>NC_000004.12:50012061-50312061 GCF_000001405.40 Homo sapiens
TTTGGAAACACTCTTTTTGTAGAATCTGCAGGTGGATACTTGGATAGCTTAGAGGGATTCGTTGGAAAGGGGATAAATTCATATAAAATCTAGACAGAAGCATTCTCAGAAACTTATTTGTGATGTGTGTCCTCAACTAACAGAGTTGAACCTTGGTTTTGATACAGCATTTTGGAAACACTCCTTTTGAAGAATCTGCAGGTGGATATGTGGATAGCTTTGAAGATTTCGTTGGAAACGGGAATTTCTTCATATAAAATCAAACAGAAGCATTCTCAGGAACTTCTCAGTGATGTTTGCATTCAGCTCATGGAGTTGAACACTTCCTTTCATAGAGCAGGTTTGAAACACTCTTTCTGCACTACCTGGAAGTGGACATTTCGAGCGCTTTGAGGCCTATGGTGAAAAAGGAAATATCCTCTCATAAAAACCAGAAAGAAGCGTTCTCAGAAACTTCTTTGTGTTGTGTGTACTCATGTAACAGTGTTGAACCATCCTTTTGACAGAGCAGTTTTGAAACACTCTTTTTGTAGAATCTGCCAGTGGATATTTGGATAGCTTTGAGGATTTCGTTGGAAACGGGTTATCTTCATATTAAATCTAGACAGAAGCATTCTCAGAAACTTCTTTGTGCTGTATGTCCTCAATTCACAGAGTTGAACCTTTGTTTGGATACAGCATTTTGGAAACATTCCTTTAGTAGAATCTGCAAGTTGATATTTAGATAGCTTTGAAGATTTCGTTGGAAACGGGAATATCTTCATAAAAAATCTAGACGGAAGCATTGTCAGAAACTGCTCTGTGATGTTTGCATTCAAGTCACAGAGTTAAATATTCTTTTATAGAGCAGGTTTGAAACACTCTTTCTGCACTCCCTGGAAGTGGAGATTTCGAGCGCTTTGAGGCCTATGGTGAAAAAGGAAATATCTTCCTGTAAAAACTAGACGGAAGCCTTCTCAGAAACTTGTTTGAGATGTGTGTATTCAACTAAGAGCGTTGAACATTTCTTTTTACAGAGCAGTTTTAAAACACTCTTTTTGTGGAATCTGAAAGTGGATAATTGGATAGCTTTGTGGATTTCTTTGGAAACGGGATTACGTATAAAATCTAGAGAGAAGCATTCTCAGAAACTTCTTACTGATGTTTGCATTCAAGTCACAGAATTGAACATTCCTTTTCATAGTGCAGGTTTGAAACACTCTTTCTGTACTATCTGGAAGTGGACATTTCAAGCGCTTTCAGGCCTATGGGGAGAAAGGAAATATCTTCAAATTAAAAACTAGACAGAAGGATTCTCAGAAACTTATTGGTGATGTGTGTCCTAAACGAACACAGTTGAACCTTTGTTTTGATACAGCATTTTGGAAACACTCCCTTTGTAGAATCTGCAGGTGGATATTTGGATAGATTTTAAGATTTCGTTGGAAACGGGAATTTCTTCATATAAACTCAAGACAGATGCATTCTCAGAAACTTCTCTGTGATGTTTGCATTCCACTCATAGAGTTGAAAACTTCCTTTCATAGAGCAGGTTTGAAACACTCTTTTTGTAATATTTGGAAGTGGACATTTGCAGCGCTTTGAGGCCTATGGTGAAAAAGGAAATATCTTCTCATAAAAACCAGAAACAAGCATTCTCAGAAACTTCTTTTTGATGTGTGTACTCAAGTAACAGAGTTGAACCTTCCTTTTGACACAGCAGTTTTGAAACAATCTTTTTGTAGAATCTGCAAGTGGATATTTGGATAGCTTTGAGGATTTCGTTGGAAACGGGATATCTTCATATAAAATCTAGACAGAAGCATTCTCAGAAACTTCTTTGTGCTGTATGTCCTCAATTAACAGAGTTGAACCATTGCTTGGATACAGCATTTTGGAAACATTCCTTGAGTAGAATCTGCAAGTTGATATTTAGATAGATTTGAAGATTTCGTTGGAAAAGGGAATATCTCCATAGAAAATCTAGAGGGAATCATTCTCAGAAACTGCTTTGTGATGTTTCCATTCAAGTCACAGAGTTGAATATTCCCTTTTATAGAGCACGTTTGAAACACTCTTTCTGCACTATCTGGAAGTGGACATTTCGAGCGCTTTGAGGCCTATGGTGAAAAAGGAAATATCTTCCCATAAAAACTAGACAGAAGCATTCTCAGAAACTTGTTTGTGATGTGTGTATTCAACTAACAGAGTTGAACTTTTGTTTTTACAGAGCCGTTTTAAAACACTCTTTTTGTGGAATCAGAAAGTGGATATTCGGATGGCTCTGAGGATTTCGTTGGAAGCGGGATTACATATAAAATCTAGAGAGAAGCATTCTCAGGAACTTCTTTGTGATGTTTGCATTGAAGTCACAGAATTGAACATTCACTTTGATAGAGCAGGTTTGAAACACTCATTCTGTAGTATCTGGAAGTGGACATTTCAAGCGCTTTCAGGCCTATGGTGAGAAAGGAAATATCTTCGAATAAAAACTAGACAGAAGCATCCTCAAACTTATTTGTGATGTGTGTCCTCAACTAACAGAGTTGAAACTTTGTTTTGATACAGCATTTTGGAAACACTCTTTTTGTAGAATCTGCAGGTGGATATTTGGATAGCTTAGAGGGATTCGTTGGAAAGGGGATATCTTCATATAGAATCTAGACAGAAGCATTCTCAGAAACTTATTTGTGATGTGTGTCCTCAACTAACAGAGTTGAACCTTGGTTTTGATACAGCATTTTGGAAACACTCCTTTTGTAGAATCTGCAGGTGGATATGTGGATAGCTCTGAAGATTTCGTTGGAAACGGGAATTTTTTCATATAAAATCAAACAGAAGCATTCTCAGAAAGTTCTCAGTGATGTTTGCATTCAGTTCATGGAGTTGAACACTTCCTTTCATAGAGCCGGTTTGAAACACTCTTTCTGCACTACCTGGAAGAGGACATTTCGAGCGCTTTGAGTCCTATGGTGAAAAAGGAAATATCTTCTCATAGAAACCAGAAAGAAGCATTCTCAGAAACTTCTTTGTGTTGTGTGTACTCATGTAACAGTGTTGAACCATCCTTTTGACAGAGCAGTTTTGAAACACTCTTTTTGTAGAATCTGCAAGTGGATATTTGGATAGCTTTGAGGATTTCGTTGGAAACGGGATGACATATAATATCTAGAGAGAAGCATTCTCAGGAACTTCTTTGTGATGTTTGCATTCAAGTCACAGAATTGAACATTCCCTTTCATAGAGCAGGTTTGAAACACTCTTTCTCTAGTATCTGGAAGTGGGCATTTCAAGCGCTTTCAGGCCTATGGAGAGAAAGGAAATACCTTCAAATAAAAACTAGACAGAAGCATTCTCAGAAACTTATTTGTGATGTGTGTCCTCAACTAACAGAGTTGAACCTTTGTTTTGATACAGCATTTTGGAAACACTCCTTTTGTAGAATCTGCAGGTGGATATTTGGATAGCTTTGAAGATTTCGTTGGAAACCGGAATATCTTCATATAAAATCAAGACAGAAGCATTCTCGGAAACATCTCTGTGATGTTTGCATTCAACTCAGTAGAGTTGAACACTTCCTTTCATAGAGCAGGTTTGAAACACTCTTTCTGCACTACCTGGAAGCGGACATTTCGAGCGCTTTGAGGCCTATGGTGAAAAAGGAAATATCTTCTCATAAAAACCAGAAAGAAGCATTCTCAGAAACTTCTTTGTGTTGTGTGTACTCAAGTAACAGTGTTGAACCTTCCTTTTGACAGAGCAGTTTTGAAACACTCTTTTGGTAGAATCTGCAAGTGGATATTTGGAGAGCTTTGAGGATTTCGTTGGAAACGGGTTATCTTCCTATAAAATCCAGACAGGAGCATTCTCAGAAACTTCTTTGTGCTGTATGTCCTCAATTCACAGAGCTGAACCTTTGTTTGGATACAGCATTTTGGAGACATTCCTTTAGTAGAATCTGCAAGTTGATATTTAGATAGCTTTGAAGATTTCGTTGGAAACGGGAATATCTTCATAGAAAATCTAGACGGAAGCATTCTCAGAAACTGCTTTGTGATGTTTGCATTCAAGTCACAGAGTTGAATATTCCCTTTTATAGAGTAGGTTTGAAACACTCTTTCGGCACTACCTGGAAGTGGATATTTCGAGCTCTTTGAGGCCTATGGTTAAAAGGAAATATCTTCCCATAAAAACTAGACAGAAGCCGTCTCAGAAACTTGTTTGTGATGTGTGTATTCAACTACCAGAGTTGAACATTTCTGTTACAGAGCAATTTTAAAACACTCTTTCTGTGGAATCTGAAAGTGGATAATTGGATAGCTTTGTGGATTTCGTTGGAAACGGGATGACGTATAAAATCTAGAGAGAAGCATTCTCAGGAACTTCTTTCTGATGTTTGCATTCAAGTCACAGAATTGAACATTCCTTTTCAGAGTGCAGGTTTGAAACACTCTTTCTGTAGTATCTGGAAGTGGACATTTCAAGCGCTTTCAGGCCTACGGGGAGAAAGGAAATATCTTCAAATAAAAACTAGACAGAAGGATTCTCAGAAACTTATTTGTGATGTGTGTCCTAAACGAACACAGTTGAACCTTTGTTTTGATACAGCATTTTGGAAACACTCCTTTTGTAGGATCTGCAGGTGGATATTTGGATAGATTTTAAGATTTCGTTGGAAACGGGAATTTCTGCATAGAAACTCAAGACAGATGCATTCTCAGAAACTTCTCTGTGATGTTTGCATTCCACTCATAGAGTTGAAAACTTCCTTTCATAGAGCAGGTTTGAAACACTCTTTTTGTAATATGTGGAAGTGGACATTTGCAGCGCTTTGAGGCCTATGGTGAAAAAGGAAATATCTTCTCATAAAAACCAGAAACAAGCATTCTCAGAAACTTCTTTTTGATGTGTGTACTCAAGTAACAGAGTTGAACCTTCCTCTTGACACAGCAGTTTTGAAACAATCTTTTTGTAGAATCTGCAAGTGGATATTTGGATAGCTTTGAGGATTTCGTTGGAAACGGGATATCTTCATATAAAATCTAGACAGAAGCATTCTCAGAAACTTCTTTGTGCTGTATGTCCTCAATTAACAGAGTTGAACCATTGCCTGGATACAGCATTTTGGAAACATTCCTTGAGTAGAATCTGCAAGTTGATATTTAGATAGATTTGAAGATTTCGTTGGAAAAGGGAATATCTCCATATAAAATCTAGAGGGAAGCATTCTCAGAAACTGCTTTGTGATGTTTCCATTCAAGTCACAGAGTTGAATATTCCCTTTTATAGAGCACGTTTGAAACACTCTTTCTGCACTATCTGGAAGCGGACATTTCGAGCGCTTTGAGGCCTATGGTGAAAAAGGAAATATCTTCCCATAAAAACTAGACAGAAGCATTCTCAGAAACTTGTTTGTGATGTGTGTATTCAACTAACAGAGTTGAACTTTTGTTTTTACAGAGCCGTTTTAAAACACTCTTTTTGTAGAATCAGAAAGTGGATATTCGGATGGCTCTGAGGATTTCGTTGGAAGCGGGATTACGTATAAAATCTAGAGAGAAGCATTCTCAGGAACTTCTTTGTGATGTTTGCATTGAAGTCACGGAATTGAACATTCACTTTTATAGAGCAGGTTTGAAACACTCATTCTGTAGTATCTGGAAGTGGACATTTCAAGCGCTTTCAGGCCTATGGTGAGAAAGGAAATATCTTCGAATAAAAACTAGACAGAAGCATCGTCAGAAACTTATTTGTGATGTGTGTCCTCAACTAACAGAGTTGAAACTTTGTATTGATACAGCCTTTTGGAAACACTCTTTTTGTAGAATCTGCAGGTGCATATTTGGATAGCTTAGAGGGATTCGTTGGAAAGGGGATATCTTCATATAAAATCTAGACAGAAAGCATTCTCAGAAACTTATTTGTGATGTGTGTCCTCAACTAACAGAGTTGAACCTTGGTTTTGATACAGCATTTTGGAAACACTCCTTTTGTAGAATCTGCAGGTGGATATGTGGATAGCTCTGAAGATTTCGTTGGAAACGGGAATTTCTTCATATAAAATCAAACAGAAGCATTCTCAGAAACTTCTCAGTGATGTTTGCATTCAGCTCATGGAGTTGAACACTTCCTTTCATAGAGCAGGTTTGAAACACTCTTTCTGCACTACCTGGAAGAGGACATTTCGAGCGCTTTGAGTCCTATGGTGAAAAAGGAAATATCTTCTCATAGAAACCAGAAAGAAGCATTCTCAGAAACTTCTTTGTGTTGTGTGTACTCATGTAACAGTGTTGAACCATCCTTTTGACAGAGGAGTTTTGAAACACTCTTTTTGTAGAATCTGCAAGTGGATATTTGGATAGCTTTGAGGATTTCGTTGGAAACGGGATGACATATAATATCTAGAGAGAAGCATTCTCAGGAACTTCTTTGTGATGTTTGCATTCAAGTCACAGAATTGAACATTCCCTTTCATAGAGCAGGTTTGAAACACTCTTTCTCTAGTATCTGGAAGTGGGCATTTCAAGCGCTTTCAGGCCTATGGAGAGAAAGGAAATACCTTCAAATAAAAACTAGACAGAAGCATTCTCAGAAACTTATTTGTGATGTGTGTCCTCAACTAACAGAGTTGAACCTTTGTTTTGATACAGCATTTTGGAAACACTCCTTTTGTAGAATCTGCAGGTGGATATTTGGATAGCTTTGAAGATTTCGTTGGAAACCGGAATATCTTCATATAAAATCAAGACAGAAGCATTCTCGGAAACATCTCTGTGATGTTTGCATTCAACTCAGTAGAGTTGAACACTTCCTTTCATAGAGCAGGTTTGAAACACTCTTTCTGCACTACCTGGAAGCGGACATTTCGAGCGCTTTGAGGCCTATGGTGAAAAAGGAAATATCTTCTCATAAAAACCAGAAAGAAGCATTCTCAGAAACTTCTTTGTGTTGTGTGTACTCAAGTAACAGTGTTGAACCTTCCTTTTGACAGAGCAGTTTTGAAACACTCTTTTGGTAGAATCTGCAAGTGGATATTTGGATAGCTTTGAGGATTTCGTTGGAAACGGGTTATCTTCCTATAAAATCCAGACAGGAGCATTCTCAGAAACTTCTTTGTGCTGTATGTCCTCAATTCACAGAGCTGAACCTTTGTTTGGATACAGCATTTTGGAGACATTCCTTTAGTAGAATCTGCAAGTTGATATTTAGATAGCTTTGAAGATTTCGTTGGAAACGGGAATATCTTCATAGAAAATCTAGACGGAAGCATTCTCAGAAACTGCTTTGTGATGTTTGCATTCAAGTCACAGAGTTGAATATTCCCTTTTATAGAGTAGGTTTGAAACACTCTTTCGGCACTACCTGGAAGTGGATATTTCGAGCTCTTTGAGGCCTATGGTTAAAAGGAAATATCTTCCCATAAAAACTAGACAGAAGCCGTCTCAGAAACTTGTTTGTGATGTGTGTATTCAACTACCAGAGTTGAACATTTCTGTTACAGAGCAATTTTAAAACACTCTTTCTGTGGAATCTGAAAGTGGATAATTGGATAGCTTTGTGGATTTCGTTGGAAACGGGATGACGTATAAAATCTAGAGAGAAGCATTCTCAGGAACTTCTTTCTGATGTTTGCATTCAAGTCACAGAATTGAACATTCCTTTTCAGAGTGCAGGTTTGAAACACTCTTTCTGTAGTATCTGGAAGTGGACATTTCAAGCGCTTTCAGGCCTACGGGGAGAAAGGAAATATCTTCAAATAAAAACTAGACAGAAGGATTCTCAGAAACTTATTTGTGATGTGTGTCCTAAACGAACACAGTTGAACCTTTGTTTTGATACAGCATTTTGGAAACACTCCTTTTGTAGGATCTGCAGGTGGATATTTGGATAGATTTTAAGATTTCGTTGGAAACGGGAATTTCTGCATAGAAACTCAAGACAGATGCATTCTCAGAAACTTCTCTGTGATGTTTGCATTCCACTCATAGAGTTGAAAACTTCCTTTCATAGAGCAGGTTTGAAACACTCTTTTTGTAATATTTGGAAGTGGACATTTGCAGCGCTTTGAGGCCTATGGTGAAAAAGGAAATATCTTCTCATAAAAACCAGAAACAAGCATTCTCAGAAACTTCTTTTTGATGTGTGTACTCAAGTAACAGAGTTGAACCTTCCTCTTGACACAGCAGTTTTGAAACAATCTTTTTGTAGAATCTGCAAGTGGATATTTGGATAGCTTTGAGGATTTCGTTGGAAACGGGATATCTTCATATAAAATCTAGACAGAAGCATTCTCAGAAACTTCTTTGTGCTGTATGTCCTCAATTAACAGAGTTGAACCATTGCCTGGATACAGCATTTTGGAAACATTCCTTGAGTAGAATCTGCAAGTTGATATTTAGATAGATTGGAAGATTTCGTTGGAAAAGGGAATATCTCCATATAAAATCTAGAGGGAAGCATTGTCAGAAACTGCTCTGTGATGTTTGCATTCAAGTCACAGAGTTAAATATTCTTTTATAGAGCAGGTTTGAAACACTCTTTCTGCACTCCCTGGGAGTGGAGATTTCGAGCGCTTTGAGGCCTATGGTGAAAAAGGAAATATCTTCCCATAAAAACTAGATGGAAGCATTCTCAGAAACTTGTTTGTGATGTGTGTATTCAACTAACAGAGTTGAACTTTTGTTTTTACAGAGCCGTTTTAAAACACTCTTTTTGTGGAATCAGAAAGTGGATATTCGGATGGCTCTGAGGATTTCGTTGGAAGCGGGATTACGTATAAAATCTAGAGAGAAGCATTCTCAGGAACTTCTTTGTGATGTTTGCATTGAAGTCACAGAATTGAACATTCACTTTGATAGAGCAGGTTTGAAACACTCATTCTGTAGTATCTGGAAGTGGACATTTCAAGCGCTTTCAGGCCTATGGTGAGAAAGGAAATATCTTCGAATAAAAACTAGACAGAAGCATCCTCAAACTTATTTGTGATGTGTGTCCTCAACTAACAGAGTTGAAACTTTGTTTTGATACAGCATTTTGGAAACACTCTTTTTGTAGAATCTGCAGGTGGATATTTGGATAGCTTAGAGGGATTCGTTGGAAAGGGGATATCTTCATATAAAATCTAGACAGAAGCATTCTCAGAAACTTATTTGTGATGTGTGTCCTCAACTAACAGAGTTGAACCTTGGTTTTGATACAGCATTTTGGAAACACTCCTTTTGTAGAATCTGCATGTGGATATGTGGATAGCTCTGAAGATTTCGTTGGAAACGGGAATTTCTTCATATAAAATCAAACAGAAGCATTCTCAGAAACTTCTCAGTGATGTTTGCATTCAGCTCATGGAGTTGTACACTTCCTTTCATAGAGCAGGTTTGAAACACTCTTTCTGCACTACCTGGAAGAGGACATTTCGAGCGCTTTGAGTCCTATGGTGAAAAATGGAAATATCTTCTCATAGAAACCAGAAAGAAGCATTCTCAGAAACTTCTTTGTGTTGTGTGTACTCATGTAACAGTGTTGAACCATCCTTTTGACAGAGCAGTTTTGAAACACTCTTTTTGTAGAATCTGCAAGTGGATATTTGGATAGCTTTGAGGATTTCGTTGGAAACGGGATGACATATAATATCTAGAGAGAAGCATTCTCAGGAACTTCTTTGTGATGTTTGCATTCAAGTCACAGAATTGAACATTCCCTTTCATAGAGCAGGTTTGAAACACTCTTTCTCTAGTATCTGGAAGTGGGCATTTCAAGCGCTTTCAGGCCTATGGAGAGAAAGGAAATACCTTCAAATAAAAACTAGACAGAAGCATTCTCAGAAACTTATTTGTGATGTGTGTCCTCAACTAACAGAGTTGAACCTTTGTTTTGATACAGCATTTTGGAAACACTCCTTTTGTAGAATCTGCAGGTGGATATTTGGATAGCTTTGAAGATTTCGTTGGAAACCGGAATATCTTCATATAAAATCAAGACAGAAGCATTCTCGGAAACATCTCTGTGATGTTTGCATTCAACTCAGTAGAGTTGAACACTTCCTTTCATAGAGCAGGTTTGAAACACTCTTTCTGCACTACCTGGAAGCGGACATTTCGAGCGCTTTGAGGCCTATGGTGAAAAAGGAAATATCTTCTCATAAAAACCAGAAAGAAGCATTCTCAGAAACTTCTTTGTGTTGTGTGTACTCAAGTAACAGTGTTGAACCTTCCTTTTGACAGAGCAGTTTTGAAACACTCTTTTGGTAGAATCTGCAAGTGGATATTTGGAGAGCTTTGAGGATTTCGTTGGAAACGGGTTATCTTCATATAAAATCCAGACAGGAGCATTCTCAGAAACTTCTTTGTGCTGTATGTCCTCAATTCACAGAGCTGAACCTTTGTTTGGATACAGCATTTTGGAGACATTCCTTTAGTAGAATCTGCAAGTTGATATTTAGATAGCTTTGAAGATTTCGTTGGAAACGGGAATATCTTCATAGAAAATCTAGACGGAAGCATTCTCAGAAACTGCTTTGTGATGTTTGCATTCAAGTCACAGAGTTGAATATTCCCTTTTATAGAGTAGGTTTGAAACACTCTTTCGGCACTACCTGGAAGTGGATATTTCGAGCTCTTTGAGGCCTATGGTTAAAAGGAAATATCTTCCCATACAAACTAGACAGAAGCCGTCTCAGAAACTTGTTTGTGATGTGTGTATTCAACTAACAGAGTTGAACATTTCTGTTACAGAGCAATTTAAAACACTCTTTTTGTGGAATCTGAAAGTGGATAATTGGATAGCTTTGTGGATTTCGTTGGAAACGGGATGACGTATAAAATCTAGAGAGAAGCATTCTCAGGAACTTCTTTCTGATGTTTGCATTCAAGTCACAGAATTGAACATTCCTTTTCAGAGTGCAGGTTTGAAACACTCTTTCTGTAGTATCTGGAAGTGGACATTTCAAGCGCTTTCAGGCCTACAGGGAGAAAGGAAATATCTTCAAATAAAAACTAGAGAGAAGGATTCTCAGAAACTTATTTGTGATGTGTGTCCTAAACGAACACAGTTGAACCTTTGTTTTGATACAGCATTTTGGAAACACTCCTTTTGTAGGATCTGCAGGTGGATATTTGGATAGATTTTAAGATTTCGTTGGAAACGGGAATTTCTTCATAGAAGCTCAAGACAGATGCATTCTCAGAAACTTCTCTGTGATGTTTGCATTCCACTCATAGAGTTGAAAACTTCCTTTCATAGAGCAGGTTTGAAACACTCTTTTTGTAATATTTGGAAGTGGACATTTGCAGCGCTTTGAGGCCTATGGTGAAAAAGGAAATATCTTCTCATAAAAACCAGAAACAAGCATTCTCAGAAACTTCTTTTTGATGTGTGTACTCAAGTAACAGAGTTGAACCTTCCTCTTGACACAGCAGTTTTGAAACAATCTTTTTGTAGAATCTGCAAGTGGATATTTGGATAGCTTTGAGGATTTCGTTGGAAACGGGATATCTTCATATAAAATCTAGACAGAAGCATTCTCAGAAACTTCTTTGTGCTGTATGTCCTCAATTAACAGAGTTGAACCATTGCTTGGATACAGCATTTTGGAAACATTCCTTGAGTAGAATCTGCAAGTTGATATTTAGATAGATTTGAAGATTTCGTTGGAAAAGGGAATATCTCCATATAAAATCTAGAGGGAAGCATTCTCAGAAACTGCTTTGTGATGTTTCCATTCAAGTCACAGAGTTGAATATTCCCTTTTATAGAGCACGTTTGAAACACTCTTTCTGCACTATCTGGAAGCGGACATTTCGAGCGCTTTGAGGCCTATGGTGAAAAAGGAAATATCTTCCCATAAAAACTAGACAGAAGCATTCTCAGAAACTTGTTTGTGATGTGTGTATTCAACTAACAGAGTTGAACTTTTGTTTTTACAGAGCCGTTTTAAAACACTCTTTTTGTGGAATCAGAAAGTGGATATTCGGATGGCTCTGAGGATTTCGTTGGAAGCGGGATTACGTATAAAATCTAGAGAGAAGCATTCTCAGGAACTTCTTTCTGATGTTTGCATTGAAGTCACGGAATTGAACATTCACTTTTATAGAGCAGGTTTGAAACACTCATTCTGTAGTATCTGGAAGTGGACATTTCAACCGCTTTCAGGCCTATGGTGAGAAAGGAAATATCTTCGAATAAAAACTAGACAGAAGCATCCTCAGAAACTTATTTGTGATGTGTGTCCTCAACTAACAGAGTTGAAACTTTGTTTTGATACAGCATTTTGGAAACACTCTTTTTGTAGAATCTGCAGGTGGATATTTGGATAGCTTAGAGGGATTCGTTGGAAAGGGGATATCTTCATATAAAATCCAGACAGAAGCATTCTCAGAAACTTATTTGTGATGTGTGTCCTCAACTAACAGAGTTGAACCTTGGTTTTGATACAGCATTTTGGAAACACTCCTTTTGTAGAATCTGCAGGTGGATATGTGGATAGCTTTGAAGATTTCGTTGGAAACGGGAATTTCTTCATATAAAATCAAACAGAAGCATTCTCAGAAACTTCTCTGTGATGTTTGCATTCAGCTCATGGAGTTGAACACTTCCTTTCATAGAGCAGGTTTGAAACACTCTTTCTGCACTACCAGGAAGTGGACATTTCGAGCGCTTTGAGGCCTATGGTGAAAAAGGAAATATCTTCTCATAAAAACCAGAAAGAAGCGTTCTCAGAAACTTCTTTGTGTTGTGTGTACTCATGTAACAGTGTTGAACCATCCTTTTGACAGAGCAGTTTTGAAACACTCTTTTTGTAGAATCTGCAAGTGGATATTTGGATAGCTTTGAGGATTTCGTTGGAAACGGGTTATCTTCATATTAAATCTAGACTGAAGCATTCTCAGAAACTTCTTTGTGCTGTATGTCCTCAATTCACAGAGTTGAACCTTTGTTTGGATACAGCATTTTGGAAACATTCCTTTAGTAGAATCTGCAAGTTGATATTTAGATAGCTTTGAAGATTTCGTTGGAAACGGGAATATCTTCATAAAAAATCTAGACGGAAGCATTGCCAGAAACTGCTTTGTGATGTTTCCATTCAAGTCACAGAGTTAAATATTCTTTTACAGAGCAGGTTTGAAACACTCTTTCTGCACTCCCTGGAAGTGGAGATTTCGAGCGCTTTGAGGCCTATGGTGAAAAAGGAAATATCTTCCCATAAAAACTAGACGGAAGCCTTCTCAGAAACTTGTTTGAGATGTGTGTATTCAACTAAGAGCGTTGAACATTTCTTTTTACAGAGCAGTTTTAAAACACTCTTTTTGTGGAATCTGAAAGTGGATAATTGGATAGCTTTGTGGATTTCGTTGGAAACGGGATGACGTATAAAATCTAGAGAGAAGCATTCTCAGGAACTTCTTTCTGATGTTTGCATTCAAGTCACAGAATTGAACATTCCTTTTCATAGTGCAGGTTTGAAACACTCTTTCTGTAGTATCTGGAAGTGGACATTTCAAGCGCTTTCAGGCCTATGGGGAGAAAGAAAATATCTTCAAATAAAAACTAGACAGAAGGATTTTCAGAAACTTATTGGTGATGTGTGTCCTAAACGAACACAGTTGAACCTTTGTTTTGATACAGCATTTTGGAAACACTCCCTTTGTAGAATCTGCAGGTGGATATTTGGATAGATTTTAAGATTTCGTTGGAAACGGGAATTTCTTCATATAAACTCAAGACAGATGCATTCTCCGAAACTTCTCTGTGATGTTTGCATTCCACTCATAGAGTTGAAAACTTCCTTTCATAGAGCAGGTTTGAAACACTCTTTTTGTAATATTTGGAAGTGGACATTTGCAGCGCTTTGAGGCCTATGGTGAAAAAGGAAATTCTTCTCATAAAAACCAGAAACAAGCATTCTCAGAAACTTCTTTTTGATGTGTGTACTCAAGTAACAGAGCTGAACCTTCCTATTGACACAGCAGTTTTGAAACAATCTTTTTGTAGAATCTGTAAGTGGATATTTGGATAGCTTTGAGGGTTTCGTTGGAAACGGGATATCTTCATATAAAATCCAGACAGGAGCATTCTCAGAAACTTCTTTGTGCTGTATGTCCTCAATTAACAGAGTTGAACCATTGCTTGGATACAGCATTTTGGAAACATTCCTTTAGTAGAATCTGCAAGTTGATATTTAGATAGATTTGAAGATTTCTTTGGAAACGGGAATATCTTCATATAAAATCTAGACGGAGGCATTCTCAGAAACTGCTTTGTGATGTTTCCATTGAAGTCACAGAGTTGAATATTCTCTTTTATAGAGCACGTTTGAAACAATCTTTCTGCACTATCTGGAAGTGGACATTTCGAGCGCTGTGAGGCCTATGGTGAAAAAGGAAATATCTTCCCATAAAAACTAGACAGAAGCATTCTCAGAAACTTGTTTATGATGTGTGTATTCAACTAACAGACTTGAACTTTTGTTTTTACAGAGCAGTTTTAAGACAATCTTTTTGTGGAATCAGAAAGTGGATATTCGGATGGCTTTGAGGATTTCGTTGGAAGCGGGATTACATATAAAATCTAGAGAGAAGCATTCTCAGGAACTACTTTGTGATGTTTGCATTGATGTCACAGAATTGAACATTCACTTTGATAGAGCAGGTTTGAAACACTCATTCTGTAGTATCTGGAAGCGGACAATTCTAGCGCTTTCAGGCCTATGGGGAGAAAGGAAATATCTTCAAATAAAAACTAGACAGAAGCATCCTCAGAAACTTATTTGTGATGTGTGTCCTCAACTAACAGAGTTGAAACTTTGTTTTGATACAGCATTTTGGAAACACTCTTTTTGTAGAATCTGCAGGTGGATATTTGGATAGCTTAGAGGGATTCGTTGGAAAGGGGATATCTTCATATAAAATCTAGACAGAAGCATTCTCAGAAACTTATTTGTGATGTGTGTCCTCAACTAACAGAGTGGAACCTTGGTTTTGATACAGCATTTTGGAAACACTCCTTTTGTAGAATCTGCAGGTGGATATGTGGATAGCTTTGAAGATTTCGTTGGAAACGGGAATTTCTTCATATAAAATCAAACAGAAGCATTCTCAGAAACTTCTCTGTGATGTTTGCGTTCAGCTCATGGAGTTGAACACTTCCTTTCATAGAGCAGGTTTGAAACACTCTTTCTGCACTACCAGGAAGTGGACATTTCGAGCGCTTTGAGGCCTATGGTGAAAAAGGAAATATCTTCTCATAAAAACCAGAAAGAAGCGTTCTCAGAAACTTCTTTGTGTTGTGTGTACTCATGTAACAGTGTTGAACCATCCTTTTGACAGAGCAGTTTTGAAACACTCTTTTTGTAGAATCTGCAAGTGGATATTTGGATAGCTTTGAGGATTTCGTTGGAAACGGGTTATCTTCATATTAAATCTAGACAGAAGCATTCTCAGAAACTTCTTTGTGCTGTATGTCCTCAATTCACAGAGTTGAACCTTTGTTTGGATACAGCATTTTGGAAACATTCCTTTAGTAGAATCTGCAAGTTGATATTTAGATAGCTTTGAAGATTTCGTTGGAAACGGGAATATCTTCATAAAAAATACTAGACGGAAGCATTGTCAGAAACTGCTTTGTGATGTTTGCATTCAAGTCACAGAGTTAAATATTCTTTTACAGAGCAGGTTTGAAACACTCTTTCTGCACTCCCTGGAAGTGGAGATTTCGAGCGCTTTGAGGCCTATGGTGAAAAAGGAAATATCTTCCCATAAAAACTAGACGGAAGCCTTCTCAGAAACTTGTTTGAGATGTGTGTATTCAAGTAAGAGCGTTGAACATTTCTTTTTACAGAGCAGTTTTAAAACACTCTTTTTGTGGAATCTGAAAGTGGATAATTGGATAGCTTTGTGGATTTCGTTGGAAACGGGATGACGTATAAAATCTAGAGAGAAGCATTCTCAGGAACTTCTTTCTGATGTTTGCATTCAAGTCACAGAATTGAACATTCCTTTTCATAGTGCAGGTTTGAAACACTCTTTCTGTAGTATCTGGAAGTGGACATTTCAAGCGCTTTCAGGCCTATGGGGAGAAAGGAAATATCTTCAAATAAAAACTAGACAGAAGGATTCTCAGAAACTTATTTGTGATGTGTGTCCTAAACGAACACAGTTGAACCTTTGTTTTGATACAGCATTTTGGAAACACTCCTTTTGTAGAATCTGCAGGTGGATATGTGGATAGATTTTAAGATTTCGTTGGAAACGGGAATTTCTTCATATAAACTCAAGACAGATGCATTCTCAGAAACTTCTCTGTGATGTTTGCATTCCACTCATAGAGTTGAAAACTTCCTTTCATAGAGCAGGTTTGAAACACTCTTTTTGTAATATTTGGAAGTGGACATTTGCAGCGCTTTGAGGCCTATGGTGAAAAAGGAAATATCTTCTCATAAAAACCAGAAACAAGCATTCTCAGAAACTTCTTTTTGATGTGTGTACTCAAGTAACAGAGTTGAACCTTCCTTTTGACACAGCAGTTTTGAAACAATCTTTTTGTAGAATCTGCAAGTGGATATTTGGATAGCTTTGAGGATTTCGTTGCAAACGGGATATCTTCATATAAAATCTAGACAGAAGCATTCTCAGAAACTTCTTTGTGCTGTATGTCCTCAATTAACAGAGTTGAACCATTGCTTGGATACAGCATTTTGGAAACATTCCTTTAGTAGAATCTGCAAGTTGATATTTAGATAGATTTGAAGATTTCGTTGGAAACGGGAATATCTTCATATAAAATCTAGACGGAGGCATTCTCAGAAACTGCTTTGTGATGTTTCCATTCAAGTCACAGAGTTGAATATTCTCTTTTATAGAGCACGTTTGAAACACTCTTTCTGCACTATCTGGAAGTGGACATTTCGAGCGCTGTGAGGCTTATGGTGAAAAAGGAAATATCTTCCCATAAAAACTAGACAGAAGCATTCTCAGAAACTTGTTTATGATGTGTGTATTCACCTAACAGACTTGAACTTTTATTTTTACAGAGCAGTTTTAAGACAATCTTTTTGTGGAATCAGAAAGTGGATATTCGGATGGCTTGGAGGATTTCGCTGGAAGCGGGATTACATGTAAAATCTAGAGAGAAGCATTCTCAGGAACTACTTTGTGATGTTTGCATTGAAGTCACAGAATTGAACATTCACTTTGACAGAGCAGGTTTGAAACACTCATTCTGTAGTATCTGGAAGCGGACATTTCAAGCGCTTTCAGGCCTATGGGGAGAAAGGAAATATCTTCAAATAAAAACTAGACAGAAGCATCCTCAGAAACTTATTTGTGATGTGTGTCCTCAACTAACAGAGTTGAAACTTTGTTTTGATACAGCATTTTGGAAACACTCTTTTTGTAGAATCTGCAGGTGGATATTTGGATAGCTTAGAGGGATTCGTTGGAAAGGGGATATCTTCATATAAAATCTAGACAGAAGCATTCTCAGAAACTTATTTGTGATGTGTGTCCTCAACTAACAGAGTTGAACCTTGGTTTTGATACAGCATTTTGGAAACACTCCTTTTGTAGAATCTGCAGGTGGATATGTGCATAGCTCTGAAGATTTCGTTGGAAACGGGAATTTCTTCATATAAAATCAAACAGAAGCATTCTCAGAAACTTCTCAGTGATGTTTGCATTCAGCTCATGGAGTTGTACACTTCCTTTCATAGAGCAGGTTTGAAACACTCTTTCTGCACTATCTGGAAGAGGACATTTCGAGCGCTTTGAGTCCTATGGTGAAAAAGGAAATATCTTCTCATAGAAACCAGAAAGAAGCATTCTCAGAAACTTCGTTGTGTTGTGTGTACTCATGTAACAGTGTTGAACCATCCTTTTGACAGAGCAGTTTTGAAACACTCTTTTTGTAGAATCTGCAAGTGGATATTTGGATAGCTTTGAGGATTTCGTTGGAAACGGGATGACATATAATATCTAGAGAGAAGCATTCTCAGGAACTTCTTTGTGATGTTTGCATTCAAGTCACAGAATTGAACATTCCCTTTCATAGAGCAGGTTTGAAACACTCTTTCTCTAGTATCTGGAAGTGGGCATTTCAAGCGCTTTCAGGCCTATGGAGAGAAAGGAAATACCTTCAAATAAAAAGTAGACAGAAGCATTCTCAGAAACTTATTTGTGATGTGTGTCCTCAACTAACAGAGTTGAACCTTTGTTTTGATACAGCATTTTGGAAACACTCCTTTTGTAGAATCTGCAGGTGGATATTTGGATAGCTTTGAAGATTTCGTTGGAAACCGGAATATCTTCCTATAAAATCAAGACAGAAGCATTCTCGGAAACATCTCTGTGATGTTTGCATTCAACTCAGTAGAGTTGAACACTTCCTTTCATAGAGCAGGTTTGAAACACTCTTTCTGCCCTACCTGGAAGCGGACATTTCGAGCTCTTTGAGGCCTATGGTGAAAAAGGAAATATCTTCTCATAAAAACCAGAAAGAAGCATTCTCAGAAACTTCTTTGTGTTGTGTGTACTCAAGTAACAGTGTTGAACCTTCCTTTTGACAGAGCAGTTTTGAAACACTCTTTTGGTAGAATCTGCAAGTGGATATTTGGATAGCTTTGAGGATTTCGTTGGAAACGGGTTATCTTCATATAAAATCCAGACAGGAGCATTCTCAGAAACTTCTTTGTGCTGTATGTCCTCAATTCACAGAGCTGAACCTTTGTTTGGATACAGCATTTTGGAGACATTCCTTTAGTAGAATCTGCAAGTTGATATTTAGATAGCTTTGAAGATTTCGTTGGAAACGGGAATATCTTCATAGAAAATCTAGACGGAAGCATTCTCAGAAACTGCTTTGTGATGTTTGCATTCAAGTCACAGAGTTGAATATTCCCTTTTATAGAGTAGGTTTGAAACACTCTTTCGGCACTACCTGGAAGTGGATATTTCGAGCTCTTTGAGGCCTATGGTTAAAAGGAAATATCTTCCCATAAAAACTAGACAGAAGCCGTCTCAGAAACTTGTTTGTGATGTGTGTATTCAACTAACAGAGTTGAACATTTCTGTTACAGAGCAATTTAAAACACTCTTTTTGTGGAATCTGAAAGTGGATAATTGGATAGCTTTGTGGATTTCGTTGGAAACGGGATGACGTATAAAATCTAGAGAGAAGCATTCTCAGGAACTTCTTTCTGATGTTTGCATTCAAGTCACAGAATTGAACATTCCTTTTCAGAGTGCAGGTTTGAAACACTCTTTCTGTAGTATCTGGAAGTGGACATTTCAAGCGCTTTCAGGCCTACGGGGAGAAAGGAAATCTC
The DNA here is from genome assembly GCF_000001405.40 of Homo sapiens. Classification (NCBI taxonomy): domain Eukaryota; kingdom Metazoa; phylum Chordata; class Mammalia; order Primates; family Hominidae; genus Homo; species Homo sapiens. Next base: position 50,031,353 of record NC_000004.12, read on the forward strand.
TTCAAATAAAAACCAGACAGAAGGATTCTCAGAAACTTATTTGTGATGTGTGTCCTAAACGAACACAGTTGAACCTTTGTTTTGATACAGCATTTTGGAAACACTCCTTTTGTAGGATCTGCAGGTGGATATTTGGATAGATTTTAAGATTTCGTTGGAAACGGGAATTTCTGCATATAAACTCAAGACAGATGCATTCTCAGAAACTTCTCTGTGATGTTTGCATTCCACTCATAGAGTTGAAAACTTCCTTTCATAGAGCAGGTTTGAAACACTCTTTTTGTAATATTTGGAAGTGGACATTTGCAGCGCTTTGAGGCCTATGGTGAAAAAGGAAATATCTTCTCATAAAAACCAGAAACAAGCATTCTCAGAAACTTCTTTTTGATGTGTGTACTCAAGTAACAGAGTTGAACCTTCCTTTTGACACAGCAGTTTTGAAACAATCTTTTTGTAGAATCTGCAAGTGGATATTTGGATAGCTTTGAGGATTTCGTTGGAAACGGGATATCTTCATATAAAATCTAGACAGAAGCATTCTCAGAAACTTCTTTGTGCTGTATGTCCTCAATTAACAGAGTTGAACCATTGCCTGGATACAGCATTTTGGAAACATTCCTTGAGTAGAATCTGCAAGTTGATATTTAGATAGATTTGAAGATTTCGTTGGAAAAGGGAATATCTCCATATAAAATCTAGAGGGAAGCATTCTCAGAAACTGCTTTGTGATGTTTCCATTCAAGTCACAGAGTTGAATATTCCCTTTTATAGAGCACGTTTGAAACACTCTTTCTGCACTATCTGGAAGCGGACATTTCGAGCGCTTTGAGGCCTATGGTGAAAAAGGAAATATCTTCCCATAAAAACTAGACAGAAGCATTCTCAGAAACTTGTTTGTGATGTGTGTATTCAACTAACAGAGTTGAACTTTTGTTTTTACAGAGCCGTTTTAAAACACTCTTTTTGTGGAATCAGAAAGTGGATATTCGGATGGCTCTGAGGATTTCGTTGGAAGCGGGATTACGTATAAAATCTAGAGAGAAGCATTCTCAGGAACTTCTTTCTGATGTTTGCATTGAAGTCACGGAATTGAACATTCACTTTTATAGAGCAGGTTTGAAACACTCATTCTGTAGTATCTGGAAGTGGACATTTCAAGCGCTTTCAGGCCTATGGTGAGAAAGGAAATATCTTCGAATAAAAACTAGACAGAAGCATCCTCAAACTTATTTGTGATGTGTGTCCTCAACTAACAGAGTTGAAACTTTGTTTTGATACAGCATTTTGGAAACACTCTTTTTGTAGAATCTGCAGGTGGATATTTGGATAGCTTAGAGGGATTCGTTGGAAAGGGGATATCTTCATATAAAATCCTAGACAGAAGCATTCTCAGAAACTTATTTGTGATGTGTGTCCTCAACTAACAGAGTTGAACCTTGGTTTTGATACAGCATTTTGGAAACACTCCTTTTGAAGAATCTGCAGGTGGATATGTGGATAGCTTTGAAGATTTCGTTGGAAACGGGAATTTCTTCATATAAAATCAAACAGAAGCATTCTCAGGAACTTCTCTGTGATGTTTGCATTCAGCTCATGGAGTTGAACACTTCCTTTCATAGAGCAGGTTTGAAACACTCTTTCTGCACTACCTGGAAGTGGACATTTCGAGCGCTTTGAGGCCTATGGTGAAAAAGGAAATATCCTCTCATAAAAACCAGAAAGAAGCGTTCTCAGAAACTTCTTTGTGTTGTGTGTACTCATGTAACAGTGTTGAACCATCCTTTTGACAGAGCAGTTTTGAAACACTCTTTTTGTAGAATCTGCCAGTGGATATTTGGATAGCTTTGAGGATTTCGTTGGAAACGGGTTATCTTCATATTAAATCTAGACAGAAGCATTCTCAGAAACTTCTTTGTGCTGTATGTCCTCAATTCACAGAGTTGAACCTTTGTTTGGATACAGCATTTTGGAAACATTCCTTTAGTAGAATCTGCAAGTTGATATTGAGATAGCTTTGAAGATTTCGTTGGAAACGGGAATATCTTCATAAAAAATCTAGACGGAAGCATTGTCAGAAACTGCTCTGTGATGTTTGCATTCAAGTCACAGAGTTAAATATTCTTTTATAGAGCAGGTTTGAAACACTCTTTCTGCACTCCCTGGAAGTGGAGATTTCGAGCGCTTTGAGGCCTATGGTGAAAAAGGAAATATCTTCCCGTAAAAACTAGACGGAAGCCTTCTCAGAAACTTGTTTGAGATGTGTGTATTCAACTAAGAGCGTTGAACATTTCTTTTTACAGAGCAGTTTTAAAACAGTCTTTTGGTGGAATCTGAAAGTGGATAATTGGATAGCTTTGTGGATTTCGTTGGAAACGGGATAAGGTTTAAAATCTAGAGAGAAGCATTCTCAGGAACTTCTTTCTGATGTTTGCATTCAAGTCACAGAATTGAACATTCCTTTTCATAGTGCAGGTTTGAAACACTCTGTAGTATCTGGAAGTGGACATTTCAAGCGCTTTCAGGCCTATGGGGAGAAAGGAAATATCTTGAAATAAAAACTAGACAGAAGGATTCTCAGAAACTTATTTGTGATGTGTGTCCTAAACGAACACAGTTGAACCTTTGTTTTGATACAGCATTTTGGAAACACTCCTTTTGTAGGATCTGCAGGTGGATATTTGGATAGATTTTAAGATTTCATTGGAAACGGGAATATCTTCATATAAACTCAAGACAGATGCATTCTCAGAAACTTCTCTGTGATGTTTGCATTCCACTCACAGAGTTGAAAACTTCCTTTCATAGAGCAGGTTTGAAACACTCTTTTTGTAATATTTGGAAGTGGACATTTGCAGCGCTTTGAGGCCTATGGTGAAAAAGGAAATATCTTCTCATAAAAACCAGAAACAAGCATTCTCAGAAACTGCTTTTTGATGTGTGTACTCAAGTAACAGAGTTGAACCTTCCTTTTGACACAGCAGTTTTGAAACAATCTTTTTGTAGAATCTGCAAGTGGATATTTGGATAGCTTTGAGGATTTCGTTGGAAACGGGATATCTTCATATAAAATCTAGACAGAAGCATTCTCAGAAACTTCTTTGTGCTGTATGTCCTCAATTAACAGAGTTGAACCATTGCTTGGATACAGCATTTTGGAAACATTCCTTTAGTAGAATCTGCAAGTTGATATTTAGATAGATTTGAAGATTTCGTTGGAAACGGGAATATCTTCATATAAAATCTAGACGGAGGCATTCTCAGAAACTGCTTTGTGATGTTTCCATTCAAGTCACAGAGTTGAATATTCTCTTTTATAGAGCACGTTTGAAGCACTCTTTCTGCACCATCTGGAAGTGGACATTTCGAGCGCTTTGAGGCCTATGGTGAAAAAGGAAATATCTTCCCATAAAAACTAGACAGAAGCATTCTCAGAAACTTGTTTGTGATGTGTGTATTCAACTAACAGACTTGAACTTTTGTTTTTACAGAGCAGTTTTAAAACAATCTTTTTGTGGAATCAGAAAGTGGATATTCGGATGGCTTTGAGGATTTCGTTGGAAGCGGGATTACATATAAAATGTAGAGAGAAGCATTCTCAGGAACTACTTTGTGATGTTTGCATTGAAGTCACAGAATTGAACATTCACTTTGATAGAGCAGGTTTGAAACACTCATTCTGTAGTATCTGGAAGTGGACATTTCAAGCGCTTTCAGGCCTATGGTGAGAAAGGAAATATCTTCAAATTAAAACTAGACAGAAGCATCCTCAGAAACTTATTTGTGATGTGTGTCCTCAACTAACAGAGTTGAAACTTTGTTTTGATACAGCATTTTGGAAACACTCTTTTTGTAGAATCTGCAGGTGGATACTTGGATAGCTTAGAGGGATTCGTTGGAAAGGGGATAAATTCATATAAAATCTAGACAGAAGCATTCTCAGAAACTTATTTGTGATGTGGGTCCTCAACTAACAGAGTTGAACCTTGGTTTTGATACAGCATTTTGGAAACACTCCTTTTGAAGAATCTGCAGGTGGATATGTGGATAGCTTTGAAGATTTCGTTGGAAACGGGAATTTCTTCATATAAAATCAAACAGAAGCATTCTCAGGAACTTCTCTGTGATGTTTGCATTCAGCTCATGGAGTTGAACACTTCCTTTCATAGAGCAGGTTTGAAACACTCTTTCTGCACTACCTGGAAGTGGACATTTCGAGCGCTTTGAGGCCTATGGTCAAAAAGGAAATATCTTCTCATGAAAACCAGAAAGAAGCGTTCTCAGAAACTTCTTTGTGTTGTGTGTACTCATGTAACAGTGTTGAACCATCCTTTTGACAGAGCAGTTTTGAAACACTCTTTTTGTAGAATCTGCCAGTGGATATTTGGATAGCTTTGAGGATTTCGTTGGAAACGGGTTATCTTCATATTAAATCTAGACAGAAGCATTCTCAGAAACTTCTTTGTGCTGTATGTCCTCAATTCACAGAGTTGAACCTTTGTTTGGATACAGCATTTTGGAAACATTCCTTTAGTAGAATCTGCAAGTTGATATTTAGATAGCTTTGAAGATTTCGTTGGAAACGGGAATATCTTCATAAAAAATCTAGACGGAAGCATTGTCAGAAACTGCTCTGTGATGTTTGCATTCAAGTCACAGAGTTAAATATTCTTTTATAGAGCAGGTTTGAAACACTCTTTCTGCACTCCCTGGAAGTGGAGATTTCGAGCGCTTTGAGGCCTATGGTGAAAAAGGAAATATCTTCCCATAAAAACTAGACGGAAGCCTTCTCAGAAACTTGTTTGAGATGTGTGTATTCAACTAAGAGCGTTGAACATTTCTTTTTACAGAGCAGTTTTAAAACACTCTTTTGGTGGAATCTGAACGTGGATAATTGGATAGCTTTGTGGATTTCTTTGGAAACGGGATTACGTTTAAAATCTAGAGAGAAGCATTCTCAGGAACTTCTTTCTGATGTTTGCATTCAAGTCACAGAATTGAACATTCCTTTTCATAGTGCAGGTTTGAAACACTCTGTAGTATCTGGAAGTGGACATTTCAAGCGCTTTCAAGCCTATGGGGAGAAAGGAAATATCTTGAAATAAAAACTAGACAGGAGGATTCTCAGAAACTTATTTGTGATGTGTGTCCTAAACGAACACAGTTGAACCTTTGTTTTGATACAGCAGTTTGGAAACACTCCTTTTGTAGAATCTGCAGGTGGATATTTGGATAGATTTTAAGATTTCATTGGAAACGGGAATTTCTTCATATAAACTCAAGACAGATGCATTCTCAGAAACTTCTCTGTGATGTTTGCATTCCACTCATAGAGTTGAAAACTTCCTTTCATAGAGCAGGTTTGAAACACTCTTTTTGTAATATTTGGAAGTGGACATTTGCAGCGCTTTGAGGCCTATGGTGAAAAAGGAAATATCTTCTCATAAAAACCAGAAACAAGCATTCTCAGAAACTGCTTTTTGATGTGTGTACTCAAGTAACAGAGTTGAACCTTCCTTTTGACACAGCAGTTTTGAAACAATCTTTTTGTAGAATCTGCAAGTGGATATTTGGATAGCTTTGAGGATTTCGTTGGAAACGGGATATCTTCATATAAAATCCTAGACAGAAGCATTCTCAGAAACTTCTTTGTGCTGTATGTCCTCAATTAACAGAGTTGAACCATTGCTTGGATACAGCATTTTGGAAACATTCCTTTAGTAGAATCTGCAAGTTGATATTTAGATAGCTTTGAAGATTTCGTTGGAAACGGGAATATCTTCATATAAAATCTAGACGGAGGCATTCTCAGAAACTGCTTTGTGATGTTTCCATTCAAGTCACAGAGTTGAATATTCCCTTTTATAGAGCACGTTTGAAACACTCTTTCGGCACTATCTGGAAGTGGACATTTCGAGCGCTTTGAGGCCTATGGTGAAAAAGGAAATATCTTCCCATAAAAACTAGACAGAAGCATTCTCAGAAACTTGTTTGTGATGTGTGTATTCAACTAACAGACTTGAACTTTTGTTTTTACAGAGCAGTTTTAAAACAATCTTTTTGTGGAATCAGAAAGTGGATATTCGGATGGCTTTGAGGATTTCGTTGGAAGCGGGATTACATATAAAATGTAGAGAGAAGCATTCTCAGGAACTACTTTGTGATGTTTGCATTGAAGTCACAGAATTGAACATTCACTTTGATAGAGCAGGTTTGAAACACTCATTCTGTAGTATCTGGAAGTGGACATTTCAAGCGCTTTCAGGCCTATGGGGAGAAAGGAAATATCTTCAAATTAAAACTAGACAGAAGCATCCTCAGAAACTTATTTGTGATGTGTGTCCTCAACTAACAGAGTTGAAACTTTGTTTTGATACAGCATTTTGGAAACACTCTTTTTGTAGAATCTGCAGGTGGATACTTGGATAGCTTAGAGGGATTCGTTGGAAAGGGGATAAATTCATATAAAATCTAGACAGAAGCATTCTCAGAAACTTATTTGTGATGTGTGTCCTCAACTAACAGAGTTGAACCTTGGTTTTGATACAGCATTTTGGAAACACTCCTTTTGAAGAATCTGCAGGTGGATATGTGGATAGCTTTGAAGATTTCGTTGGAAACGGGAATTTCTTCATATAAAATCAAACAGAAGCATTCTCAGGAACTTCTCTGTGATGTTTGCATTCAGCTCATGGAGTTGAACACTTCCTTTCATAGAGCAGGTTTGAAACACTCTTTCTGCACTACCTGGAAGTGGACATTTCGAGCGCTTTAAGGCCTATGGTGAAAAAGGAAATATCCTCTCATAAAAACCAGAAAGAAGCGTTCTCAGAAACTTCTTTGTGTTGTGTGTACTCATGTAACAGTGTTGAACCATCCTTTTGACAGAGCAGTTTTGAAACACTCTTTTTGTAGAATCTGCAAGTGGATATTTGGATAGCTTTGAGGATTTCGTTGGAAACGGGTTATCTTCATATTAAATCTAGACAGAAGCATTCTCAGAAACTTCTTTGTGCTGTATGTCCTCAATTCACAGAGTTGAACCTTTGTTTGGATACAGCATTTTGGAAACATTCCTTTAGTAGAATCTGCAAGTTGATATTTAGATAGCTTTGAAGATTTCGTTGGAAACGGGAATATCTTCATAAAAAATCTAGACGGAAGCATTGTCAGAAACTGCTCTGTGATGTTTGCATTCAAGTCACAGAGTTAAATATTCGTTTATAGAGCAGGTTTGAAACACTCTTTCTGCACTCCCTGGAAGTGGAGATTTCGAGCGCTTTGAGGCCTATGGTGAAAAAGGAAATATCTTCCCATAAAAACTAGACGGAAGCCTTCTCAGAAACTTGTTTGAGATGTGTGTATTCAACTAAGAGCGTTGAACATTTCTTTTTACAGAGCAGTTTTAAAACACTCTTTTGGTGGAATCTGAAAGTGGATAATTGGATAGCTTTGTGGATTTCTTTGGAAACGGGATTACGTTTAAAATCTAGAGAGAAGCATTCTCAGGAACTTCTTTCTGATGTTTGCATTCAAGTCACAGAATTGAACATTCCTTTTCATAGTGCAGGTTTGAAACACTCTGTAGTATCTGGAAGTGGACATTTCAAGCGCTTTCAAGCCTATGGGGAGAAAGGAAATATCTTGAAATAAAAACTAGACAGGAGGATTCTCAGAAACTTATTTGTGATGTGTGTCCTAAACGAACACAGTTGAACCTTTGTTTTGATACAGCATTTTGGAAACACTCCTTTTGTAGAATCTGCAGGTGGATATTTGGATAGATTTTAAGATTTCATTGGAAACGGGAATTTCTTCATATAAACTCAAGACAGATGCATTCTCAGAAACTTCTCTGTGATGTTTGCATTCCACTCATAGAGTTGAAAACTTCCTTTCATAGAGCAGGTTTGAAACACTCTTTTTGTAATATTTGGAACTGGACATTTGCAGCGCTTTGAGGCCTATGGTGAAAAAGGAAATATCTTCTCATAAAAACCAGAAACAAGCATTCTCAGAAACTGCTTTTTGATGTGTGTACTCAAGTAACAGAGTTGAACCTTCCTTTTGACACAGCAGTTTTGAAACAATCTTTTTGTAGAATCTGCAAGTGGATATTTGGATAGCTTTGAGGATTTCGTTGGAAACGGGATATCTTCATATAAAATCTAGACAGAAGCATTCTCAGAAACTTCTTTGTGCTGTATGTCCTCAATTAACAGAGTTGAACCATTGCTTGGACACAGCATTTTGGAAACATTCCTTTAGTAGAATCTGCAAGTTGATATTTAGATAGATTTGAAGATTTCGTTGGAAACGGGAATATCTTCATATAAAATCTAGACGGAGGCATTCTCAGAAACGGCTTTGTGATGTTTCCATTCAAGTCACAGAGTTGAATATTCTCTTTTATAGAGCACGTTTGAAACACTCTTTCTGCACTATCTGGAAGTGGACATTTCGAGCGCTTTGAGGCCTATGGTGAAAAAGGAAATATCTTCCCATATAAACTAGACAGAAGCATTCTCAGAAACTTGTTTGTGATGTGTGTATTCAACTAACAGACTTGAACTTTTGTTTTTACAGAGCAGTTTTAAAACAATCTTTTTGTGGAATCAGAAAGTGGATATTCGGATGGCTTTGAGGATTTCGTTGGAAGCGTGATTACATATAAAATCTAGAGAGAAGCATTCTCAGGAACTACTTTGTGATGTTTGCATTGAAGTCACAGAATTGAACATTCACTATGATAGAGCAGGTTTGAAACACTCATGCTGTAGTATCTGGAAGTGGACATTTCAAGCGCTTTCAGGCCTATGGTGAGAAAGGAAATATCTTCAAATAAAAACTAGACAGAAGCATCCTCAGAAACTTATTTGTGATGTGTGTCCTCAACTAACAGAGTGGAAACTTTGTTTTGATACAGCATTTTGGAAACACTCTTTTTGTAGAATCTGCAGGTGGATATTTGGATAGCTTAGAGGGATTCGTTGGAAAGGGGATATCTTCATATAAAATCTAGACAGAAGCATTCTCAGAAACTTATTTGTGATGTGTGTCCTCAACTAACAGAGTTGAACCTTGGTTTTGATACAGCATTTTGGAAACACTCCTTTTGAAGGATCTGCAGGTGGATATGTGGATAGCTTTGAAGTTTTCGTTGGAAACGGGAATTTCTTCATATAAAATCAAACAGAAGCATTCTCAGAAACTTTTCAGTGATGTTTGCATTCAGTTCATGGAGTTGAACACTTCCTTTCATAGAGCCGGTTTGAAACACTCTTTCTGCACTACCTGGAAGAGGACATTTCGAGCGCTTTGAGTCCTATGGTGAAAAAGGAAATATCTTCTCATAGAAACCAGAAAGAAGCATTCTCAGAAACTTCTTTGTGTTGTGTGTACTCATGTAACAGTGTTGAACCATCCTTTTGACAGAGGAGTTTTGAAACACTCTTTTTGTAGAATCTGCAAGTGGATATTTGGATAGCTTTGAGGATTTCGTTGGAAACGGGATGACATATAATATCTAGAGAGAAGCATTCTCAGGAACTTCTTTGTGATGTTTGCATTCAAGTCACAGAATTGAACATTCCCTTTCATAGAGCAGGTTTGAAACACTCTTTCTCTAGTATCTGGAAGTGGGCATTTCAAGCGCTTTCAGGCCTATGGAGAGAAAGGAAATACCTTCAAATAAAAACTAGACAGAAGCATTCTCAGAAACTTATTTGTGATGTGTGTCCTCAACTAACAGAGTTGAACCTTTGTTTTGATACAGCATTTTGGAAACACTCCTTTTGTAGAATCTGCAGGTGGATATTTGGATAGCTTTGAAGATTTCGTTGGAAACCGGAATATCTTCATATAAAATCAAGACAGAATCATTCTCGGAAACATCTCTGTGATGTTTGCATTCAACTCAGTAGAGTTGAACACTTCCTTTCATAGAGCAGGTTTGAAACACTCTTTCTGCACTATCTGGAAGCGGACATTTCGAGCGCTTTGAGGCCTATGTTGAAAAAGGAAATATCTTCTCATAAAAACCAGAAAGAAGCATTCTCAGAAACTTCTTTGTGTTGTGTGTACTCAAGTAACAGTGTTGAACCTTCCTTTTGACAGAGCAGTTTTGAAACACTCTTTTGGTAGAATCTGCAAGTGGATATTTGGATAGCTTTGAGGATTTCGTTGGAAACGGGTTATCTTCATATAAAATACCAGACAGGAGCATTCTCAGAAACTTCTTTGTGCTGTATGTCCTCAATTCACAGAGCTGAACCTTTGTTTGGATACAGCATTTTGGAGACATTCCTTTAGTAGAATCTGCAAGTTGATATTTAGATAGCTTTGAAGATTTCGTTGGAAACGGGAATATCTTCATAGAAAATCTAGACGGAAGCATTCTCAGAAACTGCTTTGTGATGTTTGCATTCAAGTCACAGAGTTGAATATTCCCTTTTATAGAGTAGGTTTGAAACACTCTTTCGGCACTACCTGGAAGTGGATATTTCGAGCTCTTTGAGGCCTATGGTTAAAAGGAAATATCTTCCCATAAAAACTAGACAGACAAGCCGTCTCAGAAACTTGTTTGTGATGTGTGTATTCAACTAACAGAGTTGAACATTTCTGTTACAGAGCAATTTTAAAACAGTCTTTTTGTGGAATCTGAAAGTGTATAATTGGATAGCTTTGTGGATTTCATTGGAAACGGGATGACGTATAAAATCTAGAGAGAAGCATTCTCAGGAACTTCTTTCTGATGTTTGCATTCAAGTCACAGAATTGAACATTCCTTTTCAGAGTGCAGGTTTGAAACACTCTTTCTGTAGTATCTGGAAGTGGACATTTCAAGCGCTTTCAGGCCTACGGGGAGAAAGGAAATATCTTCAAATAAAAACTAGACAGAAGGATTCTCAGAAACTTATTTGTGATGTGTGTCCTAAACGAACACAGTTGAACCTTTGTTTTGATACAGCATTTTGGAAACACTCCTTTTGTAGGATCTGCAGGTGGATATTTGGATAGATTTTAAGATTTCGTTGGAAACGGGAATTTCTGCATATAAACTCAAGACAGATGCATTCTCAGAAACTTCTCTGTGATGTTTGCATTCCACTCATAGAGTTGAAAACTTCCTTTCATAGAGCAGGTTTGAAACACTCTTTTTGTAATATTTGGAAGTGGACATTTGCAGCGCTTTGAGGCCTATGGTGAAAAAGGAAATATCTTCTCATAAAAACCAGAAACAAGCATTCTCAGAAACTTCTTTTTGATGTGTGTACTCAAGTAACAGAGTTGAACCTTCCTTTTGACACAGCAGTTTTGAAACAATCTTTTTGTAGAATCTGCAAGTGGATATTTGGATAGCTTTGAGGATTTCGTTGGAAACGGGATATCTTCATATAAAATCTAGACAGAAGCATTCTCAGAAACTTCTTTGTGCTGTATGTCCTCAATTAACAGAGTTGAACCATTGCCTGGATACAGCATTTTGGAAACATTCCTTGAGTAGAATCTGCAAGTTGATATTTAGATAGATTTGAAGATTTCGTTGGAAAAGGGAATATCTCCATATAAAATCTAGAGGGAAGCATTCTCAGAAACTGCTTTGTGATGTTTCCATTCAAGTCACAGAGTTGAATATTCCCTTTTATAGAGCACGTTTGAAACACTCTTTCTGCACTATCTGGAAGCGGACATTTCGAGCGCTTTGAGGCCTATGGTGAAAAAGGAAATATCTTCCCATAAAAACTAGACAGAAGCATTCTCAGAAACTTGTTTGTGATGTGTGTATTCAACTAACAGAGTTGAACTTTTGTTTTTACAGAGCCGTTTTAAAACACTCTTTTTGTGGAATCAGAAAGTGGATATTCGGATGGCTCTGAGGATTTCGTTGGAAGCGGGATTACGTATAAAATCTAGAGAGAAGCATTCTCAGGAACTTCTTTCTGATGTTTGCATTGAAGTCACAGAATTGAACATTCACTTTGATAGAGCAGGTTTGAAACACTCATTCTGTAGTATCTGGAAGTGGACATTTCAAGCGCTTTCAGGCCTATGGTGAGAAAGGAAATATCTTTGAATAAAAACTAGACAGAAGCATCCTCAAACTAATTGGTGATGTGTGTCCTCAACTAACAGAGTTGAAACTTTGTTTTGATACAGCATTTTGGAAACACTCTTTTTGTAGAATCTGCAGGTGGATATTTGGATAGCTTAGAGGGATTCGTTGGAAAGGGGATATCTTCATATAGAATCTAGACAGAAGCATTCTCAGAAACTTATTTGTGATGTGTGTCCTCAACTAACAGAGTTGAACCTTGGTTTTGATACAGCATTTTGGAAACACTCCTTTTGTAGAATCTGCAGGTGGATATGTGGATAGCTTTGAAGATTTCGTTGGAAACGGGAATTTCTTCATGTAAAATCAAACAGAAGCATTCTCAGAAACTTCTCTGTGATGTTTGCATTCAGCTCATGGAGTTGAACACTTCCTTTCATAGAGCAGGTTTGAAACACTCTTTCTGCACTACCTGGAAGCGGACATTTCGAGCGCTTTGAGGCCTATGGTGAAAAAGGAAATATCTTCTCATAAAAACCAGAAAGAAGCATTCTCAGAAACTTCTTTGTGTTGTGTGTACTCAAGTAACAGTGTTGAACCTTCCTTTTGACAGAGCAGGTTTGAAACACTCTTTTGGTAGAATCTGCAAGTGGATATTTGGATAGCTTTGAGGATTTCGTTGGAAACGGGTTATCTTCATATAAAATCCAGACAGGAGCATTCACAGAAACTTCTTTGTGCTGTATGTCCTCAATTCACAGAGCTGAACCTTTGTTTGGATACAGCATTTTGGAAACATTCCTTTAGTAGAATCTGCAAGTTGATATTTAGATAGCTTTGAAGATTTCATTGGAAACGGGAATATCTTCATAGAAAATCTAGACGGAAGCATTCTCAGAAACTCCTTTGTGATGTTTGCATTCAAGTCACAGAGTTGAATATTCCCTTTTATAGAGTAGGTTTGAAACACTCTTTCGGCACTACCTGGAAGTGGATATTTCGAGCTCTTTGAGGCCTATGCTTAAAAGGAAATATCTTCCCATAAAAACTAGACAGAAGCCGTCTCAGAAACTTGTTTGTGATGTGTGTATTCAACTAACAGAGTTGAACATTTCTGTTACAGAGCAATTTTAAAACACTCTTTCTGTGAAATCTGAAAGTGGATAATTGGATAGCTTTGTGGATTTCGTTGGAAACGGGATGACGTATAAAATCTAGAGAGAAGCATTCTCAGGAACTTCTTTCTGATGTTTGCATTCAAGTCACAGAATTGAACATTCCTTTTCATAGTGCAGGTATGAAACGCTCTTTCTGTAGCATCTGGAAGTGGACATTTCAAGCGCTTTCAGGCCTATGGGGAGAAAGGAAATATCTTCAAATAAAAACTAGACAGAAGGATTCTCAGAAACTTATTGGTGATGTGTGTCCTAAACGAACACAGTTGAACCTTTGTTTTGATACAGCCTTTTGGAAACACTCCTTTTGTAGAATCTGCAGGTGGATATTTGGATAGATTTTAAGATTTCATTGGAAACGGGAATTTCTTCATAGAAACTCAAGACAGATGCATTCTCAGAAACTTCTCTGTGATGTTTGCATTCCACTCATAGAGTTGAAAACTTCCTTTCATAGAGCAGTTTTGAAACACTCTTTTTGTAATATTTGGAAGTGGAAATTTGCAGCGCTTTGAGGCCTATGGTGAAAAAGGAAATATCTTCTCATAAAAACCAGAAACAAGCATTCTCAGAAACTTCTTTTTGATGTGTGTACTCAAGTAACAGAGTTGAACCTTCCTTTTGACACAGCAGTTTTGAAACAATCTTTTTGTAGAATCTGCAAGTGGATATTTGGATAGCTTTGAGGATTTCGTTGGAAACGGGATATCTTCATATAAAATCTAGACAGAAGCATTCTCAGAAACTTCTTTGTGCTGTATGTCCTCAATTAACAGAGTTGAACCATTGCTTGGATACAGCATTTTGGAAACATTCCTTTAGTAGAATCTGCAAGTTGATATTTAGATAGATTTGAAGATTTCGTTGGAAACGGGAATATCTTCATATAAAATCTAGACGGAAGCATTCTCAGAAACTGCTTTGTGATGTTTCCATTCAAGTCACAGAGTTGAATATTCTCTTTTATAGAGCACGTTTGAAACACTCTTTCTGCACTATCTGGAAGTGGACATTTCGAGCGCTTTGAGGCCTATGGTGAAAAAGGAAATATCTTCCCATAAAAACTAGACAGAAGCATTCTCAGAAACTTGTTTGTGATGTGTGTATTCAACTGAGTTGAACTTTTGTTTCTACAGAGCAGTTTTAAAACACTCTTTTTGTGGAATCAGAAAGTGGATATTCGGATGGCTCTGAGGATTTCGTTGGAAGCGGGATTACATATAAAATCTAGAGAGAAGCATTCTCAGGAACTTCTTTGTGATGTTTGCATTGAAGTCACAGAATTGAACATTCACTTTGATAGAGCAGGTTTGAAACACTCATTCTGTAGTATCTGGAAGTGGACATTTCAAGCGCTTTCAGGCCTATGGTGAGAAAGGAAATATCTTCAAATAAAAACTAGACAGAAGCATCGTCAGAAACTTATTTGTGATGTGTGTCCTCAACTAACAGAGTTGAAACTTTGTTTTGATACAGCCTTTTGGAAACACTCTTTTTGTAGAATCTGCAGGTGCATATTTGGATAGCTTAGAGGGATTCGTTGGAAAGGGGATATCTTCATATAAAATCTAGACAGAAGCATTCTCAGAAACTTATTTGTGATGTGTGTCCTCAACTAACAGAGTTGAACCTTGGTTTTGATACAGCATTTTGGAAACCCTCCTTTTGTAGAATCTGCAGGTGGATATGTGGATAGCTTTGAAGATTTCGTTGGAAACGGGAATTTCTTCATGTAAAATCAAACAGAAGCATTCTCAGAAACTTCTCTGTGATGTTTGCATTCAGCTCATGGAGTTGAACACTTCCTTTCATAGAGCCGGTTTGAAACACTCTTTCTGCACTACCTGGAAGCGGACATTTCGAGCGCTTTGAGGCCTATGGTGAAAAAAGGAAATATCTTCTCATAAAAACCAGAAAGAAGCATTCTCAGAAACTTCTTTGTGTTGTGTGTACTCAAGTAACAGTGTTGAACCTTCCTTTTGACAGAGCAGGTTTGAAACACTCTTTTGGTAGAATCTGCAAGGGGATATTTGGATAGCTTTGAGGATTTCGTTGGAAACGGGTTATCTTCATATAAAATCCAGACAGGAGCATTCACAGAAACTTCTTTGTGCTGTATGTCCTCAATTCACAGAGCTGAACCTTTGTTTGGATACAGCATTTTGGAAACATTCCTTTAGTAGAATCTGCAAGTTGATATTTAGATAGCTTTGAAGATTTCATTGGAAACGGGAATATCTTCATAGAAAATCTAGACGGAAGCATTCTCATAAACTGCTTTGTGATGTTTGCATTCAAGTCACAGAGTTGAATATTCCCTTTTATAGAGTAGGTTTGAAACACTCTTTCGGCACTACCTGGAAGTGGATATTTCGAGCTCTTTGAGGCCTATGCTTAAAAGGAAATATCTTCCCATAAAAACTAGACAGAAGCCGTCTCAGAAACTTGTTTGTGATGTGTGTATTCAACTAACAGAGTTGAACATTTCTGTTACAGAGCAATTTTAAAACACTCTTTCTGTGAAATCTGAAAGTGGATAATTGGATAGCTTTGTGGATTTCGTTGGAAACGGGATGACGTATAAAATCTAGAGAGAAGCATTCTCAGGAACTTCTTTCTGATGTTTGCATTCAAGTCACAGAATTGAACATTCCTTTTCATAGTGCAGGTTTGAAACGCTCTTTCTGTAGCATCTGGAAGTGGACATTTCAAGCGCTTTCAGGCCTATGGGGAGAAAGGAAATATCTTCAAATAAAAACTAGACAGAAGGATTCTCAGAAACTTATTGGTGATGTGTGTCCTAAACGAACACAGTTGAACCTTTGTTTTGATACAGCCTTTTGGAAACACTCCTTTTGTAGAATCTGCAGGTGGATATTTGGATAGATTTTAAGATTTCGTTGGAAACGGGAATTTCTTCATAGAAACTCAAGACAGATGCATTCTCAGAAACTTCTCTGTGATGTTTGCATTCCACTCATAGAGTTGAAAACTTCCTTTCATAGAGCAGGTTTGAAACACTCTTTTTGTAATATTTGGAAGTGGAAATTTGCAGCGCTTTGAGGCCTATGGTGAAAAAGGAAATATCTTCTCATAAAAACCAGAAACAAGCATTCTCAGAAACTTCTTTTTGATGTGTGTACTCAAGTAACAGAGTTGAACCTTCCTTTTGACACAGCAGTTTTGAAACAATCTTTTTGTAGAATCTGCAAGTGGATATTTGGATAGCTTTGAGGATTTCGTTGGAAACGGGATATCTTCATATAAAATCTAGACAGAAGCATTCTCAGAAACTTCTTTGTGCTGTATGACCTCAATTAACAGAGTTGAACCATTGCTTGCATACAGCATTTTGGAAACATTCCTTGAGTAGAATCTGCAAGTTGATATTTAGATAGATTTGAAGATTTCGTTCGAAAACGGAATATCTCCATATAAAATCTAGAGGGAAGCATTCTCAGAAACTGCTTTGTGATGTTTCCATTCAAGTCACAGAGTTGAATATTCCCTTTTATAGAGCACGTTTGAAACACTCTTTCTGCGCTATCTGGAAGTGGACATTTCGAGCGCTGTGAGGCCTATGGTGAAAAAGGAAATATCTTCCCATAAAAACTAGACAGAAGCATTCTCAGAAACTTGTTTGTGATGTGTGTATTCAACTAACAGAGTTGAACTTTTGTTTTTACAGAGCCGTTTTAAAACACTCTTTTTGTGGAATCAGAAAGTGGATATTCGGATGGCTCTGAGGATTTCGTTGGAAGCGGGATTACATATAAAATCTAGAGAGAAGCATTCTCAGGAACTTCTTTGTGATGTTTGCATTGAAGTCACAGAATTGAACATTCACTTTGATAGAGCAGGTTTGAAACACTCATTCTGTAGGATCTGGAAGTGGACATTTCAAGCGCTTTCAGGCCTATGGTGAGAAAGGAAATATCTTCGAATAAAAACTAGACAGAAGCATCCTCAGAAACTTATTTGTGATGTGTGTCCTCAACTAACAGAGTTGAACCTTGGTTTTGATACAGCATTTTGGAAACACTCCTTTTGTAGAATCTGCAGGTGGATATGTGGATAGCTCTGAAGATTTCGTTGGAAACGGGAATTTCTTCATATAAAATCAAACAGAAGCATTCTCAGAAACTTCTCAGTGATGTTTGCATTCAGTTCATGGAGTTGAACACTTCCCTTCATAGAGCCGGTTTGAAACACTCTTTCTGCACTACCTGGAAGAGGACATTTCGAGCGCTTTGAGTCCTATGGTGAAAAAGGAAATATCTTCTCATAGAAACCAGAAAGAAGCATTCTCAGAAACTTCTTTGTGTTGTGTGTACTCATGTAACAGTGTTGAACCATCCTTTTGACAGAGCAGTTTTGAAACACTCTTTTTGTAGAATCTGCAAGTGGATATTTGGATAGCTTTGAGGATTTCGTTGGAAACGGGATGACATATAATATCTAGAGAGAAGCATTCTCAGGAACTTCTTTGTGATGTTTGCATTCAAGTCACAGAATTGAACATTCCCTTTCATAGAGCAGGTTTGAAACACTCTTTCTCTAGTATCTGGAAGTGGGCATTTCAAGCGCTTTCAGGCCTATGGAGAGAAAGGAAATACCTTCAAATAAAAACTAGACAGAAGCATTCTCAGAAACTTATTTGTGATGTGTGTCCTCAACTAACAGAGTTGAACCTTTGTTTTGATACAGCATTTTGGAAACACTCCTTTTGTAGAATCTGCAGGTGGATATTTGGATAGCTTTGAAGATTTCGTTGGAAACCGGAATATCTTCATATAAAATCAAGACAGAAGCATTCTCGGAAACATCTCTGTGATGTTTGCATTCAACTCAGTAGAGTTGAACACTTCCTTTCATAGAGCAGGTTTGAAACACTCTTTCTGCACTACCTGGAAGCGGACATTTCGAGCGCTTTGAGGCCTATGGTGAAAAAGGAAATATCTTCTCATAAAAACCAGAAAGAAGCATTCTCAGAAACTTCTTTGTGTTGTGTGTACTCAAGTAACAGTGTTGAACCTTCCTTTTGACAGAGTAGTTTTGAAACACTCTTTTGGTAGAATCTGCAAGTGGATATTTGGATAGCTTTGAGGATTTCGTTGGAAACGGGTTATCTTCCTATAAAATCCAGACAGGAGCATTCTCAGAAACTTCTTTGTGCTGTATGTCCTCAATTCACAGAGCTGAACCTTTGTTTGGATACAGCATTTTGGAGACATTCCTTTAGTAGAATCTGCAAGTTGATATTTAGATAGCTTTGAAGATTTCGTTGGAAACGGGAATATCTTCATAGAAAATCTAGACGGAAGCATTCTCAGAAACTGCTTTGTGATGTTTGCATTCAAGTCACAGAGTTGAATATTCCCTTTTATAGAGTAGGTTTGAAACACTCTTTCGGCACTACCTGGAAGTGGATATTTCGAGCTCTTTGAGGCCTATGGTTAAAAGGAAATATCTTCCCATAAAAACTAGACAGAAGCCGTCTCAGAAACTTGTTTGTGATGTGTGTATTCAACTAACAGAGTTGAACATTTCTGTTACAGAGCAATTTTAAAACACTCTTTTTGTGGAATCTGAAAGTGGATAATTGGATAGCTTTGTGGATTTCGTTGGAAACGGGATGACGTATAAAATCTAGAGAGAAGCATTCTCAGGAACTTCTTTCTGATGTTTGCATTCAAGTCACAGAATTGAACATTCCTTTTCATAGTGCAGGTTTGAAACACTCTTTCTGTAGTATCTGGAAGTGGACATTTCAAGCGCTTTCAGGCCTACGGGGTGAAAGGAAATATCTTCAAATAAAAACTAGACAGAATGCTTCTCAGAAACTTATTTGTGATGTGTGTCCTAAACGAACACAGTTGAACCTTTGTTTTGATACAGCATTTTGGAAACACTCCTTTTGTAGAATCTGCAGGTGGATATTTGGATAGATTTTAAGATTTCGTTGGAAACGGGAATTTCTTCATAGAAACTCAAGACAGATGCATTCTCAGAAACTTCTCTGTGATGTTTGCATTCCACTCATAGAGTTGAAAACTTCCTTTCATAGAACAGGTTTGAAACACTCTTTCTGTAATATTTGGAAGTGGACATTTGCAGCGCTTTGAGGCCTATGGTGAAAAAGGAAATATCTTCTCATAAAAACCAGAAACAAGCATTCTCAGAAACTTCTTTTTGATGTGTGTACTCAAGTAACAGAGTTGAACCTTCCTCTTGACACAGCAGTTTTGAAACAATCTTTTTGTAGAATCTGCAAGTGGATATTTGGATAGCTTTGAGGATTTCGTTGGAAACGGGATATCTTCATATAAAATCTAGACAGAAGCATTCTCAGAAACTTCTTTGTGCTGTATGTCCTCAATTAACAGAGTTGAACCATTGCTTGGATACAGCATTTTGGAAACATTCCTTTAGTAGAATCTGCAAGTTGATATTTAGATAGATTTGAAGATTTCGTTGGAAACGGGAATATCTTCATATAAAATCTAGACGGAGGCATTCTCAGAAACTGCTTTGTGATGTTTCCATTCAAGTCACAGAGTTGAATATTCCCTTTTATAGAGCACGTTTGAAACACTCTTTCGGCACTATCTGGAAGTGGACATTTCGAGCGCTTTGAGGCCTATGGTGAAAAAGGAAATATCTTCCCATAAAAACTAGACAGAAGCATTCTCAGAAACTTGTTTGTGATGTGTGTATTCAACTAACAGACTTGAACTTTTGTTTTTACAGAGCAGTTTTAAAACAATCTTTTTGTGGAATCAGAAAGTGGATATTCGGATGGCTTTGAGGATTTCGTTGGAAGCGTGATTACATATAAAATCTAGAGAGAAGCATTCTCAGGAACTACTTTGTGATGTTTGCATTGAAGTCACAGAATTGAACATTCACTATGATAGAGCAGGTTTGAAACACTCATGCTGTAGTATCTGGAAGTGGACATTTCAAGCGCTTTCAGGCCTATGGTGAGAAAGGAAATATCTTCAAATTAAAACTAGACAGAAGCATCCTCAGAAACTTATTTGTGATGTGTGTCCTCAACTAACAGAGTTGAAACTTTGTTTTGATACAGCATTTGGAAACACTCTTTTTGTAGAATCTGCAGGTGGATATTTGGATAGCTTAGAGGGATTCGTTGGAAAGGGGATATCTTCATATAAAATCTAGACAGAAGCATTCTCAGAAACTTATTTGTGATGTGTGTCCTCAACTAACAGAGTTGAACCTTGGTTTTGATACAGCATTTTGGAAACACTCCTTTTGAAGAATCTGCAGGTGGATATGTGGATAGCTTTGAAGATTTCGTTGGAAACGGGAATTTCTTCATATAAAATCAAACAGAAGCATTCTCAGGAACTTCTCTGTGATGTTTGCATTCAGCTCATGGAGTTGAACACTTCCTTTCATAGAGCAGGTTTGAAACACTCTTTCTGCACTACCTGGAAGTGGACATTTCGAGCGCTTTGAGGCCTATGGTGAAAAAGGAAATATCCTCTCATAAAAACCAGAAAGAAGCGTTCTCAGAAACTTCTTTGTGTTGTGTGTACTCATGTAACAGTGTTGAACCATCCTTTTGACAGAGCAGTTTTGAAACACTCTTTTTGTAGAATCTGCAAGTGGATATTTGGATAGCTTTGAGGATTTCGTTGGAAACGGGTTATCTTCATATTAAATCTAGACAGAAGCATTCTCAGAAACTTCTTTGTGCTGTATGTCCTCAATTCACAGAGTTGAACCTTTGTTTGGATACAGCATTTTGGAAACATTCCTTTAGTAGAATCTGCAAGTTGATATTTAGATAGCTTTGAAGATTTCGTTGGAAACGGGAATATCTTCATAAAAAATCTAGACGGAAGCATTGTCAGAAACTGCTTTGTGATGTTTGCATTCAAGTCACAGAGTTAAATATTCTTTTACAGAGCAGGTTTGAAACACTCTTTCTGCACTCCCTGGAAGTGGAGATTTCGAGCGCTTTGAGGCCTTTGGTGAAAAAGGAAATATCTTCCCATAAAAACTAGACGGAAGCCTTCTCAGAAACTTGTTTCAGATGTGTGTATTCAACTAAGAGCGTTGAACACTTCCTTCTACACAGCAGTTTTAAAACACTCTTTTTGTGGAATCTGAAAGTGGATAATTGGATAGCTTTGTGGATTGCGTTGGAAACGGGATTACGTATAAAATCTAGAGAGAAGCATTCTCAGGAACTTCTTTCTGATGTTTGCATTCAAGTCACAGAATTGAACATTCCTTTTCAGAGTGCAGGTTTGAAACACTCTTTCTGTAGTATCTGGAAGTGGACATTTCAAGCGCTTTCAGGCCTACGGGGAGAAAGGAAATATCTTCAAATAAAAACTAGACAGAAAGGATTCTCAGAAACTTATTTGTGATGTGTGTCCTAAACGAACACAGTTGAACCTTTGTTTTGATACAGCATTTTGGAAACACTCCTTTTGTAGGATCTGCAGGTGGATATTTGGATAGATTTTAAGATTTCGTTGGAAACGGGAATTTCTGCATATAAACTCAAGACAGATGCATTCTCAGAAACTTCTCTGTGATGTTTGCATTCCACTCATAGAGTTGAAAACTTCCTTTCATAGAGCAGGTTTGAAACACTCTTTTTGTAATATGTGGAAGTGGACATTTGCAGCGCTTTGAGGCCTATGGTGAAAAAGGAAATATCTTCTCATAAAAACCAGAAACAAGCATTCTCAGAAACTTCTTTTTGATGTGTGTACTCAAGTAACAGAGTTGAACCTTCCTTTTGACACAGCAGTTTTGAAACAATCTTTTTGTAGAATCTGCAAGTGGATATTTGGATAGCTTTGAGGATTTCGTTGGAAACGGGATATCTTCATATAAAATCTAGACAGAAGCATTCTCAGAAACTTCTTTGTGCTGTATGTCCTCAATTAACAGAGTTGAACCATTGCCTGGATACAGCATTTTGGAAACATTCCTTGAGTAGAATCTGCAAGTTGATATTTAGATAGATTTGAAGATTTCGTTGGAAAAGGGAATATCTCCATATAAAATCTAGAGGGAAGCATTCTCAGAAAACTGCTTTGTGATGTTTCCATTCAAGTCACAGAGTTGAATATTCCCTTTTATAGAGCACGTTTGAAACACTCTTTCTGCACTATCTGGAAGCGGACATTTCGAGCGCTTTGAGGCCTATGGTGAAAAAGGAAATATCTTCCCATAAAAACTAGACAGAAGCATTCTCAGAAACTTGTTTGTGATGTGTGTATTCAACTAACAGAGTTGAACTTTTGTTTTTACAGAGCCGTTTTAAAACACTCTTTTTGTGGAATCAGAAAGTGGATATTCGGATGGCTCTGAGGATTTCGTTGGAAGCGGGATTACGTATAAAATCTAGAGAGAAGCATTCTCAGGAACTTCTTTGTGATGTTTGCATTGAAGTCACGGAATTGAACATTCACTTTTATAGAGCAGGTTTGAAACACTCATTCTGTAGTATCTGGAAGTGGACATTTCAAGCGCTTTCAGGCCTATGGTGAGAAAGGAAATATCTTCGAATAAAAACTAGACAGAAGCATCCTCAGAAACTTATTTGTGATGTGTGTCCTCAACTAACAGAGTTGAAACTTTGTTTTGATACAGCATTTTGGAAACACTCTTTTTGTAGAATCTGCAGGTGGATATTTGGATAGCTTAGAGGGATTCGTTGGAAAGGGGATATCTTCATATAAAATCTAGACAGAAGCATTCTCAGAAACTTATTTGTGATGTGTGTCCTCAACTAACAGAGTTGAACCTTGGTTTTGATACAGCATTTTGGAAACACTCCTTTTGTAGAATCTGCAGGTGGATATGTGGATAGCTCTGAAGATTTCGTTGGAAACGGGAATTTCTTCATATAAAATCAAACAGAAGCATTCTCAGAAACTTCTCAGTGATGTTTGCATTCAGCTCATGGAGTTGAACACTTCCTTTCATAGAGCAGGTTTGAAACACTCTTTCTGCACTACCTGGAAGAGGACATTTCGAGCACTTTGAGTCCTATGGTGAAAAAGGAAATATCTTCTCATAGAAACCAGAAAGAAGCATTCTCAGAAACTTCTTTGTGTTGTGTGTACTCATGTAACAGTGTTGAACCATCCTTTTGACAGAGGAGTTTTGAAACACTCTTTTTGTAGAATCTGCAAGTGGATATTTGGATAGCTTTGAGGATTTCGTTGGAAACGGGATGACATATAATATCTAGAGAGAAGCATTCTCAGGAACTTCTTTGTGATGTTTGCATTCAAGTCACAGAATTGAACATTCCCTTTCATAGAGCAGGTTTGAAACACTCTTTCTCTAGTATCTGGAAGTGGGCATTTCAAGCGCTTTCAGGCCTATGGAGAGAAAGGAAATACCTTCAAATAAAAACTAGACAGAAGCATTCTCAGAAACTTATTTGTGATGTGTGTCCTCAACTAACAGAGTTGAACCTTTGTTTTGATACAGCATTTTGGAAACACTCCTTTTGTAGAATCTGCAGGTGGATATTTGGATAGCTTTGAAGATTTCGTTGGAAACCGGAATATCTTCATATAAAATCAAGACAGAAGCATTCTCGGAAACATCTCTGTGATGTTTGCATTCAACTCAGTAGAGTTGAACACTTCCTTTCATAGAGCAGGTTTGAAACACTCTTTCTGCACTACCTGGAAGCGGACATTTCGAGCGCTTTGAGGCCTATGGTGAAAAAGGAAATATCTTCACATAAAAACCAGAAAGGAAGCATTCTCAGAAACTTCTTTGTGTTGTGTGTACTCAAGTAACAGTGTTGAACCTTCCTTTTGACAGAGCAGTTTTGAAACACTCTTTTGGTAGAATCTGCAAGTGGATATTTGGATAGCTTTGAGGATTTCGTTGGAAACGGGTTATCTTCATATAAAATCCAGACAGGAGCATTCTCAGAAACTTCTTTGTGCTGTATGTCCTCAATTCACAGAGCTGAACCTTTGTTTGGATACAGCATTTTGGAGACATTCCTTTAGTAGAATCTGCAAGTTGATATTTAGATAGCTTTGAAGATTTCGTTGGAAACGGGAATATCTTCATAGAAAATCTAGACGGAAGCATTCTCAGAAACTGCTTTGTGATGTTTGCATTCAAGTCACAGAGTTGAATATTCCCTTTTATAGAGTAGGTTTGAAACACTCTTTCGGCACTACCTGGAAGTGGATATTTCGAGCTCTTTGAGGCCTATGGTTAAAAGGAAATATCTTCCCATAAAAACTAGACAGAAGCCGTCTCAGAAACTTGTTTGTGATGTGTGTATTCAACTACCAGAGTTGAACATTTCTGTTACAGAGCAATTTTAAAACACTCTTTTTGTGGAATCTGAAAGTGGATAATTGGATAGCTTTGTGGATTTCGTTGGAAACGGGATGACGTATAAAATCTAGAGAGAAGCATTCTCAGGAACTTCTTTCTGATGTTTGCATTCAAGTCACAGAATTGAACATTCCTTTTCAGAGTGCAGGTTTGAAACACACTCTTTCTGTAGTATCTGGAAGTGGACATTTCAAGCGCTTTCAGGCCTACGGGGAGAAAGGAAATATCTTCAAATAAAAACTAGACAGAAGGATTCTCAGAAACTTATTTGTGATGTGTGTCCTAAACGAACACAGTTGAACCTTTGTTTTGATACAGCATTTTGGAAACACTCCTTTTGTAGGATCTGCAGGTGGATATTTGGATAGATTTTAAGATTTCGTTGGAAACGGGAATTTCTGCATATAAACTCAAGACAGATGCATTCTCAGAAACTTCTCTGTGATGTTTGCATTCCACTCATAGAGTTGAAAACTTCCTTTCATAGAGCAGGTTTGAAACACTCTTTTTGTAATATTTGGAAGTGGACATTTGCAGCGCTTTGAGGCCTATGGTGAAAAAAGGAAATATCTTCTCATAAAAACCAGAAACAAGCATTCTCAGAAACTTCTTTTTGATGTGTGTACTCAAGTAACAGAGTTGAACCTTCCTTTTGACACAGCAGTTTTGAAACAATCTTTTTGTAGAATCTGCAAGTGGATATTTGGATAGCTTTGAGGATTTCGTTGGAAACGGGATATCTTCATATAAAATCTAGACAGAAGCATTCTCAGAAACTTCTTTGTGCTGTATGTCCTCAATTAACAGAGTTCAACCATTGCTTGGATACAGCATTTTGGAAACATTCCTTGAGTAGAATCTGCAAGTTGATATTTAGATAGATTTGAAGATTTCGTTGGAAAAGGGAATATCTCCATATAAAATCTAGAGGGAAGCATTGTCAGAAACTGCTT
The DNA here is from genome assembly GCF_000001405.40 of Homo sapiens. Taxonomy (NCBI): domain Eukaryota; kingdom Metazoa; phylum Chordata; class Mammalia; order Primates; family Hominidae; genus Homo; species Homo sapiens. Next base: position 50,056,900 of record NC_000004.12, read on the forward strand.
TGTGATGTTTGCATTCAAGTCACAGAGTTAAATATTCTTTTACAGAGCAGGTTTGAAACACTCTTTCTGCACTCCCTGGAAGTGGAGATTTCGAGCGCTTTGAGGCCTGTGGTGAAAAAGGAAATATCTTCCCATAAAAACTAGACGGAAGCCTTCTCAGAAACTTGTTTGAGATGTGTGTATTCAACTAAGAGCGTTGAACATTTCTTTTTACAGAGCAGTTTTAAAACACTCTTTTGTGGAATCTGAAAGTGGATAATTGGATAGCTTTGTGGATTTCGTTGGAAACGGGATGACGTATAAAATCTAGAGAGAAGCATTCTCAGGAACTTCTTTCTGATGTTTGCATTCAAGTCACAGAATTGAACATTCCTTTTCATAGTGCAGGTTTGAAACACTCTTTCTGTAGTATCTGGAAGTGGACATTTCCAGCGCTTTCAGGCCTATAGGGAGAAAGGAAATATCTTCAAATAAAAACTAGACAGAAGGATTCTCAGAAACTTATTGGTGATGTGTGTCCTAAACGAACACAGTTGAACCTTTGTTTTGATACAGCATTTTGGAAACACTCCCTTTGTAGAATCTGCAGGTGGATATTTGGATAGATTTTAAGATTTCGTTGGAAACGGGAATGTCTTCATATAAACTCAAGACAGATGCATTCTCAGAAACTTCTCTGTGATGTTTGCATTCCACTCATAGAGTTGAAAACTTCCTTTCATAGAGCAGGTTTGAAACACTCTTTTTGTAATATTTGGAAGTGGACATTTGCAGCGCTTTGAGGCCTATGGTGAAAAAGGAAATATCTTCTGATAAAAACCAGAAACAAGCATTCTCAGAAACTTCTTTTTGATGTGTGTACTCAAGTAACAGAGTTGAACCTTCCTTTTGACACAGCAGTTTTGAAAAAATCTTTTTGTAGAATCTGCAAGTGGATATTTGGATAGCTTTGAGGATTTCGTTGGAAACGGGATATCTTCATATAAAATCTAGACAGAAGCATTCTCAGAAACTTCTTTGTGCTGTATGTCCTCAATTAACAGAGTTGAACCATTGCCTGGATACAGCATTTTGGAAACATTCCTTGAGTAGAATCTGCAAGTTGATATTTAGATAGATTTGAAGATTTCGTTGGAAAAGGGAATATCTCCATATAAAATCTAGAGGGAAGCATTCTCAGAAACTGCTTTGTGATGTTTCCATTCAAGTCACAGAGTTGAATATTCCCTTTTATAGAGCACGTTTGAAACACTCTTTCTGCACTATCTGGAAGCGGACATTTCGAGCGCTTTGAGGCCTATGGTGAAAAAGGAAATATCTTCCCATAAAAACTAGACAGAAGCATTCTCAGAAACTTGTTTGTGATGTGTGTATTCAACTAACAGAGTTGAACTTTTGTTTTTACAGAGCCGTTTTAAAACACTCTTTTTGTGGAATCAGAAAGTGGATATTCGGATGGCTCTGAGGATTTCGTTGGAAGCGGGATTACGTATAAAATCTAGAGAGAAGCATTCTCAGGAACTTCTTTGTGATGTTTGCATTGAAGTCAGAGAATTGAACATTCACTTTGATAGAGCAGGTTTGAAACACTCATTCTGTAGTATCTGGAAGTGGACATTTCAAGCGCTTTCAGGCCTATGGTGAGAAAGGAAATATCTTCGAATAAAAACTAGACAGAAGCATCCTCAAACTTATTTGTGATGTGTGTCCTCAACTAACAGAGTTGAAACTTTGTTTTGATACAGCATTTTGGAAACACTCTTTTTGTAGAATCTGCAGGTGGATATTTGGATAGCTTAGAGGGATTCGTTGGAAAGGGGATATCTTCATATAAAATCTAGACAGAAGCATTCTCAGAAACTTATTTGTGATGTGTGTCCTCAACTAACAGAGTTGAACCTTGGTTTTGATACAGCATTTTGGAAACACTCCTTTTGTAGAATCTGCAGGTGGATATGTGGATAGCTCTGAAGATTTCGTTGGAAACGGGAATTTCTTCATATAAAATCAAACAGAAGCATTCTCAGAAACTTCTCAGTGATGTTTGCATTCAGCTCATGGAGTTGTACACTTCCTTTCATAGAGCAGGTTTGAAACACTCTTTCTGCACTACCTGGAAGAGGACATTTCGAGCGCTTTGAGTCCTATGGTGAAAAAGGAAATATCTTCTCATAGAAACCAGAAAGAAGCATTCTCAGAAACTTCTTTGTGTTGTGTGTACTCATGTAACAGTGTTGAACCATCCTTTTGACAGAGGAGTTTTGAAACACTCTTTTTGTAGAATCTGCAAGTGGATATTTGGATAGCTTTGAGGATTTCGTTGGAAACGGGATGACATATAATATCTAGAGAGAAGCATTCTCAGGAACTTCTTTGTGATGTTTGCATTCAAGTCACAGAATTGAACATTCCCTTTCATAGAGCAGGTTTGAAACACTCTTTCTCTAGTATCTGGAAGTGGGCATTTCAAGCGCTTTCAGGCCTATGGAGAGAAAGGAAATACCTTCAAATAAAAACTAGACAGAAGCATTCTCAGAAACTTATTTGTGATGTGTGTCCTCAACTAACAGAGTTGAACCTTTGTTTTGATACAGCATTTTGGAAACACTCCTTTTGTAGAATCTGCAGGTGGATATTTGGATAGCTTTGAAGATTTCGTTGGAAACCGGAATATCTTCATATAAAATCAAGACAGAAGCATTCTCGGAAACATCTCTGTGATGTTTGCATTCAACTCAGTAGAGTTGAACACTTCCTTTCATAGAGCAGGTTTGAAACACTCTTTCTGCACTACCTGGAAGCGGACATTTCGAGCGCTTTGAGGCCTATGGTGAAAAAGGAAATATCTTCTCATAAAAACCAGAAAGAAGCATTCTCAGAAACTTCTTTGTGTTGTGTGTACTCAAGTAACAGTGTTGAACCTTCCTTTTGACAGAGCAGTTTTGAAACACTCTTTTGGTAGAATCTGCAAGTGGATATTTGGATAGCTTTGAGGATTTCGTTGGAAACGGGTTATCTTCCTATAAAATCCAGACAGGAGCATTCTCAGAAACTTCTTTGTGCTGTATGTCCTCAATTCACAGAGCTGAACCTTTGTTTGGATACAGCATTTTGGAGACATTCCTTTAGTAGAATCTGCAAGTTGATATTTAGATAGCTTTGAAGATTTCGTTGGAAACGGGAATATCTTCATAGAAAATCTAGACGGAAGCATTCTCAGAAACTGCTTTGTGATGTTTGCATTCAAGTCACAGAGTTGAATATTCCCTTTTATAGAGTAGGTTTGAAACACTCTTTCGGCACTACCTGGAAGTGGATATTTCGAGCTCTTTGAGGCCTATGGTTAAAAGGAAATATCTTCCCATAAAAACTAGACAGAAGCCGTCTCAGAAACTTGTTTGTGATGTGTGTATTCAACTACCAGAGTTGAACATTTCTGTTACAGAGCAATTTTAAAACACTCTTTCTGTGGAATCTGAAAGTGGATAATTGGATAGCTTTGTGGATTTCGTTGGAAACGGGATGACGTATAAAATCTAGAGAGAAGCATTCTCAGGAACTTCTTTCTGATGTTTGCATTCAAGTCACAGAATTGAACATTCCTTTTCAGAGTGCAGGTTTGAAACACTCTTTCTGTAGTATCTGGAAGTGGACATTTCAAGCGCTTTCAGGCCTTCGTGGAGAAAGGAAATATCTTCAAATAAAAACTAGACAGAAGGATTCTCAGAAACTTATTTGTGATGTGTGTCCTAAACGAACACAGTTGAACCTTTGTTTTGATACAGCATTTTGGAAACACTCCTTTTGTAGGATCTGCAGGTGGATATTTGGATAGATTTTAAGATTTCGTTGGAAACGGGAATTTCTGCATAGAAACTCAAGACAGATGCATTCTCAGAAACTTCTCTGTGATGTGTGCATTCCACTCATAGAGTTGAAAACTTCCTTTCATAGAGCAGGTTTGAAACACTCTTTTTGTAATATTTGGAAGTGGACATTTGCAGCGCTTTGAGGCCTATGGTGAAAAAGGAAATATCTTCTCATAAAAACCAGAAACAAGCATTCTCAGAAACTTCTTTTTGATGTGTGTACTCAAGTAACAGAGTTGAACCTTCCTTTTGACACAACAGTTTTGAAACAATCTTTTTGTAGAATCTGCAAGTGGATATTTGGATAGCTTTGAGGATTTCGTTGGAAACGGGATATCTTCATATAAAATCTAGACAGAAAAGCATTCTCAGAAACTTCTTTGTGCTGTATGACCTCAATTAACAGAGTTGAACCATTGCTTGCATACAGCATTTTGGAAACATTCCTTGAGTAGAATCTGCAAGTTGATATTTAGATAGATTTGAAGATTTCGTTCGAAAACGGAATATCTCCATATAAAATCTAGAGGGAAGCATTCTCAGAAACTGCTTTGTGATGTTTCCATTCAAGTCACAGAGTTGAATATTCCCTTTTATAGAGCACGTTTGAAACACTCTTTCTGCGCTATCTGGAAGTGGACATTTCGAGCGCTTTGAGGCCTATGGTGAAAAAGGAAATATCTTCCCATAAAAACTAGACAGAAGCATTCTCAGAAACTTGTTTGTGATGTGTGTATTCAACTAACAGAGTTGAACTTTTGTTTTTACAGAGCCGTTTTAAAACACTCTTTTTGTGGAATCAGAAAGTGGATATTCGGATGGCTCTGAGGATTTCGTTGGAAGCGGGATTACATATAAAATCTAGAGAGAAGCATTCTCAGGAACTTCTTTGTGATGTTTGCATTGAAGTCACAGAATTGAACATTCACTTTGATAGAGCAGGTTTGAAACACTCATTCTGTAGTATCTGGAAGTGGACATTTCAAGCGCTTTCAGGCCTATGGTGAGAAAGGAAATATCTTCGAATAAAAACTAGACAGAAGCATCCTCAAACTTATTTGTGATGTGTGTCCTCAACTAACAGAGTTGAACCTTTGTTTTGATACAGCATTTTGGAAACACTCTTTTTGTAGAATCTGCAGGTGGATATTTGGATAGCTTAGAGGGATTCGTTGGAAAGGGGATATCTTCATATAAAATCTAGACAGAAGCATTCTCAGAAACTTATTTGTGATGTGTGTCCTCAACTAACAGAGTTGAACCTTGGTTTTGATACAGCATTTTGGAAACACTCCTTTTGTAGAATCTGCATGTGGATATGTGGATAGCTCTGAAGATTTCGTTGGAAACGGGAATTTCTTCATATAAAATCAAACAGAAGCATTCTCAGAAACTTCTCAGTGATGTTTGCATTCAGCTCATGGAGTTGTACACTTCCTTTCATAGAGCAGGTTTGAAACACTCTTTCTGCACTACCTGGAAGAGGACATTTCGAGCGCTTTGAGTCCTATGGTGAAAAAGGAAATATCTTCTCATAGAAACCAGAAAGAAGCATTCTCAGAAACTTCTTTGTGTTGTGTGTACTCATGTAACAGTGTTGAACCATCCTTTTGACAGAGCAGTTTTGAAACACTCTTTTTGTAGAATCTGCAAGTGGATATTTGGATAGCTTTGAGGATTTCGTTGGAAACGGGATGACATATAATATCTAGAGAGAAGCATTCTCAGGAACTTCTTTGTGATGTTTGCATTCAAGTCACAGAATTGAACATTCCCTTTCATAGAGCAGGTTTGAAACACTCTTTCTCTAGTATCTGGAAGTGGGCATTTCAAGCGCTTTCAGGCCTATGGAGAGAAAGGAAATACCTTCAAATAAAAACTAGACAGAAGCATTCTCAGAAACTTATTTGTGATGTGTGTCCTCAACTAACAGAGTTGAACCTTTGTTTTCATACAGCATTTTGGAAACACTCCTTTTGTAGAATCTGCAGGTGGATATTTGGATAGCTTTGAAGATTTCGTTGGAAACCGGAATATCTTCATATAAAATCAAGACAGAAGCATTCTCGGAAACATCTCTGTGATGTTTGCATTCAACTCAGTAGAGTTGAACACTTCCTTTCATAGAGCAGGTTTGAAACACTCTTTCTGCACTACCTGGAAGCGGACATTTCGAGCGCTTTGAGGCCTATGGTGAAAAAGGAAATATCTTCTCATAAAAACCAGAAAGAAGCATTCTCAGAAACTTCTTTGTGTTGTGTGTACTCAAGTAACAGTGTTGAACCTTCCTTTTGACAGAGCAGTTTTGAAACACTCTTTTGGTAGAATCTGCAAGTGGATATTTGGAGAGCTTTGAGGATTTCGTTGGAAACGGGTTATCTTCATATAAAATCCAGACAGGAGCATTCTCAGAAACTTCTTTGTGCTGTATGTCCTCAATTCACAGAGCTGAACCTTTGTTTGGATACAGCATTTTGGAGACGTTCCTTTAGTAGAATCTGCAAGTTGATATTTAGATAGCTTTGAAGATTTCGTTGGAAACGGGAATATCTTCATAGAAAATCTAGACGGAAGCATTCTCAGAAACTGCTTTGTGATGTTTGCATTCAAGTCACAGAGTTGAATATTCCCTTTTATAGAGTAGGTTTGAAACACTCTTTCGGCACTACCTGGAAGTGGATATTTCGAGCTCTTTGAGGCCTATGGTTAAAAGGAAATATCTTCCCATAAAAACTAGACAGAAGCCGTCTCAGAAACTTGTTTGTGATGTGTGTATTCAACTAACAGAGTTGAACATTTCTGTTACAGAGCAATTTTAAAACACTCTTTGTGGAATCTGAAAGTGGATAATTGGATAGCTTTGTGGATTTCGTTGGAAACGGGATGACGTATAAAATCTAGAGAGAAGCATTCTCAGGAACTTCTTTCTGATGTTTGCATTCAAGTCACAGAATTGAACATTCCTTTTCAGAGTGCAGGTTTGAAACACTCTTTCTGTAGTATCTGGAAGTGGACATTTCAAGCGCTTTCAGGCCTACGGGGAGAAAGGAAATATCTTCAAATAAAAACTAGACAGAAGGATTCTCAGAAACTTATTTGTGATGTGTGTCCTAAACGAACACAGTTGAACCTTTGTTTTGATACAGCATTTTGGAAACACTCCTTTTGTAGGATCTGCAGGTGGATATTTGGATAGATTTTAAGATTTCGTTGGAAACGGGAATTTCTTCATAGAAGCTCAAGACAGATGCATTCTCAGAAACTTCTCTGTGATGTTTGCATTCCACTCATAGAGTTGAAAACTTCCTTTCATAGAGCAGGTTTGAAACACTCTTTTTGTAATATTTGGAAGTGGACATTTGCAGCGCTTTGAGGCCTATGGTGAAAAAGGAAATATCTTCTCATAAAAACCAGAAACAAGCATTCTCAGAAACTTCTTTTTGATGTGTGTACTCAAGTAACAGAGTTGAACCTTCCTTTTGACACAGCAGTTTTGAAACAATCTTTTTGTAGAATCTGCAAGTGGATATTTGGATAGCTTTGAGGATTTCGTTGGAAACGGGATATCTTCATATAAAATCTAGACAGAAGCATTCTCAGAAACTTCTTTGTGCTGTATGACCTCAATTAACAGAGTTGAACCATTGCTTGCATACAGCATTTTGGAAACATTCCTTGAGTAGAATCTGCAAGTTGATATTTAGATAGATTTGAAGATTTCGTTCGAAAACGGAATATCTCCATATAAAATCTAGAGGGAAGCATTCTCAGAAACTGCTTTGTGATGTTTCCATTCAAGTCACAGAGTTGAATATTCCCTTTTATAGAGCACGTTTGAAACACTCTTTCTGCGCTATCTGGAAGTGGACATTTCGAGCGCTTTGAGGCCTATGGTGAAAAAGGAAATATCTTCCCATAAAAACTAGACAGAAGCATTCTCAGAAACTTGTTTGTGATGTGTGTATTCAACTAACAGAGTTGAACTTTTGTTTTTACAGAGCCGTTTTAAAACACTCTTTTTGTGGAATCAGAAAGTGGATATTCGGATGGCTCTGAGGATTTCGTTGGAAGCGGGATTACGTATAAAATCTAGAGAGAAGCATTCTCAGGAACTTCTTTGTGATGTTTGCATTGAAGTCACAGAATTGAACATTCACTTTGATAGAGCAGGTTTGAAACACTCATTCTGTAGTATCTGGAAGTGGACATTTCAAGCGCTTTCAGGCCTATGGTGAGAAAGGAAATATCTTCGAATAAAAACTAGACAGAAGCATCCTCAGAAACTTATTTGTGATGTGTGTCCTCAACTAACAGAGTTGAAACTTTGTTTTGATACAGCATTTTGGAAACACTCTTTTTGTAGAATCTGCAGGTGGATATTTGGATAGCTTAGAGGGATTCGTTGGAAAGGGGATATCTTCATATAAAATCTAGACAGAAGCATTCTCAGAAACTTATTTGTGATGTGTGTCCTCAACTAACAGAGTTGAACCTTGGTTTTGATACAGCATTTTGGAAACACTCCTTTTGTAGAATCTGCATGTGGATATGTGGATAGCTCTGAAGATTTCGTTGGAAACGGGAATTTCTTCATATAAAATCAAACAGAAGCATTCTCAGAAACTTCTCAGTGATGTTTGCATTCAGTTCATGGAGTTGAACACTTCCCTTCATAGAGCCGGTTTGAAACACTGTTTCTGCACTACCTGGAAGAGGACATTTCGAGCGCTTTGAGTCCTATGGTGAAAAAGGAAATATCTTCTCATAGAAACCAGAAAGAAGCATTCTCAGAAACTTCTTTGTGTTGTGTGTACTCATGTAACAGTGTTGAACCATCCTTTTGACAGAGCAGTTTTGAAACACTCTTTTTGTAGAATCTGCAAGTGGATATTTGGATAGCTTTGAGGATTTCGTTGGAAACGGGATGACATATAATATCTAGAGAGAAGCATTCTCAGGAACTTCTTTGTGATGTTTGCATTCAAGTCACAGAATTGAACATTCCCTTTCATAGAGCAGGTTTGAAACACTCTTTCTCTAGTATCTGGAAGTGGGCATTTCAAGCGCTTTCAGGCCTATGGAGAGAAAGGAAATACCTTCAAATAAAAACTAGACAGAAGCATTCTCAGAAACTTATTTGTGATGTGTGTCCTCAACTAACAGAGTTGAACCTTTGTTTTGATACAGCATTTTGGAAACACTCCTTTTGTAGAATCTGCAGGTGGATATTTGGATAGCTTTGAAGATTTCGTTGGAAACCGGAATATCTTCCTATAAAATCAAGACAGAAGCATTCTCGGAAACATCTCTGTGATGTTTGCATTCAACTCAGTAGAGTTGAACACTTCCTTTCATAGAGCAGGTTTGAAACACTCTTTCTGCCCTACCTGGAAGCGGACATTTCGAGCTCTTTGAGGCCTATGGTGAAAAAGGAAATATCTTCTCATAAAAACCAGAAAGAAGCATTCTCAGAAACTTCTTTGTGTTGTGTGTACTCAAGTAACAGTGTTGAACCTTCCTTTTGACAGAGCAGTTTTGAAACACTCTTTTGGTAGAATCTGCAAGTGGATATTTGGATAGCTTTGAGGATTTCGTTGGAAACGGGTTATCTTCATATAAAATCCAGACAGGAGCATTCTCAGAAACTTCTTTGTGCTGTATGTCCTCAATTCACAGAGCTGAACCTTTGTTTGGATACAGCATTTTGGAGACATTCCTTTAGTAGAATCTGCAAGTTGATATTTAGATAGCTTTGAAGATTTCGTTGGAAACGGGAATATCTTCATAGAAAATCTAGACGGAAGCATTCTCAGAAACTGCTTTGTGATGTTTGCATTCAAGTCACAGAGTTGAATATTCCCTTTTATAGAGTAGGTTTGAAACACTCTTTCGGCACTACCTGGAAGTGGATATTTCGAGCTCTTTGAGGCCTATGGTTAAAAGGAAATATCTTCCCATAAAAACTAGACAGAAGCCGTCTCAGAAACTTGTTTGTGATGTGTGTATTCAACTAACAGAGTTGAACATTTCTGTTACAGAGCAATTTTAAAACACTCTTTGTGGAATCTGAAAGTGGATAATTGGATAGCTTTGTGGATTTCGTTGGAAACGGGATGACGTATAAAATCTAGAGAGAAGCATTCTCAGGAACTTCTTTCTGATGTTTGCATTCAAGTCACAGAATTGAACATTCCTTTTCAGAGTGCAGGTTTGAAACACTCTTTCTGTAGTATCTGGAAGTGGACATTTCAAGCGCTTTCAGGCCTACGGGGAGAAAGGAAATATCTTCAAATAAAAACTAGACAGAAGGATTCTCAGAAACTTATTTGTGATGTGTGTCCTAAACGAACACAGTTGAACCTTTGTTTTGATACAGCATTTTGGAAACACTCCTTTTGTAGGATCTGCAGGTGGATATTTGGATAGATTTTAAGATTTCGTTGGAAACGGGAATTTCTTCATAGAAGCTCAAGACAGATGCATTCTCAGAAACTTCTCTGTGATGTTTGCATTCCACTCATAGAGTTGAAAACTTCCTTTCATAGAGCAGGTTTGAAACACTCTTTTTGTAATATTTGGAAGTGGACATTTGCAGCGCTTTGAGGCCTATGGTGAAAAAGGAAATATCTTCTCATAAAAACCAGAAACAAGCATTCTCAGAAACTTCTTTTTGATGTGTGTACTCAAGTAACAGAGTTGAACCTTCCTTTTGACACAGCAGTTTTGAAACAATCTTTTTGTAGAATCTGCAAGTGGATATTTGGATAGCTTTGAGGATTTCGTTGGAAACGGGATATCTTCATATAAAATCTAGACAGAAGCATTCTCAGAAACTTCTTTGTGCTGTATGACCTCAATTAACAGAGTTGAACCATTGCTTGCATACAGCATTTTGGAAACATTCCTTGAGTAGAATCTGCAAGTTGATATTTAGATAGATTTGAAGATTTCGTTCGAAAACGGAATATCTCCATATAAAATCTAGAGGGAAGCATTCTCAGAAACTGCTTTGTGATGTTTCCATTCAAGTCACAGAGTTGAATATTCCCTTTTATAGAGCACGTTTGAAACACTCTTTCTGTGCTATCTGGAAGTGGACATTTCGAGCGCTTTGAGGCCTATGGTGAAAAAGGAAATATCTTCCCATAAAAACTAGACAGAAGCATTCTCAGAAACTTGTTTGTGATGTGTGTATTCAACTAACAGAGTTGAACTTTTGTTTTTACAGAGCCGTTTTAAAACACTCTTTTTGTGGAATCAGAAAGTGGATATTCGGATGGCTCTGAGGATTTCGTTGGAAGCGGGATTACATATAAAATCTAGAGAGAAGCATTCTCAGGAACTTCTTTGTGATGTTTGCATTGAAGTCACAGAATTGAACATTCACTTTGATAGAGCAGGTTTGAAACACTCATTCGGTAGTATCTGGAAGTGGACATTTCAAGCGCTTTCAGGCCTATGGTGAGAAAGGAAATATCTTCGAATAAAAACTAGACAGAAGCATCCTCAAACTTATTTGTGATGTGTGTCCTCAACTAACAGAGTTGAAACTTTGTTTTGATACAGCATTTTGGAAACACTCTTTTTGTAGAATCTGCAGGTGGATATTTGGATAGCTTAGAGGGATTCGTTGGAAAGGGGATATCTTCATATAGAATCTAGACAGAAGCATTCTCAGAAACTTATTTGTGATGTGTGTCCTCAACTAACAGAGTTGAACTTTGGTTTTGATACAGCATTTTGGAAACACTCCTTTTGTAGAATCTGCAGGTGGATATGTGGATAGCTCTGAAGATTTCGTTGGAAACGGGAATTTCTTCATATAAAATCAAACAGAAGCATTCTCAGAAACTTCTCAGTGATGTTTGCATTCAGTTCATGGAGTTGAACACTTCCTTTCATAGAGCCGGTTTGAAACACTCTTTCTGCACTACCTGGAAGAGGACATTTCGAGCGCTTTGAGTCCTATGGTGAAAAAGGAAATATCTTCTCATAGAAACCAGAAAGAAGCATTCTCAGAAACTTCTTTGTGTTGTGTGTACTCATGTAACAGTGTTGAACCATCCTTTTGACAGTGCAGTTTTGAAACACTCTTTTTGTAGAATCTGCAAGTGGATATTTGGATAGCTTTGAGGATTTCGTTGGAAACGGGATGACATATAATATCTAGAGAGAAGCATTCTCAGGAACTTCTTTGTGATGTTTGCATTCAAGTCACAGAATTGAACATTCCCTTTCATAGAGCAGGTTTGAAACACTCTTTCTCTAGTATCTGGAAGTGGGCATTTCAAGCGCTTTCAGGCCTATGGAGAGAAAGGAAATACCTTCAAATAAAAACTAGACAGAAGCATTCTCAGAAACTTATTTGTGATGTGTGTCCTCAACTAACAGAGTTGAACCTTTGTTTTGATACAGCATTTTGGAAACACTCCTTTTGTAGAATCTGCAGGTGGATATGTGGATAGCTTTGAAGATTTCGTTGGAAACCGGAATATCTTCCTATAAAATCAAGACAGAAGCATTCTCGGAAACATCTCTGTGATGTTTGCATTCAACTCAGTAGAGTTGAACACGTCCTTTCATAGAGCAGGTTTGAAACACTCTTTCTGCCCTACCTGGAAGCGGACATTTCGAGCGCTTTGAGGCCTATGGTGAAAAAGGAAATATCTTCTCATAAAAACCAGAAAGAAGCATTCTCAGAAACTTCTTTGTGTTGTGTGTACTCAAGTAACAGTGTTGAACCTTCCTTTTGACAGAGCAGTTTTGAAACACTCTTTTGGTAGAATCTGCAAGTGGATATTTGGATAGCTTTGAGGATTTCGTTGGAAACGGGTTATCTTCATATAAAATCCAGACAGGAGCATTCTCAGAAACTTCTTTGTGCTGTATGTCCTCAATTCACAGAGCTGAACCTTTGTTTGGATACAGCATTTTGGAGACATTCCTTTAGTAGAATCTGCAAGTTGATATTTAGATAGCTTTGAAGATTTCGTTGGAAACGGGAATATCTTCATAGAAAATCTAGACGGAAGCATTCTCAGAAACTGCTTTGTGATGTTTGCATTCAAGTCACAGAGTTGAATATTCCCTTTTATAGAGTAGGTTTGAAACACTCTTTCGGCACTACCTGGAAGTGGATATTTCGAGCTCTTTGAGGCCTATGGTTAAAAGGAAATATCTTCCCATAAAAACTAGACAGAAGCCGTCTCAGAAACTTGTTTGTGATGTGTGTATTCAACTAACAGAGTTGAACATTTCTGTTACAGAGCAATTTTAAAACACTCTTTTTGTGGAATCTGAAAGTGGATAATTGGGTAGCTTTGTGGATTTCGTTGGAAACGGGATGACGTATAAAATCTAGAGAGAAGCATTCTCAGGAACTTCTTTCTGATGTTTGCATTCAAGTCACAGAATTGACATTCCTTTTCAGAGTGCAGGTTTGAAACACTCTTTCTGTAGTATCTGGAAGTGGACATTTCAAGCTCTTTCAGGCCTATGGGGAGAAAGGAAATATCTTCAAATAAAAACTAGACAGAAGGATTCTCAGAAACTTATTTGTGATGTGTGTCCTAAACGAACACAGTTGAACCTTTGTTTTGATACAGCATTTTGGAAACACTCCTTTTGTAGAATCTGCAGGTGCATATTTGGATAGATTTTAAGATTTCGTTGGAAACGGGAATTTCTGCATATAAACTCAAGACAGATGCATTCTCAGAAAACTTCTCTGTGATGTTTGCATTCCACTCATAGAGTTGAAAACTTCCTTTCATAGAGCAGGTTTGAAACACTCTTTTTGTAATATTTGGAAGTGGACCTTTGCAGCGCTTTGAGGCCTATGGTGAAAAAGGAAATATCTTCTCATAAAAACCAGAAACAAGCATTCTCAGAAACTTCTTTTTGATGTGTGTACTCAAATAACAGAGTTGAACCTTCCTTTTGACACAGCAGTTTTGAAACAATCTTTTTGTAGAATCTGCAAGTGGATATTTGGATAGCTTTGATGATTTCGTTGGAAACGGGATATCTTCATATAAAATCTAGACAGAAGCATTCTCAGAAACTTCTTTGTGCTGTATGTCCTCAATTAACAGAGTTGAACCATTGCTTGGATACAGCATTTTGGAAACATTCCTTGAGTAGAATCTGCAAGTTGATACTTAGATAGATTTGAAGATTTCGTTGGAAAAGGGAATATCTCCATATAAAATCTAGAGGGAAGCATTCTCAGAAACTGCTTTATGATGTTTCCATTCAAGTCACAGAGTTGAATATTCCCTTTTATAGAGCACGTTTGAAACAATCTTTCTGCACTATCTGGAAGTGGACATTTCGAGCGCTTTGAGGCCTATGGTGAAAAAGGAAATATCTTCCCATAAAAACTAGACAGAAGCATTCTCAGAAACTTGTTTGTGATGTGTGTATTCAACTAACAGAGTTGAACTTTTGTTTTTACAGAGCCGTTTTAAAACACTCTTTTTGTGGAATCAGAAAGTGGATATTCGGATGGCTCTGAAGATTTCGTTGGAAGCGGGATTACATATAAAATCTAGAGAGAAGCATTCTCAGGAACTTCTTTGTGATGTTTGCATTGAAGTCACAGAATTGAACATTCACTTTGATAGAGCAGGTTTGAAACACTCATTCTGTAGTATCTGGAAGTGGACATTTCAAGCGCTTTCAGGCCTATGGTGGGAAAGGAAATATCTTCGAATAAAAACTAGACAGAAGCATCCTCAGAAACTTATTTGTGATGTGTGTCCTCAACTAACAGAGTTAAAACTTTGTTTTGATACAGCATTTTGGAAACACTCTTTTTGTAGAATCTGCAGGTGGATATTTGGATAGCTTAGAGGGATTCGTTGGAAAGGGGATATCTTCATATAAAATCTAGACAGAAGCATTCTCAGAAACTTATTTGTGATGTGTGTCCTCAACTAACAGAGTTGAACCTTGGTTTTGATACAGCATTTTGGAAACACTTCTTTTGTAGAATCTGCAGGTGGATATGTGGATAGCTTTGAAGATTTCGTTGGAAACGGGAATTTCTTCATATAAAATCAAACAGAAGCATTCTTAGAAACTTCTCAGTGATGTTTGCATTCAGCTCATGGAGTTGAACACTTCCTTTCATAGAGCAGGTTTGAAACACTCTTTCTGCACTACCTGGAAGAGGACATTTCGAGCGCTTTGAGTCCTATGGTGAAAAACGAAATATCTTCTCATAGAAACCAGAAAGAAGCATTCTCAGAAACTTCTTTGTGTTGTGTGTACTCATGTAACAGTGTTGAACCATCCTTTTGACAGAGCAGTTTAGAAACACTCTTTTTGTAGAATCTGCAAGTGGATATTTGGATAGCTTTGAGGATTTCGTTGGAAACGGGATGACATATAATATCTAGAGAGAAGCATTCTCAGGAACTTCTTTGTGATGTTTGCATTCAAGTCACAGAATTGAACATTCCCTTTCATAGAGCAGGTTTGAAACACTCTTTCTCTAGTATCTGGAAGTGGGCATTTCAAGCGCTTTCAGGCCTATGGAGAGAAAGGAAATACCTTCAAATAAAAACTAGACAGAAGCATTCTCAGAAACTTATTTGTGATGTGTGTCCTCAACTAACAGAGTTGAACCTTTGTTTTGATACAGCATTTTGGAAACACTCCTTTTGTAGAATCTGCAGGTGGATATTTGGATAGCTTTGAAGATTTCGTTGGAAACCGGAATATCTTCATATAAAATCAAGACAGAAGCATTCTCGGAAACATCTCTGTGATGTTTGCATTCAACTCAGTAGAGTTGAACACTTCCTTTCATAGAGCAGGTTTGAAACACTCTTTCTGCACTACCTGGAAGCGGACATTTCGAGCGCTTTGAGGCCTATGGTGAAAAAGGAAATATCTTCTCATAAAAACCAGAAAGAAGCATTCTCAGAAACTTCTTTGTGTTGTGTGTACTCAAGTAACAGTGTTGAACCTTCCTTTTGACAGAGCAGTTTTGAAACACTCTTTTGGTAGAATCTGCAAGTGGATATTTGGAGAGCTTTGAGGATTTCGTTGGAAACGGGTTATCTTCATATAAAATCCAGACAGGAGCATTCTCAGAAACTTCTTTGTGCTGTATGTCCTCAATTCACAGAGCTGAACCTTTGTTTGGATACAGCATTTTGGAGACATTCCTTTAGTAGAATCTGCAAGTTGATATTTAGATAGCTTTGAAGATTTCGTTGGAAACGGGAATATCTTCATAGAAAATCTAGACGGAAGCATTCTCAGAAACTGCTTTGTGATGTTTGCATTCAAGTCACAGAGTTGAATATTCCCTTTTATAGAGTAGGTTTGAAACACTCTTTCGGCACTACCTGGAAGTGGATATTTCGAGCTCTTTGAGGCCTATGGTTAAAAGGAAATATCTTCCCATAAAAACTAGACAGAAGCCGTCTCAGAAACTTGTTTGTGATGTGTGTATTCAACTAACAGAGTTGAACATTTCTGTTACAGAGCAATTTTAAAACACTCTTTTTGTGGAATCTGAAAGTGGATAATTGGATAGCTTTGTGGATTTCGTTGGAAACGGGATGACGTATAAAATCTAGAGAGAAGCATTCTCAGGAACTTCTTTCTGATGTTTGCATTCAAGTCACAGAATTGAACATTCCTTTTCAGAGTGCAGGTTTGAAACACTCTTTCTGTAGTATCTGGAAGTGGACATTTCAAGCGCTTTCAGGCCTACGGGGAGAAAGGAAATATCTTCAAATAAAAACTAGAGAGAAGGATTCTCAGAAACTTATTTGTGATGTGTGTCCTAAACGAACACAGTTGAACCTTTGTTTTGATACAGCATTTTGGAAACACTCCTTTTGTAGGATCTGCAGGTGGATATTTGGATAGATTTTAAGATTTCGTTGGAAACGGGAATTTCTTCATAGAAGCTCAAGACAGATGCATTCTCAGAAACTTCTCTGTGATGTTTGCATTCCACTCATAGAGTTGAAAACTTCCTTTCATAGAGCAGGTTTGAAACACTCTTTTTGTAATATTTGGAAGTGGACATTTGCAGCGCTTTGAGGCCTATGGTGAAAAAGGAAATATCTTCTCATAAAAACCAGAAACAAGCATTCTCAG
Source organism: Homo sapiens (assembly GCF_000001405.40). Classification (NCBI taxonomy): domain Eukaryota; kingdom Metazoa; phylum Chordata; class Mammalia; order Primates; family Hominidae; genus Homo; species Homo sapiens. The sequence goes on from NC_000004.12 coordinate 50,073,891, forward strand.
AAACTTCTTTTTGATGTGTGTACTCAAGTAACAGAGTTGAACCTTCCTTTTGACACAGCAGTTTTGAAACAATCTTTTTGTAGAATCTGCAAGTGGATATTTGGATAGCTTTGAGGATTTCGTTGGAAACGGGATATCTTCATATAAAATCTAGACAGAAGCATTCTCAGAAACTTCTTTGTGCTGTATGTCCTCAATTAACAGAGTTGAACCATTGCTTGGATACAGCATTTTGGAAACATTCCTTTAGTAGAATCTGCAAGTTGATATTTAGATAGATTTGAAGATTTCGTTGGAAAAGGGAATATCTCCATATAAAATCTAGAGGGAAGCATTCTCAGAAACTGCTTTGTGATGTTTCCATTCAAGTCACAGAGTTGAATATTCCCTTTTATAGAGCACGTTTGAAACACTCTTTCTGCACTATCTGGAAGTGGACATTTCGAGCGCTTTGAGGCCTATGGTGAAAAAGGAAATATCTTCCCATAAAAACTAGACAGAAGCATTCTCAGAAACTTGTTTGTGATGTGTGTATTCAACTAACAGAGTTGAACTTTTGTTTTTACAGAGCCATTTTAAAACACTCTTTTTGTGGAATCAGAAAGTGGATATTCGGATGGCTCTGAGGATTTCGTTGGAAGCGGGATTACATATAAAATCTAGAGAGAAGCATTCTCAGGAACTTCTTTGTGATGTTTGCATTGAAGTCACAGAATTGAACATTCACTTTGATAGAGCAGGTTTGAAACACTCATTCTGTAGGATCTGGAAGTGGACATTTCAAGCGCTTTCAGGCCTATGGTGAGAAAGGAAATATCTTCAAATAAAAACTAGACAGAGGCATCCTCAGAAACTTATTTGTGATGTGTGTCCTCAACTAACAGAGTTGAAACTTTGTTTTGATACAGCATTTTGTAAACACTCTTTTTGTAGAATCTGCAGGTGGATATTTGGATAGCTTAGAGGGATTCGTTGGAAAGGGGATATCTTCATATAAAATCTAGACAGAAGCATTCTCAGAAACTTATTTGTGATGTGTGTCCTCAACTAACAGAGTTGAACCTTGGTTTTGATACAGCATTTTGGAAACACTCCTTTTGTAGAATCTGCAGGTGGATATGTGGATAGCTCTGAAGATTTCGTTGGAAAACGGAATTTCTTCATATAAAATCAAACAGAAGCATTCTCAGAAACTTCTCAGTGATGTTTGCATTCAGTTCATGGAGTTGAACACTTCCCTTCATAGAGCCGGTTTGAAACACTCTTTCTGCACTACCTGGAAGAGGACATTTCGAGCGCTTTGAGTCCTATGGTGAAAAAGGAAATATCTTCTCATAGAAACCAGAAAGAAGCATTCTCAGAAACTTCTTTGTGTTGTGTGTACTCATGTAACAGTGTTGAACCATCCTTTTGACAGAGCAGTTTTGAAACACTCTTTTTGTAGAATCTGCAAGTGGATATTTGGATAGCTTTGAGGATTTCGTTGGAAACGGGATGACATATAATATCTAGAGAGAAGCATTCTCAGGAACTTCTTTGTGATGTTTGCATTCAAGTCACAGAATTGAACATTCCCTTTCATAGAGCAGGTTTGAAACACTCTTTCTCTAGTATCTGGAAGTGGGCATTTCAAGCGCTTTCAGGCCTATGGAGAGAAAGGAAATACCTTCAAATAAAAACTAGACAGAAGCATTCTCAGAAACTTATTTGTGATGTGTGTCCTCAACTAACAGAGTTGAACCTTTGTTTTGATACAGCATTTTGGAAACACTCCTTTTGTAGAATCTGCAGGTGGATATTTGGATAGCTTTGAAGATTTCGTTGGAAACCGGAATATCTTCATATAAAATCAAGACAGAAGCATTCTCGGAAACATCTCTGTGATGTTTGCATTCAACTCAGTAGAGTTGAACACTTCCTTTCATAGAGCAGGTTTGAAACACTCTTTCTGCACTACCTGGAAGCGGACATTTCGAGCGCTTTGAGGCCTATGGTGAAAAAGGAAATATCTTCTCATAAAAACCAGAAAGAAGCATTCTCAGAAACTTCTTTGTGTTGTGTGTACTCAAGTAACAGTGTTGAACCTTCCTTTTGACAGAGCAGTTTTGAAACACTCTTTTGGTAGAATCTGCAAGTGGATATTTGGATAGCTTTGAGGATTTCGTTGGAAACGGGTTATCTTCCTATAAAATCCAGACAGGAGCATTCTCAGAAACTTCTTTGTGCTGTATGTCCTCAATTCACAGAGCTGAACCTTTGTTTGGATACAGCATTTTGGAGACATTCCTTTAGTAGAATCTGCAAGTTGATATTTAGATAGCTTTGAAGATTTCGTTGGAAACGGGAATATCTTCATAGAAAATCTAGACGGAAGCATTCTCAGAAACTGCTTTGTGATGTTTGCATTCAAGTCACAGAGTTGAATATTCCCTTTTATAGAGTAGGTTTGAAACACTCTTTCGGCACTACCTGGAAGTGGATATTTCGAGCTCTTTGAGGCCTATGGTTAAAAGGAAATATCTTCCCATAAAAACTAGACAGAAGCCGTCTCAGAAACTTGTTTGTGATGTGTGTATTCAACTACCAGAGTTGAACATTTCTGTTACAGAGCAATTTTAAAACACTCTTTTTGTGGAATCTGAAAGTGGATAATTGGATAGCTTTGTGGATTTCGTTGGAAACGGGATGACGTATAAAATCTAGAGAGAAGCATTCTCAGGAACTTCTTTCTGATGTTTGCATTCAAGTCACAGAATTGAACATTCCTTTTCATAGTGCAGGTTTGAAACACTCTTTCTGTAGTATCTGGAAGTGGACATTTCAAGCGCTTTCAGGCCTGTGGGGAGAAAGGAAATATCTTCAAATAAAAACTAGACAGAAGGATTCTCAGAAACTTTTTGGTGATGTGTGTCCTAAACGAACACAGTTGAACCTTTGTTTTGATAGAGCGTTTTGGAAACACTCCTTTTGTAGAATCTGCAGGTGGATATTTGGATAGATTTTAAGATTTCGTTGGAAACGGGAATTTCTTCATATAAACTCAAGACAGATGCATTCTCAGAAACTTCTCTGTGATGTTTGCATTCCACTCATAGAGTTGAAAACTTCCTTTCATAGAGCAGGTTTGAAACACTCTTTTTGTAATATTTGGAAGTGGACATTTGCAGCGCTTTGAGGCCTATGGTGAAAAAGGAAATATCTTCTCATAAAAACCAGAAACAAGCTTTCTCAGAAACTTCTTTTTGATGTGTGTACTCAAGTAACAGAGTTGAACCTTCCTTTTGACACAGCAGTTTTGAAACAATCTTTTTGTAGAATCTGCAAGTGGATATTTGGATAGCTTTGAGGATTTCGTTGCAAACGGGATATCTTCATATAAAATCTAGACAGAAGCATTCTCAGAAACTTCTTTGTGCTGTATGTCCTCAATTAACAGAGTTGAACCATTGCTTGGATACAGCATTTTGGAAACATTCCTTTAGTAGAATCTGCAAGTTGATATTTAGATAGATTTGAAGATTTCGTTGGAAACGGGAATATCTTCATATAAAATCTAGACGGAGGCATTCTCAGAAACTGCTTTGTGATGTTTCCATTCAAGTCACAGAGTTGAATATTCTCTTTTATAGAGCACGTTTGAAACACTCTTTCTGCACTATCTGGAAGTGGACATTTCGAGCGCTGTGAGGCCTATGGTGAAAAAGGAAATATCTTCCCATAAAAACTAGACAGAAGCATTCTCAGAAACTTGTTTATGATGTGTGTATTCAACTAACAGACTTGAACTTTTGTATTTACAGAGCAGTTTTAAGACAATCTTTTTGTGGAATCAGAAAGTGGATATTCGGATGGCTTTGAGGACTTCGTTGGAAGCGGGATTACATATAAAATCTAGAGAGAAGCATTCTCAGGAACTACTTTGTGATGTTTGCATTGAAGTCACAGAATTGAACATTCACTTTGATAGAGCAGGTTTGAAACACTCATTCTGTAGTATCTGGAAGCGGACAATTCAAGCGCTTTCAGGCCTATGGGGAGAAAGGAAATATCTTCAAATAAAAACTAGAGAGAAGCATCCTCAGAAACTTATTTGTGATGTGTGTCCTCAACTAACAGAGTTGAAACTTTGTTTTGATACAGCATTTTGGAAACACTCTTTTTGTAGAATCTGCAGGTGGATATTTGGATAGCTTAGAGGGATTCGTTGGAAAGGGGATATCTTCATATAAAATCTAGACAGAAGCATTCTCAGAAACTTATTTGTGATGTGTGTCCTCAACTAACAGAGTGGAACCTTGGTTTTGATACAGCATTTTGGAAACACTCCTTTTGTAGTATCTGCAGGTGGATATGTGGATAGCTTTGAAGATTTCGTTGGAAACGGGAATTTCTTCATATAAAATCAAACAGAAGCATTCTCAGAAACTTCTCTGTGATGTTTGCATTCAGCTCATGGAGTTGAACACTTCCTTTCATAGAGCAGGTTTGAAACACTCTTTCTGCACTACCTGGAAGTGGACATTTCGAGCGCTTTGAGACCTATGGTGAAAAAGGAAATATCCTCTCATAAAAACCAGAAAGAAGCGTTCTCAGAAACTTCTTTGTGTTGTGTGTACTCATGTAACAGTGTTGAACCATCCTTTTGACAGAGCAGTTTTGAAACACTCTTTTTGTAGAATCTGCAAGTGGATATTTGGATAGCTTTGAGGATTTCGTTGGAAACGGGTTATCTTCATATTAAATCTAGACAGAAGCATTCTCAGAAACTTCTTTGTGCTGTATGTCCTCAATTCACAGAGTTGAACCTTTGTTTGGATACAGCATTTTGGAAACATTCCTTTAGTAGAATCTGCAAGTTGATATTTAGATAGCTTTGAAGATTTCGTTGGAAACGGGAATATCTTCATAAAAAATCTAGACGGAAGCATTGTCAGAAACTGCTCTGTGATGTTTGCATTCAAGTCACAGAGTTAAATATTCTTTTACAGAGCAGGTTTGAAACACTCTTTCTGCACTCCCTGGAAGTGGAGATTTCGAGCGCTTTGAGGCCTATGGTGAAAAAGGAAATATCTTCCCGTAAAAACTAGACGGAAGCCTTCTCAGAAACTTGTTTGAGATGTGTGTATTCAACTAAGAGCGTTGAACATTTCTTTTTACAGAGCAGTTTTAAAACAGTCTTTTGGTGGAATCTGAAAGTGGATAATTGGATAGCTTTGTGGATTTCGTTGCAAACGGGATTACGTTTAAAATCTAGAGAGAAGCATTCTCAGGAACTTCTTTCTGATGTTTGCATTCAAGTCACAGAATTGAACATTCCTTTTCAGAGTGCAGGTTTGAAACACACTCTTTCTGTAGTATCTGGAAGTGGACATTTCAAGCGCTTTCAGGCCTACGGGGAGAAAGGAAATATCTTCAAATAAAAACTAGACAGAAGGATTCTCAGAAACTTATTTGTGATGTGTGTCCTAAACGAACACAGTTGAACCTTTGTTTTGATACAGCATTTTGGAAACACTCCTTTTGTAGGATCTGCAGGTGGATATTTGGATAGATTTTAAGATTTCGTTGGAAACGGGAATTTCTGCATATAAACTCAAGACAGATGCATTCTCAGAAACTTCTCTGTGATGTTTGCATTCCACTCATAGAGTTGAAAACTTCCTTTCATAGAGCAGGTTTGAAACACTCTTTTTGTAATATTTGGAAGTGGACATTTGCAGCGCTTTGAGGCCTATGGTGAAAAAAGGAAATATCTTCTCATAAAAACCAGAAACAAGCATTCTCAGAAACTTCTTTTTGATGTGTGTACTCAAGTAACAGAGTTGAACCTTCCTTTTGACACAGCAGTTTTGAAACAATCTTTTTGTAGAATCTGCAAGTGGATATTTGGATAGCTTTGAGGATTTCGTTGGAAACGGGATATCTTCATATAAAATCTAGACAGAAGCATTCTCAGAAACTTCTTTGTGCTGTATGTCCTCAATTAACAGAGTTGAACCATTGCTTGGATACAGCATTTTGGAAACATTCCTTGAGTAGAATCTGCAAGTTGATATTTAGATAGATTTGAAGATTTCGTTGGAAAAGGGAATATCTCCATATAAAATCTAGAGGGAAGCATTCTCAGAAACTGCTTTGTGATGTTTCCATTCAAGTCACAGAGTTGAATATTCCCTTTTATAGAGCACGTTTGAAACACTCTTTCTGCACTATCTGGAAGCGGACATTTCGAGCGCTTTGAGGCCTATGGTGAAAAAGGAAATATCTTCCCATAAAAACTAGACAGAAGCATTCTCAGAAACTTGTTTGTGATGTGTGTATTCAACTAACAGAGTTGAACTTTTGTTTTTACAGAGCCGTTTTAAAACACTCTTTTTGTGGAATCAGAAAGTGGATATTCGGATGGCTCTGAGGATTTCGTTGGAAGCGGGATTACGTATAAAATCTAGAGAGAAGCATTCTCAGGAACTTCTTTCTGATGTTTGCATTGAAGTCACAGAATTGAACATTCACTTTGATAGAGCAGGTTTGAAACACTCATTCTGTAGTATCTGGAAGTGGACATTTCAAGCGCTTTCAGGCCTATGGTGAGAAAGGAAATATCTTCGAATAAAAACTAGACAGAAGCATCCTCAAACTTATTTGTGATGTGTGTCCTCAACTAACAGAGTTGAACCTTTGTTTTGATACAGCATTTTGGAAACACTCTTTTTGTAGAATCTGCAGGTGGATATTTGGATAGCTTAGAGGGATTCGTTGGAAAGGGGATATCTTCATATAAAATCTAGACAGAAGCATTCTCAGAAACTTATTTGTGATGTGTGTCCTCAACTAACAGAGTTGAACCTTGGTTTTGATACAGCATTTTGGAAACACTCCTTTTGTAGAATCTGCAGGTGGATATGTGGATAGCTCTGAAGATTTCGTTGGAAACGGGAATTTCTTCATATAAAATCAAACAGAAGCATTCTCAGAAACTTCTCAGTGATGTTTGCATTCAGCTCATGGAGTTGTACACTTCCTTTCATAGAGCAGGTTTGAAACACTCTTTCTGCACTACCTGGAAGAGGACATTTCGAGCGCTTTGAGTCCTATGGTGAAAAAGGATATATCTTCTCATAGAAACCAGAAAGAAGCATTCTCAGAAACTTCTTTGTGTTGTGTGTACTCATGTAACAGTGTTGAACCATCCTTTTGACAGAGCAGTTTTGAAACACTCTTTTTGTAGAATCTGCAAGTGGATATTTGGATAGCTTTGAGGATTTCGTTGGAAACGGGATGACATATAATATCTAGAGAGAAGCATTCTCAGGAACTTCTTTGTGATGTTTGCATTCAAGTCACAGAATTGAACATTCCCTTTCATAGAGCAGGTTTGAAACACTCTTTCTCTAGTATCTGGAAGTGGGCATTTCAAGCGCTTTCAGGCCTATGGAGAGAAAGGAAATACCTTCAAATAAAAACTAGACAGAAGCATTCTCAGAAACTTATTTGTGATGTGTGTCCTCAACTAACAGAGTTGAACCTTTGTTTTGATACAGCATTTTGGAAACACTCCTTTTGTAGAATCTGCAGGTGGATATGTGGATAGCTTTGAAGATTTCGTTGGAAACCGGAATATCTTCATATAAAATCAAGACAGAAGCATTCTCGGAAACATCTCTGTGATGTTTGCATTCAACTCAGTAGAGTTGAACACTTCCTTTCATAGAGCAGGTTTGAAACACTCTTTCTGCACTACCTGGAAGCGGACATTTCGAGCGCTTTGAGGCCTATGGTGAAAAAGGAAATATCTTCTCATAAAAACCAGAAAGAAGCATTCTCAGAAACTTCTTTGTGTTGTGTGTACTCAAGTAACAGTGTTGAACCTTCCTTTTGACAGAGTAGTTTTGAAACACTCTTTTGGTAGAATCTGCAAGTGGATATTTGGATAGCTTTGAGGATTTCGTTGGAAACGGGTTATCTTCATATAAAATCCAGACAGGAGCATTCTCAGAAACTTCTTTGTGCTGTATGTCCTCAATTCACAGAGCTGAACCTTTGTTTGGATACAGCATTTTGGAGACATTCCTTTAGTAGAATCTGCAAGTTGATATTTAGATAGCTTTGAAGATTTCGTTGGAAACGGGAATATCTTCATAGAAAATCTAGACGGAAGCATTCTCAGAAACTGCTTTGTGATGTTTGCATTCAAGTCACAGAGTTGAATATTCCCTTTTATAGAGTAGGTTTGAAACACTCTTTCGGCACTACCTGGAAGTGGATATTTCGAGCTCTTTGAGGCCTATGGTTAAAAGGAAATATCTTCCCATAAAAACTAGACAGAAGCCGTCTCAGAAACTTGTTTGTGATGTGTGTATTCAACTAACAGAGTTGAACATTTCTGTTACAGAGCAATTTTAAAACACTCTTTGTGGAATCTGAAAGTGGATAATTGGATAGCTTTGTGGATTTCGTTGGAAACGGGATGACGTATAAAATCTAGAGAGAAGCATTCTCAGGAACTTCTTTCTGATGTTTGCATTCAAGTCACAGAATTGAACATTCCTTTTCATAGTGCAGGTTTGAAACACTCTTTCTGTAGTATCTGGAAGTGGACATTTCAAGCGCTTTCAGGCCTGTGGGGAGAAAGGAAATATCTTCAAATAAAAACTAGACAGAAGGATTCTCAGAAACTTATTTGTGATGTGTGTCCTAAACGAACACAGTTGAACCTTTGTTTTGATACAGCATTTTGGAAACACTCCTTTTGTAGAATCTGCAGGTGGATATTTGGATAGATTTTAAGATTTCATTGGAAACGGGAATTTCTTCATATAAACTCAAGACAGATGCATTCTCAGAAACTTCTCTGTGATGTTTGCATTCCACTCATAGAGTTGAAAACTTCCTTTCATAGAGCAGGTTTGAAACACTCTTTTTGTAATATTTGGAAGTGGACATTTGCAGCGCTTTGAGGCCTATGGTGAAAAAGGAAATATCTTCTCATAAAAACCAGAAACAAGCATTCTCAGAAACTGCTTTTTGATGTGTGTACTCAAGTAACAGAGTTGAACCTTCCTTTTGACACAGCAGTTTTGAAACAATCTTTTTGTAGAATCTGCAAGTGGATATTTGGAGAGCTTTGAGGATTTCGTTGGAAACGGGATATCTTCATATAAAATCTAGACAGAAGCATTCTCAGAAACTTCTTTGTGCTGTATGTCCTCAATTAACAGAGTTGAACCATTGCTTGGATACAGCATTTTGGAAACATTCCTTTAGTAGAATCTGCAAGTTGATATTTAGATAGATTTGAAGATTTCGTTGGAAACGGGAATATCTTCATATAAAATCTAGATGGAAGCATTCTCAGAAACTTCTCTGTGATGTTTGCATTCAGCTCATGGAGTTGAACACTTCCTTTCATAGAGCAGGGTTGAAACACTCTTTCTGCACTACCTGGAAGTGGACATTTCGAGCGCTTTGAGGCCTATGGTGAAAAAGGAAATATCTTCCCATAAAAACTAGACAGAAGCATTCTCAGAAACTTGTTTGTGATGTGTGTATTCAACTAACAGACTTGAACTTTTGTTTTTACAGAGCAGTTTTAAAACAATCTTTTTGTGGAATCAGAAAGTGGATATTCGGATGGCTTTGAGGATTTCGTTGGAAGCGGGATTACATATAAAATCTAGAGAGAAGCATTCTCAGGAACTACTTTGTGATGTTTGCATTGAAGTCACAGAATTGAACATTCACTTTGATAGAGCAGGTATGAAACACTCATTCTGTAGTATCTGGAAGTGGACATTTCAAGCGCTTTCAGGCCTATGGTGAGAAAGGAAATGTCTTCAAATGAAAACTAGACAGAAGCAACCTCAGAAACTTATTTATGATGTGTGTCCTCAAATAACAGAGTTTAAACTTTGTTTTGATACAGCATTTTGGAAACACTCTTTTTGTAGAATCTGCAGGTGGATATTTGGATAGCTTAGAGGGATTCGTTGGAAAGGGGATATCTTCATATAAAATCTAGACAGAAGCATTCTAAGAAACTTATTTGTGATGTGTGTCCTCAACTAACAGAGTTGAACCTTGGTTTTGATACAGCATTTTGGAAACACTCCTTTTGAAGAATCTGCAGGTGGATATGTGGATAGCTTTGAAGATTTCGTTGGAAACGGGAATTTCTTCATATAAAATCAAACAGAAGCATTCTCAGAAACTTCTCTGTGATGTTTGCATTCAGCTCATGGAGTTGAACACTTCCTTTCATAGAGCAGGTTTGAAACACTCTTTCTGCACTACTTGGAAGTGGACATTTCGAGCGCTTTGAGGCCTATGGTGAAAAAGGAAATATCTTCTCATAAAAACCAGAAAGAAGCGTCCTCAGAAACTTCTTTGTGTTGTGTGTACTCATGTAACAGTGTTGAACCATCCTTTTGACAGAGCAGTTTTTAAACACTCTTTTTGTAGAATCTGCAAGTGGATATTTGGATAGCTTTGAGGATTTCGTTGGAAACGGGTTATCTTCATATTAAATCTAGACAGAAAGCATTCTCAGGAACTTCTTTGTGATGTTTGCATTCAAGTCACAGAATTGAACATTCCCTTTCATAGAGCAGGTTTGAAACACTCTTTCTCTAGTATCTGGAAGTGGGCATTTCAAGCGCTTTCAGGCCTATGGAGAGAAAGGAAATACCTTCAAATAAAAACTAGACAGAGCATTCTCAGAAACTTATTTGTGATGTGTGTCCTCAACTAACAGAGTTGAACCTTTGTTTTGATACAGCATTTTGGAAACACTCCTTTTGTAGAATCTGCAGGTGGATATTTGGATAGCTTTGAAGATTTCGTTGGAAACCGGAATATCTTCATATAAAATCAAGACAGAAGCATTCTCGGAAACATCTCTGTGATGTTTGCATTCAACTCAGTAGAGTTGAACACTTCCTTTCATAGAGCAGGTTTGAAACACTCTTTCTGCACTACCTGGAAGCGGACATTTCGAGCGCTTTGAGGCCTATGGTGAAAAAGGAAATATCTTCTCATAAAAACCAGAAAGAAGCATTCTCAGAAACTTCTTTGTGTTGTGTGTACTCAAGTAACAGTGTTGAACCTTCCTTTTGACAGAGCAGTTTTGAAACACTCTTTTGGTAGAATCTGCAAGTGGATATTTGGATAGCTTTGAGGATTTCGTTGGAAACGGGTTATCTTCCTATAAAATCCAGACAGGAGCATTCTCAGAAACTTCTTTGTGCTGTATGTCCTCAATTCACAGAGCTGAACCTTTGTTTGGATACAGCATTTTGGAGACATTCCTTTAGTAGAATCTGCAAGTTGATATTTAGATAGCTTTGAAGATTTCGTTGGAAACGGGAATATCTTCATAGAAAATCTAGACGGAAGCATTCTCAGAAACTGCTTTGTGATGTTTGCATTCAAGTCACAGAGTTGAATATTCCCTTTTATAGAGTAGGTTTGAAACACTCTTTCGGCACTACCTGGAAGTGGATATTTCGAGCTCTTTGAGGTCTATGGTTAAAAGGAAATATCTTCCCATAAAAACTAGACAGAAGCCGTCTCAGAAACTTGTTTGTGATGTGTGTATTCAACTAACAGAGTTGAACATTTCTGTTACAGAGCAATTTAAAACACTCTTTTTGTGGAATCTGAAAGTGGATAATTGGATAGCTTTGTGGATTTCGTTGGAAACGGGATGACGTATAAAATCTAGAGAGAAGCATTCTCAGGAACTTCTTTCTGATGTTTGCATTCAAGTCACAGAATTGAACATTCCTTTTCAGAGTGCAGGTTTGAAACACTCTTTCTGTAGTATCTGGAAGTGGACATTTCAAGCGCTTTCAGGCCTACGGGGAGAAAGGAAATATCTTCAAATAAAAACTAGACAGAAGGATTCTCAGAAACTTATTTGTGATGTGTGTCCTAAACGAACACAGTTGAACCTTTGTTTTGATACAGCATTTTGGAAACACTCCTTTTGTAGGATCTGCAGGTGGATATTTGGATAGATTTTAAGATTTCGTTGGAAACGGGAATTTCTTCATAGAAGCTCAAGACAGATGCATTCTCAGAAACTTCTCTGTGATGTTTGCATTCCACTCATAGAGTTGAAAACTTCCTTTCATAGAGCAGGTTTGAAACACTCTTTTTGTAATATTTGGAAGTGGACATTTGCAGCGCTTTGAGGCCTATGGTGAAAAAGGAAATATCTTCTCATAAAAACCAGAAACAAGCATTCTCAGAAACTTCTTTTTGATGTGTGTACTCAAGTAACAGTGTTGAACCTTCCTTTTGACACAGCAGTTTTGAAACAATCTTTTTGTAGAATCTGCAAGTGGATATTTGGATAGCTTTGAGGATTTCGTTGGAAACGGGATATCTTCATATAAAATCTAGACAGAAGCATTCTCAGAAACTTCTTTGTGCTGTATGTCCTCAATTAACAGAGTTGAACCATTGCCTGGATACAGCATTTTGGAAACATTCCTTGAGTAGAATCTGCAAGTTGATATTTAGATAGATTTGAAGATTTCGTTGGAAAAGGGAATATCTCCATATAAAATCTAGAGGGAAGCATTCTCAGAAACTGCTTTGTGATGTTTCCATTCAAGTCACAGAGTTGAATATTCCCTTTTATAGAGCACGTTTGAAACACTCTTTCTGCACTATCTGGAAGCGGACATTTCGAGCGCTTTGAGGCCTATGGTGAAAAAGGAAATATCTTCCCATAAAAACTAGACAGAAGCATTCTCAGAAACTTGTTTGTGATGTGTGTATTCAACTAACAGAGTTGAACTTTTGTTTTTACAGAGCCGTTTTAAAACACTCTTTTTGTGGAATCAGAAAGTGGATATTCGGATGGCTCTGAGGATTTCGTTGGAAGCGGGATTACGTATAAAATCTAGAGAGAAGCATTCTCAGGAACTTCTTTGTGATGTTTGCATTGAAGTCACAGAATTGAACATTCACTTTGATAGAGCAGGTTTGAAACACTCATTCTGTAGTATCTGGAAGTGGACATTTCAAGCGCTTTCAGGCCTATGGTGAGAAAGGAAATATCTTCGAATAAAAACTAGACAGAAGCATCCTCAGAAACTTATTTGTGATGTGTGTCCTCAACTAACAGAGTTGAAACTTTGTTTTGATACAGCATTTTGGAAACACTCTTTTTGTAGAATCTGCAGGTGGATATTTGGATAGCTTAGAGGGATTCGTTGGAAAGGGGATATCTTCATATAAAATGCTAGACAGAAGCATTCTCAGAAACTTATTTGTGATGTGTGTCCTCAACTAACAGAGTGGAACCTTGGTTTTGATACAGCATTTTGGAAACACTCCTTTTGTAGAATCTGCAGGTGGATATGTGGATAGCTTTGAAGATTTCGTTGGAAACGGGAATTTCTTCATATAAAATCAAACAGAAGCATTCTCAGAAACTTCTCTGTGATGTTTGCATTCAGCTCATGGAGTTGAACACTTCCTTTCATAGAGCAGGTTTGAAACACTCTTTCTGCACTACCAGGAAGTGGACATTTCGAGCGCTTTGAGGCTTATGGTGAAAAAGGAAATATCTTCTCATAAAAACCAGAAAGAAGCGTTCTCAGAAACTTCTTTGTGTTGTGTGTACTCATGTAACAGTGTTGAACCATCCTTTTGACAGAGCAGTTTTGAAACAATCTTTTTGTAGAATCTGCAAGTGGATATTTGGATAGCTTTGAGGATTTCGTTGGAAACGGGATATCTTCATATAAAATCTAGACAGAAGCATTCTCAGAAACTTCTTTGTGCTGTATGTCCTCAATTAACAGAGTTGAACCATTGCTTGGATACAGCATTTTGGAAACATTCCTTTAGTAGAATCTGCAAGTTGATATTTAGATAGATTTGAAGATTTCGTTGGAAACGGGAATATCTTCATATAAAATCTAGACGGAGGCATTCTCAGAAACTGCTTTGTGATGTTTCCATTCAAGTCACAGAGTTGAATATTCTCTTTTGTAGAGCACGTTTGAAACTCTCTTTCTGTACTATCTGTTAGTGGACATTTCGAGCGCAGTGAGGCCTACGGTGAAAAAGGAAATATCTTCCCATAAAAACTAGACAGAAGCATTCTCAGAAACTTGTTTATGATGTGTGTATTCAACTAACAGACTTGAACGTTTGTTTTTACAGAGCAGTTTTAAGACAATCTTTTTGTGGAATCAGAAAGTGGATATTTGGATGGCTTTGAGGACTTCGTTGGAAGCGGGATTACATATAAAATCTAGAGAGAAGCATTCTCAGGAACTACTTTGTGACGTTTGCATTGAAGTCACAGAATTGAACATTCACTTTGATAGAGCAGGTTTGAAACACTCATTCTGTAGTATCTGGAAGCGGACAATTCAAGCGCTTTCAGGCCTATGGGGAGAAAGGAAATATCTTCAAATAAAAACTAGAGAGAAGCATCCTCAGAAACTTATTTGTGATGTGTGTCCTCAACTAACAGAGTTGAAACTTTGTTTTGATACAGCATTTTGGAAACACTCTTTTTGTAGAATCTGCAGGTGGATACTTGGATAGCTTAGAGGGATTCGTTGGAAAGGGGATAAATTCATATAAAATGTAGACAGAAGCATTCTCAGAAACTTATTTGTGATGTGTGTCCTCAACTAACAGAGTTGAACCTTGGTTTTGATACAGCATTTTGGAAACACTCCTTTTGTAGAATCTGCAGGTGGATATGTGGATAGCTCTGAAGATTTCGTTGGAAACGGGAATTTCTTCATATAAAATCAAACAGAAGCATTCTCAGAAACTTCTCAGTGATGTTTGCATTCAGCTCATGGAGTTGTACACTTCCTTTCATAGAGCAGGTTTGAAACACTCTTTCTGCACTACCTGGAAGAGGACATTTCGAGCGCTTTGAGTCCTATGGTGAAAAAGGAAATATCTTCTCATAGAAACCAGAAAGAAGCATTCTCAGAAACTTCTTTGTGTTGTGTGTACTCATGTAACAGTGTTGAACCATCCTTTTGACAGAGCAGTTTTGAAACACTCTTTTTGTAGAATCTGCAAGTGGATATTTGGATAGCTTTGAGGATTTCGTTGGAAACGGGATGACATATAATATCTAGAGAGAAGCATTCTCAGGAACTTCTTTGTGATGTTTGCATTCAAGTCACAGAATTGAACATTCCCTTTCATAGAGCAGGTTTGAAACACTCTTTCTCTAGTATCTGGAAGTGGGCATTTCAAGCGCTTTCAGGCCTATGGAGAGAAAGGAAATACCTTCAAATAAAAACTAGACAGAAGCATTCTCAGAAACTTATTTGTGATGTGTGTCCTCAACTAACAGAGTTGAACCTTTGTTTTGATACAGCATTTTGGAAACACTCCTTTTGTAGAATCTGCAGGTGGATATTTGGATAGCTTTGAAGATTTCGTTGGAAACCGGAATATCTTCATATAAAATCAAGACAGAAGCATTCTCGGAAACATCTCTGTGATGTTTGCATTCAACTCAGTAGAGTTGAACACTTCCTTTCATAGAGCAGGTTTGAAACACTCTTTCTGCACTACCTGGAAGCGGACATTTCGAGCGCTTTGAGGCCTATGGTGAAAAAGGAAATATCTTCTCATAAAAACCAGAAAGAAGCATTCTCAGAAACTTCTTTGTGTTGTGTGTACTCAAGTAACAGTGTTGAACCTTCCTTTTGACAGAGCAGTTTTGAAACACTCTTTTGGTAGAATCTGCAAGTGGATATTTGGAGAGCTTTGAGGAATTCGTTGGAAACGGGTTATCTTCATATAAAATCCAGACAGGAGCATTCTCAGAAACTTCTTTGTGCTGTATGTCCTCAATTCACAGAGCTGAACCTTTGTTTGGATACAGCATTTTGGAGACATTCCTTTAGTAGAATCTGCAAGTTGATATTTAGATAGCTTTGAAGATTTCGTTGGAAACGGGAATATCTTCATAGAAAATCTAGACGGAAGCATTCTCAGAAACTGCTTTGTGATGTTTGCATTCAAGTCACAGAGTTGAATATTCCCTTTTATAGAGTAGGTTTGAAACACTCTTTCGGCACTACCTGGAAGTGGATATTTCGAGCTCTTTGAGGCCTATGGTTAAAAGGAAATATCTTCCCATAAAAACTAGACAGAAGCCGTCTCAGAAACTTGTTTGTGATGTGTGTATTCAACTACCAGAGTTGAACATTTCTGTTACAGAGCAATTTTAAAACACTCTTTCTGTGGAATCTGAAAGTGGATAATTGGATAGCTTTGTGGATTTCGTTGGAAACGGGATGACGTATAAAATCTAGAGAGAAGCATTCTCAGGAACTTCTTTCTGATGTTTGCATTCAAGTCACAGAATTGAACATTCCTTTTCAGAGTGCAGGTTTGAAACACTCTTTCTGTAGTATCTGGAAGTGGACATTTCAAGCGCTTTCAGGCCTACGGGGAGAAAGGAAATATCTTCAAATAAAAACTAGACAGAAGGATTCTCAGAAACTTATTTGTGATGTGTGTCCTAAACGAACACAGTTGAACCTTTGTTTTGATACAGCATTTTGGAAACACTCCTTTTGTAGGATCTGCAGGTGGATATTTGGATAGATTTTAAGATTTCATTGGAAACGGGAATTTCTTCATAGAAGCTCAAGACAGATGCATTCTCAGAAACTTCTCTGTGATGTTTGCATTCCACTCATAGAGTTGAAAACTTCCTTTCATAGAGCAGGTTTGAAACACTCTTTTTGTAATATTTGGAAGTGGACATTTGCAGCGCTTTGAGGCCTATGGTGAAAAAGGAAATATCTTCTCATAAAAACCAGAAACAAGCATTCTCAGAAACTTCTTTTTGATGTGTGTACTCAAGTAACAGAGTTGAACCTTCCTCTTGACACAGCAGTTTTGAAACAATCTTTTTGTAGAATCTGCAAGTGGATATTTGGATAGCTTTGAGGATTTCGTTGGAAACGGGATATCTTCATATAAAATCTAGACAGAAGCATTCTCAGAAACTTCTTTGTGCTGTATGTCCTCAATTAACAGAGTTGAACCATTGCCTGGATACAGCATTTTGGAAACATTCCTTGAGTAGAATCTGCAAGTTGATATTTAGATAGATTTGAAGATTTCGTTGGAAAAGGGAATATCTCCATATAAAATCTAGAGGGAAGCATTCTCAGAAACTGCTTTGTGATGTTTCCATTCAAGTCACAGAGTTGAATATTCCCTTTTATAGAGCACGTTTGAAACACTCTTTCTGCACTATCTGGAAGCGGACATTTCGAGCGCTTTGAGGCCTATGGTGAAAAAGGAAATATCTTCCCATAAAAACTAGACAGAAGCATTCTTAGAAACTTGTTTGTGATGTGTGTATTCAACTAACAGAGTTGAACTTTTGTTTTTACAGAGCCGTTTTAAAACACTCTTTTTGTGGAATCAGAAAGTGGATATTCGGATGGCTCTGAGGATTTCGTTGGAAGCGGGATTACGTATAAAATCTAGAGAGAAGCATTCTCAGGAACTTCTTTGTGATGTTTGCATTGAAGTCACAGAATTGAACATTCACTTTGATAGAGCAGGTTTGAAACACTCATTCTGTAGTATCTGGAAGTGGACATTTCAAGCGCTTTCAGGCCTATGGTGAGAAAGGAAATATCTTCGAATAAAAACTAGACAGAAGCATCCTCAAACTTATTTGTGATGTGTGTCCTCAACTAACAGAGTTGAAACTTTGTTTTGATACAGCATTTTGGAAACACTCTTTTTGTAGAATCTGCAGGTGGATATTTGGATAGCTTAGAGGGATTCGTTGGAAAGGGGATATCTTCATATAGAATCTAGACAGAAGCATTCTCAGAAACTTATTTGTGATGTGTGTCCTCAACTAACAGAGTTGAACTTTGGTTTTGATACAGCATTTTGGAAACACTCCTTTTGTAGAATCTGCAGGTGGATATGTGGATAGCTCTGAAGATTTCGTTGGAAACGGGAATTTCTTCATATAAAATCAAACAGAAGCATTCTCAGAAACTTCTCAGTGATGTTTGCATTCAGTTCATGGAGTTGAACACTTCCTTTCATAGAGCCGGTTTGAAACACTCTTTCTGCACTACCTGGAAGAGGACATTTCGAGCGCTTTGAGTCCTATGGTGAAAAAGGAAATATCTTCTCATAGAAACCAGAAAGAAGCATTCTCAGAAACTTCTTTGTGTTGTGTGTACTCATGTAACAGTGTTGAACCATCCTTTTGACAGAGCAGTTTTGAAACACTCTTTTTGTAGAATCTGCAAGTGGATATTTGGATAGCTTTGAGGATTTCGTTGGAAACGGGATGACATATAATATCTAGAGAGAAGCATTCTCAGGAACTTCTTTGTGATGTTTGCATTCAAGTCACAGAATTGAACATTCCCTTTCATAGAGCAGGTTTGAAACACTCTTTCTCTAGTATCTGGAAGTGGGCATTTCAAGCGCTTTCAGGCCTATGGAGAGAAAGGAAATACCTTCAAATAAAAACTAGACAGAAGCATTCTCAGAAACTTATTTGTGATGTGTGTCCTCAACTAACAGAGTTGAACCTTTGTTTTGATACAGCATTTTGGAAACACTCCTTTTGTAGAATCTGCAGGTGGATATTTGGATAGCTTTGAAGATTTCGTTGGAAACCGGAATATCTTCATATAAAATCAAGACAGAAGCATTCTCGGAAACATCTCTGTGATGTTTGCATTCAACTCAGTAGAGTTGAACACTTCCTTTCATAGAGCAGGTTTGAAACACTCTTTCTGCACTACCTGGAAGCGGACATTTCGAGCGCTTTGAGGCCTATGGTGAAAAAGGAAATATCTTCTCATAAAAACCAGAAAGAAGCATTCTCAGAAACTTCTTTGTGTTGTGTGTACTCAAGTAACAGTGTTGAACCTTCCTTTTGACAGAGCAGTTTTGAAACACTCTTTTGGTAGAATCTGCAAGTGGATATTTGGAGAGCTTTGAGGAATTCGTTGGAAACGGGTTATCTTCCTATAAAATCCAGACAGGAGCATTCTCAGAAACTTCTTTGTGCTGTATGTCCTCAATTCACAGAGCTGAACCTTTGTTTGGATACAGCATTTTGGAGACATTCCTTTAGTAGAATCTGCAAGTTGATATTTAGATAGCTTCGAAGATTTCGTTGGAAACGGGAATATCTTCATAGAAAATCTAGACGGAAGCATTCTCAGAAACTGCTTTGTGATGTTTGCATTCAAGTCACAGAGTTGAATATTCCCTTTTATAGAGTAGGTTTGAAACACTCTTTCGGCACTACCTGGAAGTGGATATTTCGAGCTCTTTGAGGCCTATGGTTAAAAGGAAATATCTTCCCATAAAAACTAGACAGAAGCCGTCTCAGAAACTAGTTTGTGATGTGTGTATTCAACTAACAGAGTTGAACATTTCTGTTACAGAGCAATTTTAAAACACTCTTTTTGTGGAATCTGAAAGTGGATAATTGGATAGCTTTGTGGATTTCGTTGGAAACGGGATGACGTATAAAATCTAGAGAGAAGCATTCTCAGGAACTTCTTTCTGATGTTTGCATTCAAGTCACAGAATTGAACATTCCTTTTCAGAGTGCAGGTTTGAAACACTCTTTCTGTAGTATCTGGAAGTGGACATTTCAAGCGCTTTCAGGCCTACGGGGAGAAAGGAAATATCTTCAAATAAAAACTAGAGAGAAGGATTCTCAGAAACTTATTTGTGATGTGTGTCCTAAACGAACACAGTTGAACCTTTGTTTTGATACAGCATTTTGGAAACACTCCTTTTGTAGGATCTGCAGGTGGATATTTGGATAGATTTTAAAATTTCGTTGGAAACGGGAATTTCTTCATAGACGCTCAAGACAGATGCATTCTCAGAAACTTCTCTGTGATGTTTGCATTCCACTCATAGAGTTGAAAACTTCCTTTCATAGAGCAGGTTTGAAACACTCTTTTTGTAACATTTGGAAGTGGACATTTGCAGCGCTTTGAGGCCTATGGTGAAAAAGGAAATATCTTCTCATAAAAACCAGAAACAAGCATTCTCAGAAACTTCTTTTTGATGTGTGTACTCAAGTAACAGAGTTGAACCTTCCTTTTGACACAGCAGTTTTGAAACAATCTTTTTGTAGAATCTGCAAGTGGATATTTGGATAGCTTTGAGGATTTCGTTGGAAACGGGATATCTTCATATAAAATCTAGACAGAAGCATTCTCAGAAACTTCTTTGTGCTGTATGACCTCAATTAACAGAGTTGAACCATTGCTTGCATACAGCATTTTGGAAACATTCCTTGAGTAGAATCTGCAAGTTGATATTTAGATAGATTTGAAGATTTCGTTCGAAAACGGAATATCTCCATATAAAATCTAGAGGGAAGCATTCTCAGAAACTGCTTTGTGATGTTTCCATTCAAGTCACAGAGTTGAATATTCCCTTTTATAGAGCACGTTTGAAACACTCTTTCTGCGCTATCTGGAAGTGGACATTTCGAGCGCTGTGAGGCCTATGGTGAAAAAGGAAATATCTTCCCATAAAAACTAGACAGAAGCATTCTCAGAAACTTGTTTGTGATGTGTGTATTCAACTAACAGAGTTGAACTTTTGTTTTTACAGAGCCGTTTTAAAACACTCTTTTTGTGGAATCAGAAAGTGGATATTCGGATGGCTCTGAGGATTTCGTTGGAAGCGGGATTACGTATAAAATCTAGAGAGAAGCATTCTCAGGAACTTCTTTCTGATGTTTGCATTGAAGTCACGGAATTGAACATTCACTTTTATAGAGCAGGTTTGAAACACTCATTCTGTAGTATCTGGAAGTGGACATTTCAAGCGCTTTCAGGCCTATGGTGAGAAAGGAAATATCTTCGAATAAAAACTAGACAGAAGCATCCTCAGAAACTTATTTGTGATGTGTGTCCTCAACTAACAGAGTTGAAACTTTGTTTTGATACAGCATTTTGGAAACACTCTTTTTGTAGAATCTGCAGGTGGATATTTGGATAGCTTAGAGGGATTCGTTGGAAAGGGGATATCTTCATATAAAATCTAGACAGAAGCATTCTCAGAAACTTATTTGTGATGTGTGTCCTCAACTAACAGAGTTGAACCTTGGTTTTGATACAGCATTTTGGAAACACTCCTTTTGTAGAATCTGCAGGTGGATATGTGGATAGCTCTGAAGATTTCGTTGGAAACGGGAATTTCTTCATATAAAATCAAACAGAAGCATTCTCAGAAACTTCTCAGTGATGTTTGCATTCAGCTCATGGAGTTGTACACTTCCTTTCATAGAGCAGGTTTGAAACACTCTTTCTGCACTACCTGGAAGAGGACATTTCGAGCGCTTTGAGTCCTATGGTGAAAAAGGAAATATCTTCTCATAGAAACCAGAAAGAAGCATTCTCAGAAACTTCTTTGTGTTGTGTGTACTCATGTAACAGTGTTGAACCATCCTTTTGACAGAGGAGTTTTGAAACACTCTTTGTGTAGAATCGGCAAGTGGATATTTGGATAGCTTTGAGGATTTCGTTGGAAACGGGTTATCTTCATATAAAATCCAGACAGGAGCATTCTCAGAAACTTCTTTGTGCTGTATGTCCTCAATTCACAGAGTTGAACCTTTGTTTGGATACAGCATTTTGGAGACATTCCTTTAGTAGAATCTGCAAGTTGATATTTAGATAGCTTTGAAGATTTCGTTGGAAACGGGAATATCTTCATAGAAAATCTAGACGGAAGCATTCTCAGAAACTTCTCAGTGATGTTTGCATTCAAGTCACAGAGTTGAATATTCCCTTTTATAGAGTAGGTTTGAA
This sequence comes from Homo sapiens, assembly GCF_000001405.40. Taxonomy (NCBI): domain Eukaryota; kingdom Metazoa; phylum Chordata; class Mammalia; order Primates; family Hominidae; genus Homo; species Homo sapiens. Next base: position 50,095,733 of record NC_000004.12, read on the forward strand.
ACACTCTTTCGGCACTACCTGGAAGTGGATATTTCGAGCTCTTTGAGGCCTATGGTTAAAAGGAAATATCTTCCCATAAAAACTAGACAGAAGCCGTCTCAGAAACTTGTTTGTGATGTGTGTATTCAACTAACAGAGTTGAACATTTCTGTTACAGAGCAATTTTAAAACACTCTTTTTGTGGAATCTGAAAGTGGATAATTGGATAGCTTTGTGGATTTCGTTGGAAACGGGATGACGTATAAAATCTAGAGAGAAGCATTCTCAGGAACTTCTTTCTGATGTTTGCATTCAAGTCACAGAATTGAACATTCCTTTTCAGAGTGCAGGTTTGAAACACTCTTTCTGTAGTATCTGGAAGTGGACATTTCAAGCGCTTTCAGGCCTACGGGGAGAAAGGAAATCTCTTCAAATAAAAACCAGACAGAAGGATTCTCAGAAACTTATTTGTGATGTGTGTCCTAAACGAACACAGTTGAACCTTTGTTTTGATACAGCATTTTGGAAACACTCCTTTTGTAGAATCTGCAGGTGGATATTTGGATAGATTTTAAGATTTCATTGGAAACGGGAATTTCTTCATATAAACTCAAGACAGATGCATTCTCAGAAAGTTCTCTGTGATGTTTGCATTCCACTCACAGAGTTGAAAACTTCCTTTCATAGAGCAGGTTTGAAACACTCTTTTTGTAATATTTGGAAGTGGACATTTGCAGCGCTTTGAGGCCTATGGTGAAAAAGGAAATATCTTCTCATAAAAACCAGAAACAAGCATTCTCAGAAACTGCTTTTTGATGTGTGTACTCAAGTAACAGAGTTGAACCTTCCTTTTGACACAGCAGTTTTGAAACAATCTTTTTGTAGAATCTGCAAGTGGATATTTGGATAGCTTTGAGGATTTCGTTGGAAACGGGATATCTTCATATAAAATCTAGACAGAAGCATTCTCAGAAACTTCTTTGTGCTGTATGTCCTCAATTAACAGAGTTGAACCATTGCTTGGATACAGCATTTTGGAAACATTCCTTTAGTAGAATCTGCAAGTTGATATTTAGATAGCATTGAAGATTTCGTTGGAAACGGGAATATCTTCATATAAAATCTAGACGGAGGCATTCTCAGAAACTGCTTTGTGATGTTTCCATTCAAGTCACAGAGTTGAATATTCTCTTTTATAGAGCACGTTTGAAACACTCTTTCTGCACTGTCTGGAAGTGGACATTTCGAGCGCTTTGAGGCCTATGGTGAAAAAGGAAATATCTTCCCATAAAAACTAGACAGAAGCATTCTCAGAAACTTGTTTGTGATGTGTGTATTCAACTAACAGACTTGAACTTTTGTTTTTACAGAGCAGTTTTAAAACAATCTTTTTGTGGAATCAGAAAGTGGATATTCGGATGGCTTTGAGGATTTCGTTGGAAGCGGGATTACATATAAAATCTAGAGAGAAGCATTCTCAGGAACTACTTTGTGATGTTTGCATTGAAGTCACAGAATTGAACATTCACTATGATAGAGCAGGTTTGAAACACTCATGCTGTAGTATCTGGAAGTGGACATTTCAAGCGCTTTCAGGCCTATGGTGAGAAAGGAAATATCTTCAAATTAAAACTAGACAGAAGCATCCTCAGAAACTTATTTGTGATGTGTGTCCTCAACTAACAGAGTTGAAACTTTGTTTTGATACAGCATTTTGGAAACACTCTTTTTGTAGAATCTGCAGGTGGATATTTGGATAGCTTAGAGGGATTCGTTGGAAAGGGGATATCTTCATATAAAATCTAGACAGAAGCATTCTCAGAAACTTATTTGTGATGTGTGTCCTCAACTAACAGAGTTGAACCTTGGTTTTGATACAGCATTTTGGAAACACTCCTTTTGAAGAATCTGCAGGTGGATATGTGGATAGCTTTGAAGATTTCGTTGGAAACGGGAATTTCTTCATATAAAATCAAACAGAAGCATTCTCAGGAACTTCTCTGTGATGTTTGCATTCAGCTCATGGAGTTGAACACTTCCTTTCATAGAGCAGGTTTGAAACACTCTTTCTGCACTACCTGGAAGTGGACATTTCGAGCGCTTTGAGGCCTATGGTGAAAAAGGAAATATCCTCTCATAAAAACCAGAAAGAAGCGTTCTCAGAAACTTCTTTGTGTTGTGTGTACTCATGTAACAGTGTTGAACCATCCTTTTGACAGAGCAGTTTTGAAACACTCTTTTTGTAGAATCTGCAAGTGGATATTTGGATAGCTTTGAGGATTTCATTGGAAACGGGTTATCTTCATATTAAATCTAGACAGAAGCATTCTCAGAAACTTCTTTGTGCTGTATGTCCTCAATTCACAGAGTTGAACCTTTGTTTGGATACAGCATTTTGGAAACATTCCTTTAGTAGAATCTGCAAGTTGATATTTAGATAGCTTTGAAGATTTCGTTGGAAACGGGAATATCTTCATAAAAAATCTAGACGGAAGCATTGTCAGAAACTGCTCTGTGATGTTTGCATTCAAGTCACAGAGTTAAATATTCTTTTACAGAGCAGGTTTGAAACACTCTTTCTGCATTCCCTGGAAGTGGAGATTTCGAGCGCTTTGAGGCCTATGGTGAAAAAGGAAATATCTTCCCATAAAAACTAGACGGAAGCCTTCTCAGAAACTTGTTTGAGATGTGTGTATTCAACTAAGAGCGTTGAACATTTCTTTTTACAGAGCAGTTTTAAAACAGTCTTTTGGTGGAATCTGAAAGTGGATAATTGGATAGCTCTGTGGATTTCGTTGGAAACGGGATTACGTTTAAAATCTAGAGAGAAGCATTCTCAGGAACTTCTTTCTGATGTTTGCATTCAAGTCACAGAATTGAACATTCCTTTTCATAGTGCAGGTTTGAAACACTCTGTAGTATCTGGAAGTGGACATTTCAAGCGCTTTCAAGCCTATTGGGGAGAAAGGAAATATCTTGAAATAAAAACTAGACAGAAGGATTCTCAGAAACTTATTTGTGATGTGTGTCCTAAACGAACACAGTTGAACCTTTGTTTTGATACAGCATTTTGGAAACACTCCTTTTGTAGAATCTGCCGGTGGATATTTGGATAGATTTTAAGATTTCATTGGAAACGGGAATTTCTTCATATAAACTCAAGACAGATGCATTCTCAGAAACTTCTCTGTGATGTTTGCATTCCACTCATAGAGTTGAAAACTTCCTTTCATAGAGCAGGTTTGAAACACTCTTTTTGTAATATTTGGAAGTGGACATTTGCAGCGCTTTGAGGCCTATGGTGAAAAAGGAAATATCTTCTCATAAAAACCAGAAACAAGCATTCTCAGAAACTGCTTTTTGATGTGTGTACTCAAGTAACAGAGTTGAACCTTCCTTTTGACACAGCAGTTTTGAAACAATCTTTCTGTAGAATCTGCAAGTGGATATTTGGATAGCTTTGAGGATTTCGTTGGAAACGGGATATCTTCATATAAAATCTAGAAAGAAGCATTCTCAGAAACTTCTTTGTGCTGTATGTCCTCAATTAACAGAGTTGAACCATTGCTTGGATACAGCATTTTGGAAACATTACTTTAGTAGAATCTGCAAGTTGATATTTAGATAGCTTTGAAGATTTCGTTGGAACCGGGAATATCTTCATAGAAAATCTAGACGGAGGCATTCTCAGAAACTGCTTTGTGATGTTTCCATTCAAGTCACAGAGTTGAATATTCTCTTTTATAGAGCACGTTTGAAACACTCTTTCTGCACTATCTGGAAGTGGACATTTCGAGCGCTTTGAGGCCTATGGTGAAAAAGGAAGTATCTTCCCATAAAAACTAGACAGAAGCATTCTCAGAAACTTGTTTGTGATGTGTGTATTCAACTAACAGACTTGAACTTTTGTTTTTACAGAGCAGTTTTAAAACAATCTTTTTGTGGAATCAGAAAGTGGATTTTCGGATGGCTTTGAGGATTTCGTTGGAAGCGGGATTACATTTAAAATCTAGAGAGAAGCATTCTCAGGAACTACTTTGTGATGTTTGCATTGAAGTCACAGAATTGAACATTCACTTTGATAGAGCAGGTTTGAAACACTCATTCTGTATTATCTGGAAGTGGACATTTCAAGCGCTTTCAGGCCTATGGTGAGAAAGGAAATATCTTCAAATTAAAACTAGACAGAAGCATCCTCAGAAACTTATTTGTGATGTGTGTCCTAAACTAACAGAGTTGAAACTTTGTTTTGATACAGCATTTTGGAAACACTCTTTTTGTAGAATCTGCAGGTGGATATTTGGATAGCTTAGAGGGATTCGTTGGAAAGGGGATATCCTCATATAAAATCTAGACAGAAGCATTCTCAGAAACTTATTTGTGATGTGTGTCCTCAACTAACAGAGTTGAACCTTGGTTTTGATACAGCATTTTGGAAACACTCCTTTTGTAGAATCTGCATGTGGATATGTGGATAGCTCTGAAGATTTCGTTGGAAACGGGAATTTCTTCATATAAAATCAAACAGAAGCATTCTCAGAAACTTCTCAGTGATGTTTGCATTCAGCTCATGGAGTTGAACACTTCCTTTCATAGAGCAGGTTTGAAACACTCTTTCTGCACTACCTGGAAGAGGACATTTCGAGCGCTTTGAGTCCTATGGTGAAAAAGGAAATATCTTCTCATAGAAACCAGAAAGAAGCATTCTCAGAAACTTCTTTGTGTTGTGTGTACTCATGTAACAGTGTTGAACCATCCTTTTGACAGAGCAGTTTTGAAACACTCTTTTTGTAGAATCTGCAAGTGGATATTTGGATAGCTTTGAGGATTTCGTTGGAAACGGGATGACATATAATATACTAGAGAGAAGCATTCTCAGGAACTTCTTTGTGATGTTTGCATTCAAGTCACAGAATTGAACATTCCCTTTCATAGAGCAGGTTTGAAACACTCTTTCTCTAGTATCTGGAAGTGGGCATTTCAAGCGCTTTCAGGCCTATGGAGAGAAAGGAAATACCTTCAAATAAAAACTAGACAGAAGCATTCTCAGAAACTTATTTGTGATGTGTGTCCTCAACTAACAGAGTTGAACCTTTGTTTTGATACAGCATTTTGGAAACACTCCTTTTGTAGAATCTGCAGGTGGATATGTGGATAGCTTTGAAGATTTCGTTGGAAACCGGAATATCTTCCTATAAAATCAAGACAGAAGCATTCTCGGAAACATCTCTGTGATGTTTGCATTCAACTCAGTAGAGTTGAACACTTCCTTTCATAGAGCAGGTTTGAAACACTCTTTCTGCCCTACCTGGAAGCGGACATTTCGAGCTCTTTGAGGCCTATGGTGAAAAAGGAAATATCTTCTCATAAAAACCAGAAAGAAGCATTCTCAGAAACTTCTTTGTGTTGTGTGTACTCAAGTAACAGTGTTGAACCTTCCTTTTGACAGAGCAGTTTTGAAACACTCTTTTGGTAGAATCTGCAAGTGGATATTTGGATAGCTTTGAGGATTTCGTTGGAAACGGGTTATCTTCATATAAAATCCAGACAGGAGCATTCTCAGAATCTTCTTTGTGCTGTATGTCCTCAATTCACAGAGCTGAACCTTTGTTTGGATACAGCATTTTGGAGACATTCCTTTAGTAGAATCTGCAAGTTGATATTTAGATAGCTTTGAAGATTTCGTTGGAAACGGGAATATCTTCATAGAAAATCTAGACGGAAGCATTCTCAGAAACTGCTTTGTGATGTTTGCATTCAAGTCACAGAGTTGAATATTCCCTTTTATAGAGTAGGTTTGAAACACTCTTTCGGCACTACCTGGAAGTGGATATTTCGAGCTCTTTGAGGCCTATGGTTAAAAGGAAATATCTTCCCATAAAAACTAGACAGAAGCCGTCTCAGCAAACTTGTTTGTGATGTGTGTATTCAACTAACAGAGTTGAACATTTCTGTTACAGAGCAATTTTAAAACACTCTTTTTGTGGAATCTGAAAGTGGATAATTGGATAGCTTTGTGGATTTCGTTGGAAACGGGATGACGTATAAAATCTAGAGAGAAGCATTCTCAGGAACTTCTTTCTGATGTTTGCATTCAAGTCACAGAATTGAACATTCCTTTTCAGAGTGCAGGTTTGAAACACTCTTTCTGTAGTATCTGGAAGTGGACATTTCAAGCGCTTTCAGGCCTACAGGGAGAAAGGAAATATCTTCAAATAAAAACTAGAGAGAAGGATTCTCAGAAACTTATTTGTGATGTGTGTCCTAAACGAACACAGTTGAACCTTTGTTTTGATACAGCATTTTGGAAACACTCCTTTTGTAGGATCTGCAGGTGGATATTTGGATAGATTTTAAGATTTCGTTGGAAACGGGAATTTCTTCATAGAAGCTCAAGACAGATGCATTCTCAGAAACTTCTCTGTGATGTTTGCATTCCACTCATAGAGTTGAAAACTTCCTTTCATAGAGCAGGTTTGAAACACTCTTTTTGTAATATTTGGAAGTGGACATTTGCAGCGCTTTGAGGCCTATGGTGAAAAAGGAAATATCTTCTCATAAAAACCAGAAACAAGCATTCTCAGAAACTTCTTTTTGATGTGTGTACTCAAGTAACAGAGTTGAACCTTCCTCTTGACACAGCAGTTTTGAAACAATCTTTTTGTAGAATCTGCAAGTGGATATTTGGATAGCTTTGAGGATTTCGTTGGAAACGGGATATCTTCATATAAAATCTAGACAGAAGCATTCTCAGAAACTTCTTTGTGCTGTATGTCCTCAATTAACAGAGTTGAACCATTGCCTGGATACAGCATTTTGGAAACATTCCTTGAGTAGAATCTGCAAGTTGATATTTAGATAGATTTGAAGATTTCGTTGGAAAAGGGAATATCTCCATATAAAATCTAGAGGGAAGCATTCTCAGAAACTGCTTTGTGATGTTTCCATTCAAGTCACAGAGTTGAATATTCCCTTTTATAGAGCACGTTTGAAACACTCTTTCTGCACTATCTGGAAGCGGACATTTCGAGCGCTTTGAGGCCTATGGTGAAAAAGGAAATATCTTCCCATAAAAACTAGACAGAAGCATTCTCAGAAACTTGTTTGTGATGTGTGTATTCAACTAACAGAGTTGAACTTTTGTTTTTACAGAGCCGTTTTAAAACACTCTTTTTGTGGAATCAGAAAGTGGATATTCGGATGGCTCTGAGGATTTCGTTGGAAGCGGGATTACGTATAAAATCTAGAGAGAAGCATTCTCAGGAACTTCTTTGTGATGTTTGCATTGAAGTCACAGAATTGAACATTCACTTTGATAGAGCAGGTTTGAAACACTCATTCTGTAGTATCTGGAAGTGGACATTTCAAGCGCTTTCAGGCCTATGGTGAGAAAGGAAATATCTTCGAATAAAAACTAGACAGAAGCATCCTCAAACTTATTTGTGATGTGTGTCCTCAACTAACAGAGTTGAAACTTTGTTTTGATACAGCATTTTGGAAACACTCTTTTTGTAGAATCTGCAGGTGGATATTTGGATAGCTTAGAGGGATTCGTTGGAAAGGGGATATCTTCATATAAAATCTAGACAGAAGCATTCTCAGAAACTTATTTGTGATGTGTGTCCTCAACTAACAGAGTTGAACCTTGGTTTTGATACAGCATTTTGGAAACACTCCTTTTGTAGAATCTGCAGGTGGATATGTGGATAGCTCTGAAGATTTCGTTGGAAACGGGAATTTCTTCATATAAAATCAAACAGAAGCATTCTCAGAAACTTCTCAGTGATGTTTGCATTCAGCTCATGGAGTTGTACACTTCCTTTCATAGAGCAGGTTTGAAACACTCTTTCTGCACTACCTGGAAGAGGACATTTCGAGCGCTTTGAGTCCTATGGTGAAAAAGGAAATATCTTCTCATAGAAACCAGAAAGAAGCATTCTCAGAAACTTCTTTGTGTTGTGTGTACTCATGTAACAGTGTTGAACCATCCTTTTGACAGAGCAGTTTTGAAACACTCTTTTTGTAGAATCTGCAAGTGGATATTTGGATAGCTTTGAGGATTTCGTTGGAAACGGGATGACATATAATATCTAGAGAGAAGCATTCTCAGGAACTTCTTTGTGATGTTTGCATTCAAGTCACAGAATTGAACATTCCCTTTCATAGAGCAGGTTTGAAACACTCTTTCTCTAGTATCTGGAAGTGGGCATTTCAAGCGCTTTCAGGCCTATGGAGAGAAAGGAAATACCTTCAAATAAAAACTAGACAGAAGCATTCTCAGAAACTTATTTGTGATGTGTGTCCTCAACTAACAGAGTTGAACCTTTGTTTTGATACAGCATTTTGGAAACACTCCTTTTGTAGAATCTGCAGGTGGATATTTGGATAGCTTTGAAGATTTCGTTGGAAACCGGAATATCTTCCTATAAAATCAAGACAGAAGCATTCTCGGAAACATCTCTGTGATGTTTGCATTCAACTCAGTAGAGTTGAACACTTCCTTTCATAGAGCAGGTTTGAAACACTCTTTCTGCCCTACCTGGAAGCGGACATTTCGAGCTCTTTGAGGCCTATGGTGAAAAAGGAAATATCTTCTCATAAAAACCAGAAAGAAGCATTCTCAGAAACTTCTTTGTGTTGTGTGTACTCAAGTAACAGTGTTGAACCTTCCTTTTGACAGAGCAGTTTTGAAACACTCTTTTGGTAGAATCTGCAAGTGGATATTTGGATAGCTTTGAGGATTTCGTTGGAAACGGGTTATCTTCCTATAAAATCCAGACAGGAGCATTCTCAGAAACTTCTTTGTGCTGTATGTCCTCAATTCACAGAGTTGAACCTTTGTTTGGATACAGCATTTTGGAAACATTCCTTTAGTAGAATCTGCAAGTTGATATTTAGATAGCTTTGAAGATTTCGTTGGAAACGGGAATATCTTCATAAAAAATCTAGACGGAAGCATTCTCAGAAACTGCTTTGTGATGTTTGCATTCAAGTCACAGAGTTGAATATTCCCTTTTATAGAGTAGGTTTGAAACACTCTTTCGGCACTACCTGGAAGTGGATATTTCGAGCTCTTTGAGGCCTATGGTTAAAAGGAAATATCTTCCCATAAAAACTAGACAGAAGCCGTCTCAGAAACTTGTTTGTGATGTGTGTATTCAACTACCAGAGTTGAACATTTCTGTTACAGAGCAATTTTAAAACACTCTTTCTGTGGAATCTGAAAGTGGATAATTGGATAGCTTTGTGGATTTCGTTGGAAACGGGATGACGTATAAAATCTAGAGAGAAGCATTCTCAGGAACTTCTTTCTGATGTTTGCATTCAAGTCACAGAATTGAACATTCCTTTTCAGAGTGCAGGTTTGAAACACTCTTTCTGTAGTATCTGGAAGTGGACATTTCAAGCGCTTTCAGGCCTACGGGGAGAAAGGAAATATCTTCAAATAAAAACTAGACAGAAGGATTCTCAGAAACTTATTTGTGATGTGTGTCCTAAACGAACACAGTTGAACCTTTGTTTTGATACAGCATTTTGGAAACACTCCTTTTGTAGGATCTGCAGGTGGATATTTGGATAGATTTTAAGATTTCGTTGGAAACGGGAATTTCTGCATATAAACTCAAGACAGATGCATTCTCAGAAACTTCTCTGTGATGTTTGCATTCCACTCATAGAGTTGAAAACTTCCTTTCATAGAGCAGGTTTGAAACACTCTTTTTGTAATATTTGGAAGTGGACATTTGCAGCGCTTTGAGGCCTATGGTGAAAAAGGAAATATCTTCTCATAAAAACCAGAAACAAGCATTCTCAGAAACTTCTTTTTGATGTGTGTACTCAAGTAACAGAGTTGAACCTTCCTTTTGACACAGCAGTTTTGAAACAATCTTTTTGTAGAATCTGCAAGTGGATATTTGGATAGCTTTGAGGATTTCGTTGGAAACGGGATATCTTCATATAAAATCTAGACAGAAGCATTCTCAGAAACTTCTTTGTGCTGTATGTCCTCAATTAACAGAGTTGAACCATTGCCTGGATACAGCATTTTGGAAACATTCCTTGAGTAGAATCTGCAAGTTGATATTTAGATAGATTTGAAGATTTCGTTGGAAAAGGGAATATCTCCATATAAAATCTAGAGGGAAGCATTCTCAGAAACTGCTTTGTGATGTTTCCATTCAAGTCACAGAGTTGAATATTCCCTTTTATAGAGCACGTTTGAAACACTCTTTCTGCACTATCTGGAAGCGGACATTTCGAGCGCTTTGAGGCCTATGGTGAAAAAGGAAATATCTTCCCATAAAAACTAGACAGAAGCATTCTCAGAAACTTGTTTGTGATGTGTGTATTCAACTAACAGAGTTGAACTTTTGTTTTTACAGAGCCGTTTTAAAACACTCTTTTTGTGGAATCAGAAAGTGGATATTCGGATGGCTCTGAGGATTTCGTTGGAAGCGGGATTACGTATAAAATCTAGAGAGAAGCATTCTCAGGAACTTCTTTGTGATGTTTGCATTGAAGTCACAGAATTGAACATTCACTTTGATAGAGCAGGTTTGAAACACTCATTCTGTAGTATCTGGAAGTGGACATTTCAAGCGCTTTCAGGCCTATGGTGAGAAAGGAAATATCTTCGAATAAAAACTAGACAGAAGCATCCTCAAACTTATTTGTGATGTGTGTCCTCAACTAACAGAGTTGAAACTTTGTTTTGATACAGCATTTTGGAAACACTCTTTTTGTAGAATCTGCAGGTGGATATTTGGATAGCTTAGAGGGATTCGTTGGAAAGGGGATATCTTCATATAAAATCTAGACAGAAGCATTCTCAGAAACTTATTTGTGATGTGTGTCCTCAACTAACAGAGTTGAACCTTGGTTTTGATACAGCATTTTGGAAACACTCCTTTTGTAGAATCTGCATGTGGATATGTGGATAGCTCTGAAGATTTCGTTGGAAACGGGAATTTCTTCATATAAAATCAAACAGAAGCATTCTTAGAAACTTCTCAGTGATGTTTGCATTCAGCTCATGGAGTTGTACACTTCCTTTCATAGAGCAGGTTTGAAACACTCTTTCTGCACTACCTGGAAGAGGACATTTCGAGCGCTTTGAGTCCTATGGTGAAAAATGGAAATATCTTCTCATAGAAACCAGAAAGAAGCATTCTCAGTAAACTTCTTTGTGTTGTGTGTACTCATGTAACAGTGTTGAACCATCCTTTTGACAGAGCAGTTTTGAAACACTCTTTTTGTAGAATCTGCAAGTGGATATTTGGATAGCTTTGAGGATTTCGTTGGAAACGGGATGACATATAATATCTAGAGAGAAGCATTCTCAGGAACTTCTTTGTGATGTTTGCATTCAAGTCACAGAATTGAACATTCCCTTTCATAGAGCAGGTTTGAAACACTCTTTCTCTAGTATCTGGAAGTGGGCATTTCAAGCGCTTTCAGGCCTATGGAGAGAAAGGAAATACCTTCAAATAAAAACTAGACAGAAGCATTCTCAGAAACTTATTTGTGATGTGTGTCCTCAACTAACAGAGTTGAACCTTTGTTTTGATACAGCATTTTGGAAACACTCCTTTTGTAGAATCTGCAGGTGGATATGTGGATAGCTTTGAAGATTTCGTTGGAAACCGGAATATCTTCCTATAAAATCAAGACAGAAGCATTCTCGGAAACATCTCTGTGATGTTTGCATTCAACTCAGTAGAGTTGAACACTTCCTTTCATAGAGCAGGTTTGAAACACTCTTTCTGCCCTACCTGGAAGCGGACATTTCGAGCGCTTTGAGGCCTATGGTGAAAAAGGAAATATCTTCTCATAAAAACCAGAAAGAAGCATTCTCAGAAACTTCTTTGTGTTGTGTGTACTCAAGTAACAGTGTTGAACCTTCCTTTTGACAGAGCAGTTTTGAAACACTCTTTTGGTAGAATCTGCAAGTGGATATTTGGATAGCTTTGAGGATTTCGTTGGAAACGGGTTATCTTCATATAAAATCCAGACAGGAGCATTCTCAGAAACTTCTTTGTGCTGTATGTCCTCAATTCACAGAGCTGAACCTTTGTTTGGATACAGCATTTTGGAGACATTCCTTTAGTAGAATCTGCAAGTTGATATTTAGATAGCTTTGAAGATTTCGTTGGAAACGGGAATATCTTCATAGAAAATCTAGACGGAAGCATTCTCAGAAACTGCTTTGTGATGTTTGCATTCAAGTCACAGAGTTGAATATTCCCTTTTATAGAGTAGGTTTGAAACACTCTTTCGGCACTACCTGGAAGTGGATATTTCGAGCTCTTTGAGGCCTATGGTTAAAAGGAAATATCTTCCCATAAAAACTAGACAGAAGCCGTCTCAGAAACTTGTTTGTGATGTGTGTATTCAACTAACAGAGTTGAACATTTCTGTTACAGAGCAATTTTAAAACACTCTTTGTGGAATCTGAAAGTGGATAATTGGATAGCTTTGTGGATTTCGTTGGAAACGGGATGACGTATAAAATCTAGAGAGAAGCATTCTCAGGAACTTCTTTCTGATGTTTGCATTCAAGTCACAGAATTGAACATTCCTTTTCAGAGTGCAGGTTTGAAACACTCTTTCTGTAGTATCTGGAAGTGGACATTTCAAGCGCTTTCAGGCCTACGGGGAGAAAGGAAATATCTTCAAATAAAAACTAGACAGAAGGATTCTCAGAAACTTATTTGTGATGTGTGTCCTAAACGAACACAGTTGAACCTTTGTTTTGATACAGCATTTTGGAAACACTCCTTTTGTAGGATCTGCAGGTGGATATTTGGATAGATTTTAAGATTTCGTTGGAAACGGGAATTTCTTCATAGAAGCTCAAGACAGATGCATTCTCAGAAACTTCTCTGTGATGTTTGCATTCCACTCATAGGAGTTGAAAACTTCCTTTCATAGAGCAGGTTTGAAACACTCTTTTTGTAATATTTGGAAGTGGACATTTGCAGCGCTTTGAGGCCTATGGTGAAAAAAGGAAATATCTTCTCATAAAAACCAGAAACAAGCATTCTCAGAAACTTCTTTTTGATGTGTGTACTCAAGTAACAGAGTTGAACCTTCCTCTTGACACAGCAGTTTTGAAACAATCTTTTTGTAGAATCTGCAAGTGGATATTTGGATAGCTTTGAGGATTTCGTTGGAAACGGGATATCTTCATATAAAATCTAGACAGAAGCATTCTCAGAAACTTCTTTGTGCTGTATGTCCTCAATTAACAGAGTTGAACCATTGCCTGGATACAGCATTTTGGAAACATTCCTTGAGTAGAATCTGCAAGTTGATATTTAGATAGATTTGAAGATTTCGTTGGAAAAGGGAATATCTCCATATAAAATCTAGAGGGAAGCATTCTCAGAAACTGCTTTGTGATGTTTCCATTCAAGTCACAGAGTTGAATATTCCCTTTTATAGAGCACGTTTGAAACACTCTTTCTGCACTATCTGGAAGCGGACATTTCGAGCGCTTTGAGGCCTATGGTGAAAAAGGAAATATCTTCCCATAAAAACTAGACAGAAGCATTCTCAGAAACTTGTTTGTGATGTGTGTATTCAACTAACAGAGTTGAACTTTTGTTTTTACAGAGCCGTTTTAAAACACTCTTTTTGTGGAATCAGAAAGTGGATATTCGGATGGCTCTGAGGATTTCGTTGGAAGCGGGATTACGTATAAAATCTAGAGAGAAGCATTCTCAGGAACTTCTTTGTGATGTTTGCATTGAAGTCACAGAATTGAACATTCACTTTGATAGAGCAGGTTTGAAACACTCATTCTGTAGTATCTGGAAGTGGACATTTCAAGCGCTTTCAGGCCTATGGTGAGAAAGGAAATATCTTCGAATAAAAACTAGACAGAAGCATCCTCAAACTTATTTGTGATGTGTGTCCTCAACTAACAGAGTTGAAACTTTGTTTTGATACAGCATTTTGGAAACACTCTTTTTGTAGAATCTGCAGGTGGATATTTGGATAGCTTAGAGGGATTCGTTGGAAAGGGGATATCTTCATATAAAATCTAGACAGAAGCATTCTCAGAAACTTATTTGTGATGTGTGTCCTCAACTAACAGAGTTGAACCTTGGTTTTGATACAGCATTTTGGAAACACTCCTTTTGTAGAATCTGCAGGTGGATATGTGGATAGCTCTGAAGATTTCGTTGGAAACGGGAATTTCTTCATATAAAATCAAACAGAAGCATTCTCAGAAACTTCTCAGTGATGTTTGCATTCAGCTCATGGAGTTGTACACTTCCTTTCATAGAGCAGGTTTGAAACACTCTTTCTGCACTACCTGGAAGAGGACATTTCGAGCGCTTTGAGTCCTATGGTGAAAAATGGAAATATCTTCTCATAGAAACCAGAAAGAAGCATTCTCAGAAACTTCTTTGTGTTGTGTGTACTCATGTAACAGTGTTGAACCATCCTTTTGACAGAGGAGTTTTGAAACACTCTTTTTGTAGAATCTGCAAGTGGATATTTGGATAGCTTTGAGGATTTCGTTGGAAACGGGATGACATATAATATCTAGAGAGAAGCATTCTCAGGAACTTCTTTGTGATGTTTGCATTCAAGTCACAGAATTGAACATTCCCTTTCATAGAGCAGGTTTGAAACACTCTTTCTCTAGTATCTGGAAGTGGGCATTTCAAGCGCTTTCAGGCCTATGGAGAGAAAGGAAATACCTTCAAATAAAAACTAGACAGAAGCATTCTCAGAAACTTATTTGTGATGTGTGTCCTCAACTAACAGAGTTGAACCTTTGTTTTGATACAGCATTTTGGAAACACTCCTTTTGTAGAATCTGCAGGTGGATATTTGGATAGCTTTGAAGATTTCGTTGGAAACCGGAATATCTTCATATAAAATCAAGACAGAAGCATTCTCGGAAACATCTCTGTGATGTTTGCATTCAACTCAGTAGAGTTGAACACTTCCTTTCATAGAGCAGGTTTGAAACACTCTTTCTGCACTACCTGGAAGCGGACATTTCGAGCGCTTTGAGGCCTATGGTGAAAAAGGAAATATCTTCTCATAAAAACCAGAAAGAAGCATTCTCAGAAACTTCTTTGTGTTGTGTGTACTCAAGTAACAGTGTTGAACCTTCCTTTTGACAGAGCAGTTTTGAAACACTCTTTTGGTAGAATCTGCAAGTGGATATTTGGATAGCTTTGAGGATTTCGTTGGAAACGGGTTATCTTCATATAAAATCCAGACAGGAGCATTCTCAGAAACTTCTTTGTGCTGTATGTCCTCAATTCACAGAGCTGAACCTTTGTTTGGATACAGCATTTTGGAGACATTCCTTTAGTAGAATCTGCAAGTTGATATTTAGATAGCTTTGAAGATTTCGTTGGAAACGGGAATATCTTCATAGAAAATCTAGACGGAAGCATTCTCAGAAACTGCTTTGTGATGTTTGCATTCAAGTCACAGAGTTGAATATTCCCTTTTATAGAGTAGGTTTGAAACACTCTTTCGGCACTACCTGGAAGTGGATATTTCGAGCTCTTTGAGGCCTATGGTTAAAAGGAAATATCTTCCCATAAAAACTAGACAGAAGCCGTCTCAGCAAACTTGTTTGTGATGTGTGTATTCAACTACCAGAGTTGAACATTTCTGTTACAGAGCAATTTTAAAACACTCTTTTTGTGGAATCTGAAAGTGGATAATTGGATAGCTTTGTGGATTTCGTTGGAAACGGGATGACGTATAAAATCTAGAGAGAAGCATTCTCAGGAACTTCTTTCTGATGTTTGCATTCAAGTCACAGAATTGAACATTCCTTTTCATAGTGCAGGTTTGAAACACTCTTTCTGTAGTATCTGGAAGTGGACATTTCAAGCGCTTTCAGGCCTATGGGGAGAAAGGAAATATCTTCAAATAAAAACTAGACAGAAGGATTCTCAGAAACTTATTTGTGATGTGTGTCCTAAACGAACACAGTTGAACCTTTGTTTTGATACAGCATTTTGGAAACACTCCTTTTGTAGGATCTGCAGGTGGATATTTGGATAGATTTTAAGATTTCGTTGGAAACGGGAATTTCTTCATAGAAACTCAAGACAGATGCATTCTCAGAAACTTCTCTGTGATGTTTGCATTCCACTCATAGAGTTGAAAACTTCCTTTCATAGAGCAGGTTTGAAACACTCTTTTTGTAATATTTGGAAGTGGACATTTGCAGCGCTTTGAGGCCTATGGTGAAAAAGGAAATATCTTCTCACAAAAACCAGAAACAAGCATTCTCAGAAACTTCTTTTTGATGTGTGTACTCAAGTAACAGAGTTGAACCTTCCTTTTCACACAGCAGTTTTGAAACAATCTTTTTGTAGAATCTGCAAGTGGATATTTGGATAGCTTTGAGGATTTCGTTGGAAACGGGATATCTTCATATAAAATCTAGACAGAAGCATTCTCAGAAACTTCTTTGTGCTGTATGTCCTCAATTAACAGAGTTGAACCATTGCTTGGATACAGCATTTTGGAAACATTCCTTTAGTAGAATCTGCAAGTTGATATTTAGATAGATTTGAAGATTTCGTTGGAAACGGGAATATCTTCATATAAAATCCTAGACGGAGGCATTCTCAGAAACGGCTTTGTGATGTTTCCATTCAAGTCACAGAGTTGAATATTCTCTTTTATAGAGCACATTTGAAACACTCTTTCTGCACTATCTGGAAGTGGACATTTCGAGCGCTTTGAGGCCTATGGTGAAAAAGGAAATATCTTCCCATAAAAACTAGACAGAAGCATTCTCAGAAACTTGTTTGTGATGTGTGTATTCAACTAACAGACTTGAACTTTTGTTTTTACAGAGCAGTTTTAAGACAATCCTTTTGTGGAATCAGAAAGTGGATATTCGGATGGCTTTGAGGACTTCGTTGGAAGCGGGATTACATATAAAATCTAGAGAGAAGCATTCTCAGGAACTACTTTGTGATGTTTGCATTGAAGTCACAGAATTGAACATTCACTTTGATAGAGCAGGTTTGAAACACTCATTCTGTAGTATCTGGAAGTGGACAATTCAAGCGCTTTCAGGCCTATGGGGAGAAAGGAAATATCTTCAAATAAAAACTAGACAGAAGCATCCTCAGAAAGTTATTTGTGATGTGTGTCCTCAAGTAACAGAGTTGAAACTTTGTTTTGATACAGCATTTTGGAAACACTCTTTTTGTAGAATCTGCAGGTGGATATTTGGATAGCTTAGAGGGATTCGTTGGAAAGGGGATATCTTCATATAAAATCTAGACAGAAGCATTCTCAGAAACTTATTTGTGATGTGTGTCCTCAACTAACAGAGTTGAACCTTGGTTTTGATACAGCATTTTGGAAACACTCCTTTTGTAGAATCTGCAGGTGGATATGTGGATAGCTTTGAAGATTTCGTTGGAAACGGGAATTTCTTCATATAAAATCAAACAGAAGCATTCTCAGAAACTTCTCTGTGATGTTTGCATTCAGCTCATGGAGTTGAACACTTCCTTTCATAGAGCAGGTTTGAAACACTCTTTCTGCACTACCAGGAAGTGGACATTTCGAGCGCTTTGAGGCCTATGGTGAAAAAGGAAATATCTTCTCATAAAAACCAGAAAGAAGCGTTCTCAGAAACTTCTTTGTGTTGTGTGTACTCATGTAACAGTGTTGAACCATCCTTTTGACAGAGCAGTTTTGAAACACTCTTTTTGGAGAATCTGCAAGTGGATATTTGGATAGCTTTGAGGATTTCGTTGGAAACGGGTTATCTTCATATTAAATCTAGACAGAAGCATTCTCAGAAACTTCTTTGTGCTGTATGTCCTCAATTCACAGAGTTGAACCTTTGTTTGGATACAGCATTTTGGAAACATTCCTTTAGTAGAATCTGCAAGTTGATATTTAGATAGCTTTGAAGATTTCGTTGGAAACGGGAATATCTTCATAAAAAATCTAGACGGAAGCATTGTCAGAAACTGCTTTGTGATGTTTGCATTCAAGTCACAGAGTTAAATATTCTTTTACAGAGCAGGTTTGAAACACTCTTTCTGCACTCCCTGGAAGTGGAGATTTAGAGCGCTTTGAGGCCTGTGGTGAAAAAGGAAATATCTTCCCATAAAAACTAGACGGAAGCATTCTCAGAAACTTGTTTGTGATGTGTGTATTCAACTAACAGACTTGAACTTTTGTTTTTACAGAGCAGTTTTAAAACAATCTTTTTGTGGAATCAGAAAGTGGATATTCGGATGGCTTTGAGGATTTCGTTGGAAGCGGGATTACATATAAAATGCTAGAGAGAAGCATTCTCAGGCAACTTCTTTCTGATGTTTGCATTGAAGTCACGGAATTGAACATTCACTTTGATAGAGCAGGTTTGAAACACTCATTCTGTAGTATCTGGAAGTGGACATTTCAAGAGCTTTCAGGCCTATGGTGAGAAAGGAAATATCTTCGAATAAAAACTAGACAGAAGCATCCTCAGAAACTTATTTGTGATGTGTGTCCTCAACTAACAGAGTTGAAACTTTGTTTTGATACAGCATTTTGGAAACACTCTTTTTGTAGAATCTGCAGGTGGATACTTGGATAGCTTAGAGGGATTCGTTGGAAAGGGGATATCTTCATATAAAATCTAGACAGAAGCATTCTCAGAAACTTATTTGTGATGTGTGTCCTCAACTAACAGAGTTGAACCTTGGTTTTGATACAGCATTTTGGAAACACTCCTTTTGAAGAATCTGCAGGTGGATATGTGGATAGCTTTGAAGATTTCGTTGGAAACGGGAATTTCTTCATATAAAATCAAACAGAAGCATTCTCAGGAACTTCTCTGTGATGTTTGCATTCAGCTCATGGAGTTGAACACTTCCTTTCATAGAGCAGGTTTGAAACACTCTTTCTGCACTACCTGGAAGTGGACATTTCGAGCGCTTTGAGGCCTATGGTGAAAAAGGAAATATCCTCTCATAAAAACCAGAAAGAAGCGTTCTCAGAAACTTCTTTGTGTTGTGTGTACTCATGTAACAGTGTTGAACCATCCTTTTGACAGAGCAGTTTTGAAACACTCTTTTTGTAGAATCTGCCAGTGGATATTTGGATAGCTTTGAGGATTTCGTTGGAAACGGGTTATCTTCATATTAAATCTAGACAGAAGCATTCTCAGAAACTTCTTTGTGCTGTATGTCCTCAATTCACAGAGTTGAACCTTTGTTTGGATACAGCATTTTGGAAACATTCCTTTAGTAGAATCTGCAAGTTGATATTTAGATAGCTTTGAAGATTTCGTTGGAAACGGGAATATCTTCATAAAAAATCTAGACGGAAGCATTGTCAGAAACTGCTCTGTGATGTTTGCATTCAAGTCACAGAGTTAAATATTCTTTTACAGAGCAGGTTTGAAACACTCTTTCTGCACTCCCTGGAAGTGGAGATTTCGAGCGCTTTGAGGCCTATGGTGAAAAAGGAAATATCTTCCCATAAAAACTAGACGGAAGCCTTCTTAGAAACTTGTTTGAGATGTGTGTATTCAACTAAGAGCGTTGAATATTTCTTTTTACAGAGCAGTTTTAAAACACTCTTTTGGTGGAATCTGAAAGTGGATAATTGGATAGCTTTGTGGATTTCGTTGGAAACGGGATGACGTTTAAAATCTAGAGAGAAGCATTCTCAGGAACTTCTTTCTGATGTTTGCATTCAAGTCACAGAATTGAACATTCCTTTTCATAGTGCAGGTTTGAAACACTCTGTAGTATCTGGAAGTGGACATTTCAAGCGCTTTCAAGCCTATGGGGAGAAAGGAAATATCTTGAAATAAAAACTAGACAGAAGGATTCTCAGAAACTTATTTGTGATGTGTGTCCTAAACGAACACAGTTGAACCTTTGTTTTGATACAGCATTTAGGAAACACTCCTTTTGTAGAATCTGCAGGTGGATATTTGGAAAGATTTTAAGATTTCATTGGAAACGGGAATTTCTTCATATAAACTCAAGACAGATGCATTCTCAGAAACTTCTCTGTGATGTTTGCATTCCACTCATAGAGTTGAAAACTTCCTTTCGTAGAGCAGGTTTGAAACACTCTTTTTGTAATATTTGGAAGTGGACATTTGCAGCGCTTTGAGGCCTATGGTGAAAAAGGAAATATCTTCTCATAAAAACCAGAAAGAAGCATTCTCAGAAACTGCTTTCTGATGTGTGTACTCAAGTAACAGAGTTGAACCTTCCTTTTGACACAGCAGTTTTGAAACAATCTTTTTGTAGAATCTGCAAGTGGATATTTGGATAGCTTTGAGGATTTCGTTGGAAACGGGATATCTTCATATAAAATCTAGACAGAAGCATTCTCAGAAACTTCT
This sequence comes from Homo sapiens, assembly GCF_000001405.40. Classification (NCBI taxonomy): domain Eukaryota; kingdom Metazoa; phylum Chordata; class Mammalia; order Primates; family Hominidae; genus Homo; species Homo sapiens. The sequence continues at coordinate 50,116,077 of NC_000004.12, forward strand.
TTGTGCTGTATGTCCTCAATTAACAGAGTTGAACCATTGCTTGGATACAGCATTTTGGAAACATTCCTTTAGTAGAATCTGCAAGTAGATATTTAGATAGATTTGAAGATTTCGTTGGAAACGGGAATATCTTCATATAAAATCTAGACGGAGGCATTCTCAGAAACTGCTTTGTGATGTTTCCATTCAAGTCACAGAGTTGAATATTCTCTTTTATAGAGCACGTTTGAAACACTCTTTCTGCACTATCTGGAAGTGGACATTTCGAGCGCTTTGAGGCCTATGGTGAAAAAGGAAATATCTTCCCATAAAAACTAGACAGAAGCATTCTCAGAAACTTGTTTGTGATGTGTGTATTCAACTAACAGACTTGAACTTTTGTTTTTACAGAGCAGTTTTAAGACAATCCTTTTGTGGAATCAGAAAGTGGATGTTCGGATGGCTTTGAGGACTTCGTTGGAAGCGGGATTACATATAAAATCTAGAGAGAAGCATTCTCAGGAACTACTTTGTGATGTTTGCATTGAAGTCACAGAATTGAACATTCACTTTGATAGAGCAGGTTTGAAACACTCATTCTGTAGTATCTGGAAGTGGACAATTCAAGCGCTTTCAGGCCTATGGGGAGAAAGGAAATATCTTCAAATAAAAACTAGACAGAAGCATCCTCAGAAACTTATTTGTGATGTGTGTCCTCAACTAACAGAGTTGAAACTTTGTTTTGATACAGCATTTTGGAAACACTCTTTTTGTAGAATCTGCAGGTGGATATTTGGATAGCTTAGAGGGATTCGTTGGAAAGGGGATATCTTCATATAAAATCTAGACAGAAGCATTCTCAGAAACTTATTTGTGATGTGTGTCCTCAACTAACAGAGTTGAACCTTGGTTTTGATACAGCATTTTGGAAACACTCCTTTTGTAGAATCTGCAGGTGGATATGTGGATAGCTCTGAAGATTTCGTTGGAAACGGGAATTTCTTCATATAAAATTAAACAGAAGCATTCTCAGAAACTTCTCAGTGATGTTTGCATTCAGCTCATGGAGTTGTACACTTCCTTTCATAGAGCAGGTTTGAAACACTCTTTCTGCACTACCTGGAAGAGGACATTTCGAGCGCTTTGAGTCCTATGGTGAAAAAGGAAATATCTTCTCATAGAAACCAGAAAGAAACATTCTCAGAAACTTCTTTGTGTTGTGTGTACTCATGTAACAGTGTTGAACCATCCTTTTGACAGAGCAGTTTTGAAACACTCTTTTTGTAGAATCTGCAAGTGGATATTTGGATAGCTTTGAGGATTTCGTTGGAAACGGGATGACATATAATATCTAGAGAGAAGCATTCTCAGGAACTTCTTTGTGATGTTTGCATTCAAGTCACAGAATTGAACATTCCCTTTCATAGAGCAGGTTTGAAACACTCTTTCTCTAGTATCTGGAAGTGGGCATTTCAAGCGCTTTCAGGCCTATGGAGAGAAAGGAAATACCTTCAAATAAAAACTAGACAGAAGCATTCTCAGAAACTTATTTGTGATGTGTGTCCTCAACTAACAGAGTTGAACCTTTGTTTTGATACAGCATTTTGGAAACACTCCTTTTGTAGAATCTGCAGGTGGATATTTGGATAGCTTTGAAGATTTCGTTGGAAACCGGAATATCTTCATATAAAATCAAGACAGAAGCATTCTCGGAAACATCTCTGTGATGTTTGCATTCAACTCAGTAGAGTTGAACACTTCCTTTCATAGAGCAGGTTTGAAACACTCTTTCTGCACTACCTGGAAGCGGACATTTCGAGCGCTTTGAGGCCTATGGTGAAAAAGGAAATATCTTCTCATAAAAACCAGAAAGAAGCATTCTCAGAAACTTCTTTGTGTTGTGTGTACTCAAGTAACAGTGTTGAACCTTCCTTTTGACAGAGCAGTTTTGAAACACTCTTTTGGTAGAATCTGCAAGTGGATATTTGGATAGCTTTGAGGATTTCGTTGGAAACGGGTTATCTTCCTATAAAATCCAGACAGGAGCATTCTCAGAAACTTCTTTGTGCTGTATGTCCTCAATTCACAGAGCTGAACCTTTGTTTGGATACAGCATTTTGGAGACATTCCTTTAGTAGAATCTGCAAGTTGATATTTAGATAGCTTTGAAGATTTCGTTGGAAACGGGAATATCTTCATAGAAAATCTAGACGGAAGCATTCTCAGAAACTGCTTTGTGATGTTTGCATTCAAGTCACAGAGTTGAATATTCCCTTTTATAGAGTAGGTTTGAAACACTCTTTCGGCACTACCTGGAAGTGGATATTTCGAGCTCTGTGAGGCCTATGGTTAAAAGGAAATATCTTCCCATAAAAACTAGACAGAAGCCGTCTCAGAAACTTGTTTGTGATGTGTGTATTCAACTAACAGAGTTGAACATTTCTGTTACAGAGCAATTTTAAAACACTCTTTGTGGAATCTGAAAGTGGATAATTGGATAGCTTTGTGGATTTCGTTGGAAACGGGATGACGTATAAAATCTAGAGAGAAGCATTCTCAGGAACTTCTTTCTGATGTTTGCATTCAAGTCACAGAATTGAACATTCCTTTTCAGAGTGCAGGTTTGAAACACTCTTTCTGTAGTATCTGGAAGTGGACATTTCAAGCGCTTTCAGGCCTACGGGGAGAAAGGAAATCTCTTCAAATAAAAACCAGACAGAAGGATTCTCAGAAACTTATTTGTGATGTGTGTCCTAAACGAACACAGTTGAACCTTTGTTTTGATACAGCATTTTGGAAACACTCCTTTTGTAGGATCTGCAGGTGGATATTTGGATAGATTTTAAGATTTCGTTGGAAACGGGAATTTCTTCATAGAAGCTCAAGACAGATGCATTCTCAGAAACTTCTCTGTGATGTTTGCATTCCACTCATAGAGTTGAAAACTTCCTTTCATAGAGCAGGTTTGAAACACTCTTTTTGTAATATTTGGAAGTGGACATTTGCAGCGCTTTGAGGCCTATGGTGAAAAAGGAAATATCTTCTCATAAAAACCAGAAACAAGCATTCTCAGAAACTTCTTTTTGATGTGTGTACTCAAGTAACAGAGTTGAACCTTCCTTTTGACACAGCAGTTTTGAAACAATCTTTTTGTAGAATCTGCAAGTGGATATTTGGATAGCTTTGAGGATTTCGTTGGAAACGGGATATCTTCATATAAAATCTAGACAGAAGCATTCTCAGAAACTTCTTTCTGCTGTATGACCTCAATTAACAGAGTTGAACCATTGCTTGCATACAGCATTTTGGAAACATTCCTTGAGTAGAATCTGCAAGTTGATATTTAGATAGATTTGAAGATTTCGTTCGAAAACGGAATATCTCCATATAAAATCTAGAGGGAAGCATTCTCAGAAACTGCTTTGTGATGTTTCCATTCAAGTCACAGAGTTGAATATTCCCTTTTATAGAGCACGTTTGAAACACTCTTTCTGCACTATCTGGAAGTGGACATTTCGAGCGCTTTGAGGCCTATGGTGAAAAAGGAAATATCTTCCCATAAAAACTAGACAGAAGCATTCTCAGAAACTTGTTTGTGATGTGTGTATTCAACTAACAGAGTTGAACTTTTGTTTTTACAGAGCCGTTTTAAAACACTCTTTTTGTGGAATCAGAAAGTGGATATTCGGATGGCTCTGAGGATTTCGTTGGAAGCGGGATTACATATAAAATCTAGAGAGAAGCATTCTCAGGAACTTCTTTGTGATGTTTGCATTGAAGTCACAGAATTGAACATTCACTTTGATAGAGCAGGTTTGAAACACTCATTCTGTAGTATCTGGAAGTGGACATTTCAAGCGCTTTCAGGCCTATGGTGAGAAAGGAAATATCTTCGAATAAAAACTAGACAGAAGCATCCTCAAACTTATTTGTGATGTGTGTCCTCAACTAACAGAGTTGAACCTTTGTTTTGATACAGCATTTTGGAAACACTCTTTTTGTAGAATCTGCAGGTGGATATTTGGATAGCTTAGAGGGATTCGTTGGAAAGGGGATATCTTCATATAGAATCTAGACAGAAGCATTCTCAGAAACTTATTTGTGATGTGTGTCCTCAACTAACAGAGTTGAACTTTGGTTTTGATACAGCATTTTGGAAACACTCCTTTTGTAGAATCTGCAGGTGGATATGTGGATAGCTCTGAAGATTTCGTTGGAAACGGGAATTTCTTCATATAAAATCAAACAGAAGCATTCTCAGAAACTTCTCAGTGATGTTTGCATTCAGTTCATGGAGTTGAACACTTCCTTTCATAGAGCCGGTTTGAAACACTCTTTCTGCACTACCTGGAAGAGGACATTTCGAGCGCTTTGAGTCCTATGGTGAAAAAGGAAATATCTTCTCATAGAAACCAGAAAGAAGCATTCTCAGAAACTTCTTTGTGTTGTGTGTACTCATGTAACAGTGTTGAACCATCCTTTTGACAGAGCAGTTTTGAAACACTCTTTTTGTAGAATCTGCAAGTGGATATTTGGATAGCTTTGAGGATTTCGTTGGAAACGGGATGACATATAATATCTAGAGAGAAGCATTCTCAGGAACTTCTTTGTGATGTTTGCATTCAAGTCACAGAATTGAACATTCCCTTTCATAGAGCAGGTTTGAAACACTCTTTCTCTAGTATCTGGAAGTGGGCATTTCAAGCGCTTTCAGGCCTATGGAGAGAAAGGAAATACCTTCAAATAAAAACTAGACAGAAGCATTCTCAGAAACTTATTTGTGATGTGTGTCCTCAACTAACAGAGTTGAACCTTTGTTTTGATACAGCATTTTGGAAACACTCCTTTTGTAGAATCTGCAGGTGGATATTTGGATAGCTTTGAAGATTTCGTTGGAAACCGGAATATCTTCATATAAAATCAAGACAGAAGCATTCTCGGAAACATCTCTGTGATGTTTGCATTCAACTCAGTAGAGTTGAACACTTCCTTTCATAGAGCAGGTTTGAAACACTCTTTCTGCACTACCTGGAAGCGGACATTTCGAGCGCTTTGAGGCCTATGGTGAAAAAGGAAATATCTTCTCATAAAAACCAGAAAGAAGCATTCTCAGAAACTTCTTTGTGTTGTGTGTACTCAAGTAACAGTGTTGAACCTTCCTTTTGACAGAGCAGTTTTGAAACACTCTTTTGGTAGAATCTGCAAGTGGATATTTGGATAGCTTTGAGGATTTCGTTGGAAACGGGTTATCTTCCTATAAAATCCAGACAGGAGCATTCTCAGAAACTTCTTTGTGCTGTATGTCCTCAATTCACAGAGCTGAACCTTTGTTTGGATACAGCATTTTGGAGACATTCCTTTAGTAGAATCTGCAAGTTGATATTTAGATAGCTTTGAAGATTTCGTTGGAAACGGGAATATCTTCATAGAAAATCTAGACGGGAAGCATTCTCAGAAACTGCTTTGTGATGTTTGCATTCAAGTCACAGAGTTGAATATTCCCTTTTATAGAGTAGGTTTGAAACACTCTTTCGGCACTACCTGGAAGTGGATATTTCGAGCTCTTTGAGGCCTATGGTTAAAAGGAAATATCTTCCCATAAAAACTAGACAGAAGCCGTCTCAGAAACTTGTTTGTGATGTGTGTATTCAACTAACAGAGTTGAACATTTCTGTTACAGAGCAATTTAAAACACTCTTTTTGTGGAATCTGAAAGTGGATAATTGGATAGCTTTGTGGATTTCGTTGGAAACGGGATGACGTATAAAATCTAGAGAGAAGCATTCTCAGGAACTTCTTTCTGATGTTTGCATTCAAGTCACAGAATTGACATTCCTTTTCAGAGTGCAGGTTTGAAACACTCTTTCTGTAGTTTCTGGAAGTGGACATTTCAAGCGCTTTCAGGCCTATGGGGAGAAAGGAAATATCTTCAAATAAAAACTAGACAGAAGGATTCTCAGAAACTTATTTGTGATGTGTGTCCTAAGCGAGCACAGTTGAACCTTTGTTTTGATACAGCATTTTGGAAACACTCCTTTTGTAGAATCTGCAGGTGGATATTTGGATAGATTTTAAGATTTCATTGGAAACGGGAATTTCTGCATAGAAACTCAAGACAGATGCATTCTCAGAAACTTCTCTGTGATGTTTGCATTCCACTCATAGAGTTGAAAACTTCCTTTCATAGAGCAGGTTTGAAACACTCTTTTTGTAATATTTGGAAGTGGACATTTGCAGCGCTTTGAGGCCTATGGTGAAAAAGGAAATATCTTCTCATAAAAACCAGAAACAAGCATTCTCAGAAACTTCTTTTTGATGTGTGTACTCAAATAACAGAGTTGAACCTTCCTTTTGACACAGCAGTTTTGAAACAATCTTTTTGTAGAATCTGCAAGTGGATATTTGGATAGCTTTGATGATTTCGTTGGAAACGGGATATCTTCATATAAAATCTAGACAGAAGCATTCTCAGAAACTTCTTTGTGCTGTATGTCCTCAATTAACAGAGTTGAACCATTGCTTGGATACAGCATTTTGGAAACATTCCTTGAGTAGAATCTGCAAGTTGATACTTAGATAGATTTGAAGATTTCGTTGGAAAAGGGAATATCTCCATATAAAATCTAGAGGGAAGCATTCTCAGAAACTGCTTTATGATGTTTCCATTCAAGTCACAGAGTTGAATATTCCCTTTTATAGAGCACGTTTGAAACAATCTTTCTGCACTATCAGGAAGTGGACATTTCGAGCGCTTTGAGGCCTATGGTGAAAAAGGAAATATCTTCCCATAAAAACTAGACAGAAGCATTCTCAGAAACTTGTTTGTGATGTGTGTATTCAACTAACAGAGTTGAACTTTTGTTTTTACAGAGCCGTTTTAAAACACTCTTTTTGTGGAATCAGAAAGTGGATATTCGGATGGCTCTGAGGATTTCGTTGGAAGCGGGATTACATATAAAATCTAGAGAGAAGCATTCTCAGGAACTTCTTTGTGATGTTTGCATTGAAGTCACAGAATTGAACATTCACTTTGATAGAGCAGGTTTGAAACACTCATTCTGTAGGATCTGGAAGTGGACATTTCAAGCGCTTTCAGGCCTATGGTGAGAAAGGAAATATCTTCGAATAAAAACTAGACAGAAGCATCCTCAGAAACTTATTTGTGATGTGTGTCCTCAACTAACAGAGTTGAAACTTTGTTTTGATACAGCATTTTGGAAACACTCTTTTTGTAGAATCTGCAGGTGGGTATTTGGATAGCTTAGAGGGATTCGTTGGAAAGGGGATATCTTCATATAAAATCTAGACAGAAGCATTCTCAGAAACTTATTTGTGATGTGTGTCCTCAACTAACAGAGTTGAACCTTGGTTTTGATACAGCATTTTGGAAACACTCCTTTTGTAGAATCTGCAGGTGGATATGTGGATAGCTCTGAAGATTTCGTTGGAAATGGGAATTTCTTCATATAAAATCAAACAGAAGCATTCTCAGAAACTTCTCAGTGATGTTTGCATTCAGCTCATGGAGTTGTACACTTCCTTTCATAGAGCAGGTTTGAAACACTCTTTCTGCACTACCTGGAAGAGGACATTTCGAGCGCTTTGAGTCCTATGGTGAAAAAGGAAATATCTTCTCATAGAAACCAGAAAGAAGCATTCTCAGAAACTTCTTTGTGTTGTGTGTACTCATGTAACAGTGTTGAACCATCCTTTTGACAGAGGAGTTTTGAAACACTCTTTTTGTAGAATCTGCAAGTGGATATTTGGATAGCTTTGAGGATTTCGTTGGAAACGGGATGACATATAATATCTAGAGAGAAGCATTCTCAGGAACTTCTTTGTGATGTTTGCATTCAAGTCACAGAATTGAACATTCCCTTTCATAGAGCAGGTTTGAAACACTCTTTCTCTAGTATCTGGAAGTGGGCATTTCAAGCGCTTTCAGGCCTATGGAGAGAAAGGAAATACCTTCAAATAAAAACTAGACAGAAGCATTCTCAGAAACTTATTTGTGATGTGTGTCCTCAACTAACAGAGTTGAACCTTGGTTTTGATACAGCATTTTGGAAACACTCCTTTTGTAGAATCTGCAGGTGGATATTTGGATAGCTTTGAAGATTTCGTTGGAAACCGGAATATCTTCATATAAAATCAAGACAGAAGCATTCTCGGAAACATCTCTGTGATGTTTGCATTCAACTCAGTAGAGTTGAACACTTCCTTTCATAGAGCAGGTTTGAAACACTCTTTCTGCACTACCTGGAAGCGGACATTTCGAGCGCTTTGAGGCCTATGGTGAAAAAGGAAATATCTTCTCATAAAAACCAGAAAGAAGCATTCTCAGAAACTTCTTTGTGTTGTGTGTACTCAAGTAACAGTGTTGAACCTTCCTTTTGACAGAGCAGTTTTGAAACACTCTTTTGGTAGAATCTGCAAGTGGATATTTGGATAGCTTTGAGGATTTCGTTGGAAACGGGTTATCTTCCTATAAAATCCAGACAGGAGCATTCTCAGAAACTTCTTTGTGCTGTATGTCCTCAATTCACAGAGCTGAACCTTTGTTTGGATACAGCATTTTGGAGACATTCCTTTAGTAGAATCTGCAAGTTGATATTTAGATAGCTTTGAAGATTTCGTTGGAAACGGGAATATCTTCATAGAAAATCTAGACGGAAGCATTCTCAGAAACTGCTTTGTGATGTTTGCATTCAAGTCACAGAGTTGAATAATCCCTTTTATAGAGTAGGTTTGAAACACTCTTTCGGCACTACCTGGAAGTGGATATTTCGAGCTCTTTGAGGCCTATGGTTAAAAGGAAATATCTTCCCATAAAAACTAGACAGAAGCCGTCTCAGAAACTTGTTTGTGATGTGTGTATTCAACTAACAGAGTTGAACATTTCTGTTACAGAGCAATTTTAAAACACTCTTTTTGTGGAATCTGAAAGTGGATAATTGGATAGCTTTGTGGATTTCGTTGGAAACGGGATGACGTATAAAATCTAGAGAGAAGCATTCTCAGGAACTTCTTTCTGATGTTTGCATTCAAGTCACAGAATTGAACATTCCTTTTCAGAGTGCAGGTTTGAAACACTCTTTCTGTAGTATCTGGAAGTGGACATTTCAAGCGCTTTCAGGCCTACGGGGAGAAAGGAAATCTCTTCAAATAAAAACCAGACAGAAGGCTTCTCAGAAACTTATTTGTGATGTGTGTCCTAAACGAACACAGTTGAACCTTTGTTTTGATACAGCATTTTCGAAACACTCCTTTTGTAGAATCTGCAGGTGGATATTTGGATAGATTTTAAGATTTCGTTGGAAACGGGAATTTCTTCATAGAAACTCAAGACAGATGCATTCTCAGAAACTTCTACTGTGATGTTTGCATTCCACTCATAGAGTTGAAAACTTCCTTTCATAGAGCAGGTTTGAAACACTCTTTTTGTAATATTTGGAAGTGGACATTTGCAGCGCTTTGAGGCCTATGGTGAAAAAGGAAATATCTTCTCATAAAAACCAGAAACAAGCATTCTCAGAAACTTCTTTTTGATGTGTGTACTCAAATAACAGAGTTGAACCTTCCTTTTGACACAGCAGTTTTGAAACAATCTTTTTGTAGAATCTGCAAGTGGATATTTGGATAGCTTTGATGATTTCGTTGGAAACGGGATATCTTCATATAAAATCTAGACAGAAGCATTCTCAGGAACTTCTTTGTGCTGTATGTCCTCAATTAACAGAGTTGAACCATTGCTTGGATACAGCATTTTGGAAACATTCCTTGAGTAGAATCTGCAAGTTGATACTTAGATAGATTTGAAGATTTCGTTGGAAAAGGGAATATCTCCATATAAAATCTAGAGGGAAGCATTCTCAGAAACTGCTTTATGATGTTTCCATTCAAGTCACAGAGTTGAATATTCCCTTTTATAGAGCACGTTTGAAACAATCTTTCTGCACTATCTGGAAGTGGACATTTCGAGCGCTTTGAGGCCTATGGTGAAAAAGGAAATATCTTCCCATAAAAACTAGACAGAAGCATTCTCAGAAACTTGTTTGTGATGTGTGTATTCAACTAACAGAGTTGAACTTTTGTTTTTACAGAGCCGTTTTAAAACACTCTTTTTGTGGAATCAGAAAGTGGATATTCGGATGGCTCTGAGGATTTCGTTGGAAGCGGGATTACATATAAAATCTAGAGAGAAGCATTCTCAGGAACTTCTTTCTGATGTTTGCATTGAAGTCACAGAATTGAACATTCACTTTTATAGAGCAGGTTTGAAACACTCATTCTGTAGTATCTGGAAGTGGACATTTCAAGCGCTTTCAGGCCTATGGTGAGAAAGGAAATATCTTCGAATAAAAACTAGACAGAAGCATCCTCAAACTTATTTGTGATGTGTGTCCTCAACTAACAGAGTTGAAACTTTGTTTTGATACAGCATTTTGGAAACACTCTTTTTGTAGAATCTGCAGGTGGATATTTGGATAGCTTAGAGGGATTCATTGGAAAGGGGATATCTTCATATAAAATCTAGACAGAAGCATTCTCAGAAACTTATTTGTGATGTGTGTCCTCAACTAACAGAGTTGAACCTTGGTTTTGATACAGCATTTTGGAAACACTCCTTTTGTAGAATCTGCATGTGGATATGTGGATAGCTCTGAAGATTTCGTTGGAAACGGGAATTTCTTCATATAAAATCAAACAGAAGCATTCTCAGAAACTTCTCAGTGATGTTTGCATTCAGCTCATGGAGTTGTACACTTCCTTTCATAGAGCAGGTTTGAAACACTCTTTCTGCACTACCTGGAAGAGGACATTTCGAGCGCTTTGAGTCCTATGGTGAAAAAGGAAATATCTTCTCATAGAAACCAGAAAGAAGCATTCTCAGAAACTTCTTTGTGTTGTGTGTACTCATGTAACAGTGTTGAACCATCCTTTTGACAGAGCAGTTTTGAAACACTCTTTTTGTAGAATCTGCAAGTGGATATTTGGATAGCTTTGAGGATTTCGTTGGAAACGGGATGACATATAATATCTAGAGAGAAGCATTCTCAGGAACTTCTTTGTGATGTTTGCATTCAAGTCACAGAATTGAACATTCCCTTTCATAGAGCAGGTTTGAAACACTCTTTCTCTAGTATCTGGAAGTGGGCATTTCAAGCGCTTTCAGGCCTATGGAGAGAAAGGAAATACCTTCAAATAAAAACTAGACAGAAGCATTCTCAGAAACTTATTTGTGATGTGTGTCCTCAACTAACAGAGTTGAACCTTTGTTTTGATACAGCATTTTGGAAACACTCCTTTTGTAGAATCTGCAGGTGGATATTTGGATAGCTTTGAAGATTTCGTTGGAAACCGGAATATCTTCATATAAAATCAAGACAGAAGCATTCTCAGAAACTTCTCTGTGATGTTTGCATTCAGCTCATGGAGTTGAACACTTCCTTTCAGAGAGCAGCTTTGAAACACTCTTTCTGCACTACCAGGAAGTGGACATTTCAAGCGCTTTGAGGCCTATGGTGAAAAAGGAAATATCTTCTCATAAAAACCAGAAAGAAGCGTTCTCAGAAACTTCTTTGTGTTGTGTGTACTCATGTAACATTGTTGAACCATCCTTTTGACAGAGCAGTTTTGAAACACTCTTTTTGTAGAATCTGCAAGTGGATATTTGGATAGCTTTGAGGATTTCGTTGGAAACGGGTTATCTTCATATTAAATCTAGACAGAAGCATTCTCAGAAACTTCTTTGTGCTGTATGTCCTCAATTCACAGAGTTGAACCTTTGTTTGGATACAGCATTTTGGAAACATTCCTTTAGAAGAATCTGCAAGGTGATATTTAGATAGCTTTGAAGATTTCGTTGGAAACGGGAATATCTTCATAAAAAATCTAGACGGAAGCATTCTCATAAACTGCTTTGTGATGTTTGCATTCAAGTCACAGAGTTGAATATTCCCTTTTATAGAGTAGGTTTGAAACACTCTTTCGGCACTAACTGGAAGTGGATATTTCGAGCTCTTTGAGGCCTATGCTTAAAAGGAAATATCTTCCCATAAAAACTAGACAGAAGCCGTCTCAGAAACTTGTTTGTGATGTGTGTATTCAACTAACAGAGTTGAACATTTCTGTTACAGAGCAATTTTAAAACACTCTTTTTGTGGAATCTGAAAGTGGATATTTGGGTAGCTTTGTGGATTTCGTTAGAAACGGGATGACGTATAAAATCTAGAGAGAAGCATTCTCAGGAACTTCTTTCTGATGTTTGCATTCAAGTCACAGAATTGACATTCCTTTTCAGAGTGCAGGTTTGAAACACTCTTTCTGTAGTATCTGGAAGTGGACATTTCAAGCGCTTTCAGGCCTATGGGGAGAAAGGAAATATCTTCAAATAAAAACTAGACAGAAGGATTCTCAGAAACTTATTTGTGATGTGTGTCCTAAGCGAACACAGTTGAACCTTTGTTTTGATACAGCATTTTGGAAACACTCCTTTTGTAGAATCTGCAGGTGGATATTTGGATAGATTTTAAGATTTCATTGGAAACGGGAATTTCTGCATAGAAACTCAAGACAGATGCATTCTCAGAAACTTCTCTGTGATGTTTGCATTCCACTCATAGAGTTGAAAACTTCCTTTCATAGAGCAGGTTTGAAACACTCTTTTTGTAATATTTGGAAGTGGACATTTGCAGCGCTTTGAGGCCTATGGTGAAAAAGGAAATATCTTCTCATAAAAACCAGAAACAAGCATTCTCAGAAACTTCTTTTTGATGTGTGTACTCAAATAACAGAGTTGAACCTTTCTTTTGACACAGCAGTTTTGAAACAATCTTTTTGTAGAATCTGCAAGTGGATATTTGGATAGCTTTGTTGATTTCGTTGGAAACGGGATATCTTCATATAAAATCTAGACAGAAGCATTCTCAGAAACTTCTTTGTGCTGTATGTCCTCAATTAACAGAGTTGAACCATTGCCTGGATACAGCATTTTGGAAACATTCCTTGAGTAGAATCTACAAGTTGATATTTAGATAGATTTGAAGATTTCGTTGGAAAAGGGAATATCTCCATATAAAATCTAGAGGGAGGCATTCTCAGAAACTGCTTTGTGATGTTTCCATTCAAGTCACAGAGTTGAATATTCTCTTTTATAGAGCACGTTTAAAACACTCTTTCTGCACTATCTGGAAGTGGACATTTCGAGCGCTGTGAGGCCTATGGTGAAAAAGGAAATATCTTCCCATAAAAACTAGACAGAAGCATTCTCAGAAACTTGTTTGTGATGTGTGTATTCAACTAACAGACTTGGACTTTGTTTTTACAGAGCTGTTTTAAGACAATCTTTTTGTGGAATCAGAAAGTGGATATTCGGATGGCTTTGAGGATTTCGTTGGAAGCGGGATTACATATAAAATCTAGAGAGAAGCATTCTCAGGATCTACTTTGTGATGTTTGCATTGAAGTCACAGAATTGAACATTCACTTTGATAGAGCAGGTTTGAAACACTCATTCTGTAGTATCTGGAAGTGGACATTTCAAGCGCTTTCAGGCCTATGGGGAGAAAGGAAATATCTTCAAATAAAAACTAGACAGAAGCATCCTCAGAAACTTATTTGTGATGTGTGTCCTCAACTAACAGAGTTGAAACTTTGTTTTGATACAGCATTTTGGAAACACTCTTTTTGTAGAATCTGCAGGTGGATATTTGGATAGCTTAGAGGGATTCGTTGGAAAGGGGATATCTTCATATAAAACCTAGACAGAAGCATTCTCAGAAACTTATTTGTGATGTGTGTCCTCAACTAACAGAGTGGAACCTTGGTTTTGATACAGCATTTTGGAAACACTCCTTTTGTAGAATCTGCAGGTGGATATGTGGATAGCTTTGAAGATTTCGTTGGAAACGGGAATTTCTTCATATAAAATCAAACAGAAGCATTCTCAGAAACTTCTCTGTGATGTTTGCATTCAGCTCATGGAGTTGAACACTTCCTTTCATAGAGCAGGTTTGAAAAACTCTTTCTGCACTACCAGGAAGTGGACATTTCGAGCGCTTTGAGGCTTATGGTGAAAAAGGAAATATCTTCTCATAAAAACCAGAAAGAAGCGTTCTCAGAAACTTCTTTGTGTTGTGTGTACTCATGTAACAGTGTTGAACCATCCTTTTGACAGAGCAGTTTTGAAACAATCTTTTTGTAGAATCTGCAAGTGGATATTTGGATAGCTTTGAGGATTTCGTTGGAAATGGGATATCTTCATATAAAATCTAGACAGAAGCATTCTCAGAAACTTCTTTGTGCTGTATGTCCTCAATTAACAGAGTTGAACCATTGCTTGGATACAGCATTTTGGAAACATTCCTTTAGTAGAATCTGCAAGTTGATATTTAGATAGCTTTGAAGATTTCGTTGGAAACGGGAATATCTTCATAAAAAATCTAGACGGAAGCATTGTCAGAAACTGCTTTGTGATGTTTGCATTCAAGTCACAGAGTTAAATATTCTTTTACAGAGCAGGTTTGAAACACTCTTTCTGCACTCCCTGGAAGTGGAGATTTCGAGTGCTTTGAGGCCTATGGTGAAAAAGGAAATATCTTCCCATAAAAACTAGACGGAAGCATTCTCAGAAACTTGTTTATGATGTGTGTATTCAACTAACAGACTTGAACTTTTGTTTTTACAGAGCAGTTTTAAGACAATCTTTTTGTGGAATCAGAAAGTGGATATTCGGATGGCTTTGAGGATTTCGCTGGAAGCGGGATTTCATGTAAAATCTAGAGAGAAGCATTCTCAGGAACTTCTTTCTGATGTTTGCATTCAAGTCACAGAATTGAACATTCCTTTTCATAGTGCAGGTTTGAAACACTCTTTCTGTATTATCTGGAAGTGGACATTTCAAGCGCTTTCAGGCCTATGGGGAGAAAGGAAATATCTTCAAATAAAAACTAGACAGAAGGATTTTCAGAAACTTATTGGTGATGTGTGTCCTAAACGAACACAGTTGAACCTTTGTTTTGATACAGCATTTTGGAAACACTCCCTTTGTAGAATCTGCAGGTGGATATTTGGATAGATTTTAAGATTTCGTTGGAAACGGGAATTTCTTCATATAAACTCAAGACAGATGCATTCTCCGAAACTTCTCTGTGATGTTTGCATTCCACTCATAGAGTTGAAAACTTCCTTTCATAGAGCAGGTTTGAAACACTCTTTTTGTAATATTTGGAAGTGGACATTTGCAGCGCTTTGAGGCCTATGGTGAAAAAGGAAATATCTTCTCATAAAAACCAGAAACAAGCATTCTCAGAAACTTCTTTTTGATGTGTGTACTCAAGTAACAGAGTTGAACCTTCCTTTTGACACAGCAGTTTTGAAACAATCTTTTTGTAGAATCTGCAAGTGGATATTTGGATAGCTTTGAGGATTTCGTTGGAAACGGGATATCTTCATATAAAATCTAGACAGAAGCATTCTCAGAAACTTCTTTGTGCTGTATGTCCTCAATTAACAGAGTTGAACCATTGCTTGGATACAGCATTTTGGAAACATTCCTTTAGTAGAATCTGCAAGTTGATATTTAGATAGATTTGAAGATTTCGTTGGAAACGGGAATATCTTCATATAAAATCTAGACGGAGGCATTCTCAGAAACTGCTTTGTGATGTTTCCATTCAAGTCACAGATTTGAATATTCTCTTTTATAGAGCACGTTTGAAACACTCTTTCTGCACTATCTGGAAGTGGACATTTCGAGCGCTGTGAGGCCTATGGTGAAAAAGGAAATATCTTCCCATAAAAACTAGACAGAAGCATTCTCAGAAACTTGTTTGTGATGTGTGTATTCAACTAACAGACTTGAACTTTTGTTTTTACAGAGCAGTTTTAAAACAATCTTTTTGTGGAATCAGAAAGTGGATATTCGGATGGCTTTGAGGATTTCGTTGGAAGCGGGATTACATATAAAATCTAGAGAGAAGCATTCTCAGGAACTACTTTGTGATGTTTGCATTGAAGTCACAGAATTGAACATTCACTTTGATAGAGCAGGTTTGAAACACTCATTCTGTAGTATCTGGAAGTGGACATTTCAAGCGCTTTCAGGCCTATGGGGAGAAAGGAAATATCTTCAAATTAAAACTAGACAGAAGCATCCTCAGAAACTTATTTGTGATGTGTGTCCTCAACTAACAGAGTTGAAACTTTGTTTTGATACAGCATTTTGGAAACACTCTTTTTGTAGAATCTGCAGGTGGATACTTGGATAGCTTAGAGGGATTCGTTGGAAAGGGGATATCTTCATATAAAATCTAGACAGAAGCATTCTCAGAAACTTATTTGTGATGTGTGTCCTCAACTAACAGAGTTGAACCTTGGTTTTGATACAGCATTTTGGAAACACTGCTTTTGAAGAATCTGCAGGTGGATATGTGGATAGCTTTGAAGATTTCGTTGGAAACGGGAATTTCTTCATATAAAATCAAACAGAAGCATTCTCAGAAACTTCTCTGTGATGTTTGCATTCAGCTCATGGAGTTGAACACTTCCTTTCATAGAGCAGGTTTGAAACACTCTTTCTGCACTACCTAGAAGTGGACATTTCGAGCGCTTTGAGGCCTATGGTGAAAAAGGAAATATCCTCTCATAAAAACCAGAAAGAAGCGTTCTCAGAAACTTCTTTGTGTTGTGTGTACTCATGTAACAGTGTTGAACCATCCTTTTGACAGAGCAGTTTTGAAACACTCTTTTTGTAGAATCTGCAAGTGGATATTTGGATAGCTTTGAGGATTTCGTTGGAAACGGGTTATCTTCATATTAAATCTAGACAGAAGCATTCTCAGAAACTTCTTTGTGCTGTATGTCCTCAATTCACAGAGCTGAACCTTTGTTTGGATACAGCATTTTGGAAACATTCCTTTAGTAGAATCTGCAAGTTGATATTTAGATAGCTTTGAAGATTTCGTTGGAAACGGGAATATCTTCATAAAAAATCTAGACGGAAGCATTGTCAGAAACTGCTCTGTGATGTTTGCATTCAAGTCACAGAGTTAAATATTCTTTTACAGAGCAGGTTTGAAACACTCTTTCTGCACTCCCTGGAAGTGGAGATTTCGAGCGCTTTGAGGCCTATGGTGAAAAAGGAAATATCTTCCCATAAAAACTAGACGGAAGCCTTCTTAGAAACTTGTTTGAGATGTGTGTATTCAACTAAGAGCGTTGAATATTTCTTTTTACAGAGCAGTTTTAAAACACTCTTTTGGTGGAATCTGAAAGTGGATAATTGGATAGCTTTGTGGATTTCGTTGGAAACGGGATGACGTTTAAAATCTAGAGAGAAGCATTTTCAGGAACTTCTTTCTGATGTTTGCATTCAAGTCACAGAATTGAACATTCCTTTTCAGAGTGCAGGTTTGAAACACTCTTTCTGTAGTATCTGGAAGTGGACATTTCAAGCGCTTTCAGGCCTACGGGGAGAAAGGAAATATCTTCAAATAAAAACTAGACAGAAGGATTCTCAGAAACTTATTTGTGATGTGTGTCCTAAACGAACACAGTTGAACCTTTGTTTTGATACAGCATTTTGGAAACACTCCTTTTGTAGGATCTGCAGGTGGATATTTGGATAGATTTTAAAATTTCGTTGGAAACGGGAATTTCTTCATAGAAGCTCAAGACAGATGCATTCTCAGAAACTTCTCTGTGATGTTTGCATTCCACTCATAGAGTTGAAAACTTCCTTTCATAGAGCAGGTTTGAAACACTCTTTTTGTAATATTTGGAAGTGGACATTTGCAGCGCTTTGAGGCCTATGGTGAAAAAGGAAATATCTTCTCATAAAAACCAGAAACAAGCATTCTCAGAAACTTCTTTTTGATGTGTGTACTCAAGTAACAGAGTTGAACCTTCCTTTTGACACAGCAGTTTTGAAACAATCTTTTTGTAGAATCTGCAAGTGGATATTTGGATAGCTTTGAGGATTTCGTTGGAAACGGGATATCTTCATATAAAATCTAGACAGAAGCATTCTCAGAAACTTCTTTGTGCTGTATGTCCTCAATTAACAGAGTTGAACCATTGCTTGGATACAGCATTTTGGAAACATTCCTTGAGTAGAATCTGCAAGTTGATATTTAGATAGATTTGAAGATTTCGTTGGAAAAGGGAATATCTCCATATAAAATCTAGAGGGAAGCATTCTCAGAAACTGCTTTGTGATGTTTCCATTCAAGTCACAGAGTTGAATATTCCCTTTTATAGAGCACGTTTGAAACACTCTTTCTGCACTATCTGGAAGTGGACATTTCGAGCGCTTTGAGGCCTATGGTGAAAAAGGAAATATCTTCCCATAAAAACTAGACAGAAGCATTCTCAGAAACTTGTTTGTGATGTGTGTATTCAACTAACAGAGTTGAACTTTTGTTTTTACAGAGCCGTTTTAAAACACTCTTTTTGTGGAATCAGAAAGTGGATATTCGGATGGCTCTGAGGATTTCGTTGGAAGCGGGATTACATATAAAATCTAGAGAGAAGCATTCTCAGGAACTTCTTTGTGATGTTTGCATTGAAGTCACAGAATTGAACATTCACTTTGATAGAGCAGGTTTGAAACACTCATTCTGTAGTATCTGGAAGTGGACATTTCAAGCGCTTTCAGGCCTATGGTGGGAAAGGAAATATCTTCGAATAAAAACTAGACAGAAGCATCCTCAGAAACTTATTTGTGATGTGTGTCCTCAACTAACAGAGTTAAAACTTTGTTTTGATACAGCATTTTGGAAACACTCTTTTTGTAGAATCTGCAGGTGGATATTTTGATAGCTTAGAGGGATTCGTTGGAAAGGGGATATCTTCATATAAAATCTAGACAGAAGCATTCTCAGAAACTTATTTGTGATGTGTGTCCTCAACTAACAGAGTTGAACCTTTGTTTTGATACAGCATTTTGGAAACACTCCTTTTGTAGAATCTGCAGGTGGATATTTGGATAGCTTTGAAGATTTCGTTGGAAACCGGAATATCTTCATATAAAATCAAGACAGAAGCATTCTCGGAAACATCTCTGTGATGTTTGCATTCAACTCAGTAGAGTTGAACACTTCCTTTCATAGAGCAGGTTTGAAACACTCTTTCTGCACTACCTGGAAGCGGACATTTCGAGCGCTTTGAGGCCTATGGTGAAAAAGGAAATATCTTCTCATAAAAACCAGAAAGAAGCATTCTCAGAAACTTCTTTGTGTTGTGTGTACTCAAGTAACAGTGTTGAACCTTCCTTTTGACAGAGTAGTTTTGAAACACTCTTTTGGTAGAATCTGCAAGTGGATATTTGGATAGCTTTGAGGATTTCGTTGGAAACGGGTTATCTTCCTATAAAATCCAGACAGGAGCATTCTCAGAAACTTCTTTGTGCTGTATGTCCTCAATTCACAGAGTTGAACTTTGTTTGGATACAGCATTTTGGAAACATTCCTTTAGTAGAATCTGCAAGTTGATATTTAGATAGCTTTGAAGATTTCGTTGGAAACGGGAATATCTTCATAAAAAATCTAGACGGAAGCATTCTCAGAAACTGCTTTGTGATGTTTGCATTCAAGTCACAGAGTTGAATATTCCCTTTTATAGAGTAGGTTTGAAACACTCTTTCGGCACTACCTGGAAGTGGATATTTCGAGCTCTTTGAGGCCTATGGTTAAAAGGAAATATCTTCCCATAAAAACTAGACAGAAGCCGTCTCAGAAACTTGTTTGTGATGTGTGTATTCAACTACCAGAGTTGAACATTTCTGTTACAGAGCAATTTTAAAACACTCTTTCTGTGGAATCTGAAAGTGGATAATTGGATAGCTTTGTGGATTTCGTTGGAAACGGGATGACGTATAAAATCTAGAGAGAAGCATTCTCAGGAACTTCTTTCTGATGTTTGCATTCAAGTCACAGAATTGAACATTCCTTTTCAGAGTGCAGGTTTGAAACACTCTTTCTGTAGTATCTGGAAGTGGACATTTCAAGCGCTTTCAGGCCTACGGGGAGAAAGGAAATATCTTCAAATAAAAACTAGACAGAAGGGTTCTCAGAAACTTATTTGTGATGTGTGTCCTAAACGAACACAGTTGAACCTTTGTTTTGATACAGCATTTTGGAAACACTCCTTTTGTAGGATCTGCAGGTGGATATTTGGATAGATTTTAAGATTTCGTTGGAAACGGGAATTTCTGCATAGAAACTCAAGACAGATGCATTCTCAGAAACTTCTCTGTGATGTGTGCATTCCACTCATAGAGTTGAAAACTTCCTTTCATAGAGCAGGTTTGAAACACTCTTTTTGTAATATTTGGAAGTGGACATTTGCAGCGCTTTGAGGCCTATGGTGAAAAAGGAAATATCTTCTCATAAAAACCAGAAACAAGCATTCTCAGAAACTTCTTTTTGATGTGTGTACTCAAGTAACAGAGTTGAACCTTCCTCTTGACACAGCAGTTTTGAAACAATCTTTTTGTAGAATCTGCAAGTGGATATTTGGATAGCTTTGAGGATTTCGTTGGAAACGGGATATCTTCATATAAAAATCTAGACAGAAGCATTCTCAGAAACTTCTTTGTGCTGTATGTCCTCAATTAACAGAGTTGAACCATTGCTTGGATACAGCATTTTGGAAACATTCCTTGAGTAGAATCTGCAAGTTGATATTTAGATAGATTTGAAGATTTCGTTGGAAAAGGGAATATCTCCATATAAAATCTAGAGGGAAGCATTCTCAGAAACTGCTTTGTGATGTTTCCATTCAAGTCACAGAGTTGAATATTCCCTTTTATAGAGCACGTTTGAAACACTCTTTCTGCACTATCTGGAAGTGGACATTTCGAGCGCTTTGAGGCCTATGGTGAAAAAGGAAATATCTTCCCATAAAAACTAGACAGAAGCATTCTCAGAAACTTGTTTGTGATGTGTGTATTCAACTAACAGAGTTGAACTTTTGTTTTTACAGAGCCGTTTTAAAACACTCTTTTTGTGGAATCAGAAAGTGGATATTCGGATGGCTCTGAGGATTTCGTTGGAAGCGGGATTACGTATAAAATCTAGAGAGAAGCATTCTCAGGAACTTCTTTGTGATGTTTGCATTGAAGTCACAGAATTGAACATTCACTTTGATAGAGCAGGTTTGAAACACTCATTCTGTAGGATCTGGAAGTGGACATTTCAAGCGCTTTCAGGCCTATGGTGAGAAAGGAAATATCTTCGAATAAAAACTAGACAGAAGCATTCTCAGAAACTTATTTGTGATGTGTGTCCTCAACTAACAGAGTTGAAACTTTGTTTTGATACAGCATTTTGGAAACACTCTTTTTGTAGAATCTGCAGGTGGATATTTGGATAGCTTAGAGGGATTCGTTGGAAAGGGGATATCTTCATATAAAATCTAGACAGAAGCATTCTCAGAAACTTATTTGTGATGTGTGTCCTCAACTAACAGAGTTGAACCTTGGTTTTGATACAGCATTTTGGAAACACTCCTTTTGTAGAATCTGCAGGTGGATATGTGGATAGCTCTGAAGATTTCGTTGGAAACGGGAATTTCTTCATATAAAATCAAACAGAAGCATTCTCAGAAACTTCTCAGTGATGTTTGCATTCAGCTCATGGAGTTGTACACTTCCTTTCATAGAGCAGGTTTGAAACACTCTTTCTGCACTACCTGGAAGAGGACATTTCGAGCGCTTTGAGTCCTATGGTGAAAAAGGAAATATCTTCTCATAGAAACCAGAAAGAAGCATTCTCAGAAACTTCTTTGTGTTGTGTGTACTCATGTAACAGTGTTGAACCATCCTTTTGACAGAGGAGTTTTGAAACACTCTTTTTGTAGAATCTGCAAGTGGATATTTGGATAGCTTTGAGGATTTCGTTGGAAACGGGATGACATATAATATCTAGAGAGAAGCATTCTCAGGAACTTCTTTGTGATGTTTGCATTCAAGTCACAGAATTGAACATTCCCTTTCATAGAGCAGGTTTGAAACACTCTTTCTCTAGTATCTGGAAGTGGGCATTTCAAGCGCTTTCAGGCCTATGGAGAGAAAGGAAATACCTTCAAATAAAAACTAGACAGAAGCATTCTCAGAAACTTATTTGTGATGTGTGTCCTCAACTAACAGAGTTGAACCTTTGTTTTGATACAGCATTTTGGAAACACTCCTTTTGTAGAATCTGCAGGTGGATATGTGGATAGCTTTGAAGATTTCGTTGGAAACCGGAATATCTTCCTATAAAATCAAGACAGAAGCATTCTCGGAAACATCTCTGTGATGTTTGCATTCAACTCAGTAGAGTTGAACACGTCCTTTCATAGAGCAGGTTTGAAACACTCTTTCTGCCCTACCTGGAAGCGGACATTTCGAGCTCTTTGAGGCCTATGGTGAAAAAGGAAATATCTTCTCATAAAAACCAGAAAGAAGCATTCTCAGAAACTTCTTTGTGTTGTGTGTACTCAAGTAACAGTGTTGAACCTTCCTTTTGACAGAGCAGTTTTGAAACACTCTTTTGGTAGAATCTGCAAGTGGATATTTGGATAGCTTTGAGGATTTCGTTGGAAACGGGTTATCTTCATATAAAATCCAGACAGGAGCATTCTCAGAAACTTCTTTGTGCTGTATGTCCTCAATTCACAGAGCTGAACCTTTGTTTGGATACAGCATTTTGGAGACATTCCTTTAGTAGAATCTGCAAGTTGATATTTAGATAGCTTTGAAGATTTCGTTGGAAACGGGAATATCTTCATAGAAAATCTAGACGGAAGCATTCTCAGAAACTGCTTTGTGATGTTTGCATTCAAGTCACAGAGTTGAATATTCCCTTTTATAGAGTAGGTTTGAAACACTCTTTCGGCACTACCTGGAAGTGGATATTTCGAGCTCTTTGAGGCCTATGGTTAAAAGGAAATATCTTCCCATAAAAACTAGACAGAAGCCGTCTCAGAAACTTGTTTGTGATGTGTGTATTCAACTACCAGAGTTGAACATTTCTGTTACAGAGCAATTTTAAAACACTCTTTCTGTGGAATCTGAAAGTGGATAATTGGATAGCTTTGTGGATTTCGTTGGAAACGGGATGACGTATAAAATCTAGAGAGAAGCATTCTCAGGAACTTCTTTCTGATGTTTGCATTCAAGTCACAGAATTGAACATTCCTTTTCAGAGTGCAGGTTTGAAACACTCTTTCTGTAGTATCTGGAAGTGGACATTTCAAGCGCTTTCAGGCCTACGGGGAGAAAGGAAATATCTTCAAATAAAAACTAGACAGAAGGATTCTCAGAAACTTATTTGTGATGTGTGTCCTAAACGAACACAGTTGAACCTTTGTTTTGATACAGCATTTTGGAAACACTCCTTTTGTAGGATCTGCAGGTGGATATTTGGATAGATTTTAAGATTTCGTTGGAAACGGGAATTTCTGCATAGAAACTCAAGACAGATGCATTCTCAGAAACTTCTCTGTGATGTGTGCATTCCACTCATAGAGTTGAAAACTTCCTTTCATAGAGCAGGTTTGAAACACTCTTTTTGTAATATTTGGAAGTGGACATTTGCAGCGCTTTGAGGCCTATGGTGAAAAAGGAAATATCTTCTCATAAAAACCAGAAACAAGCATTCTCAGAAACTTCTTTTTGATGTGTGTACTCAAGTAACAGAGTTGAACCTTCCTTTTGACACAGCAGTTTTGAAACAATCTTTTTGTAGAATCTGCAAGTGGATATTTGGATAGCTTTGAGGATTTCGTTGGAAACGGGATATCTTCATATAAAATCTAGACAGAAGCATTCTCAGAAACTTCTTTGTGCTGTATGACCTCAATTAACAGAGTTGAACCATTGCTTGCATACAGCATTTTGGAAACATTCCTTGAGTAGAATCTGCAAGTTGATATTTAGATAGATTTGAAGATTTCGTTCGAAAACGGAATATCTCCATATAAAATCTAGAGGGAAGCATTCTCAGAAACTGCTTTGTGATGTTTCCATTCAAGTCACAGAGTTGAATATTCCCTTTTATAGAGCACGTTTGAAACACTCTTTCTGCGCTATCTGGAAGTGGACATTTCGAGCGCTGTGAGGCCTATGGTGAAAAAGGAAATATCTTCCCATAAAAACTAGACAGAAGCATTCTCAGAAACTTGTTTGTGATGTGTGTATTCAACTAACAGAGTTGAACTTTTGTTTTTACAGAGCCGTTTTAAAACACTCTTTTTGTGGAATCAGAAAGTGGATATTCGGATGGCTCTGAGGATTTCGTTGGAAGCGGGATTACATATAAAATCTAGAGAGAAGCATTCTCAGGAACTTCTTTGTGATGTTTGCATTGAAGTCACAGAATTGAACATTCACTTTGATAGAGCAGGTTTGAAACACTCATTCTGTAGTATCTGGAAGTGGACATTTCAAGCGCTTTCAGGCCTATGGTGAGAAAGGAAATATCTTCGAATAAAAACTAGACAGAAGCATCCTCAAACTTATTTGTGATGTGTGTCCTCAACTAACAGAGTTGAAACTTTGTTTTGATACAGCATTTTGGAAACACTCTTTTTGTAGAATCTGCAGGTGGATATTTGGATAGCTTAGAGGGATTCGTTGGAAAGGGGATATCTTCATATAGAATCTAGACAGAAGCATTCTCAGAAACTTATTTGTGATGTGTGTCCTCAACTAACAGAGTTGAACTTTGGTTTTGATACAGCATTTTGGAAACACTCCTTTTGTAGAATCTGCAGGTGGATATGTGGATAGCTCTGAAGATTTCGTTGGAAACGGGAATTTCTTCATATAAAATCAAACAGAAGCATTCTCAGAAACTTCTCAGTGATGTTTGCATTCAGTTCATGGAGTTGAACACTTCCTTTCATAGAGCCGGTTTGAAACACTCTTTCTGCACTACCTGGAAGAGGACATTTCGAGCGCTTTGAGTCCTATGGTGAAAAAGGAAATATCTTCTCATAGAAACCAGAAAGAAGCATTCTCAGAAACTTCTTTGTGTTGTGTGTACTCATGTAACAGTGTTGAACCATCCTTTTGACAGAGCAGTTTTGAAACACTCTTTTTGTAGAATCTGCAAGTGGATATTTGGATAGCTTTGAGGATTTCGTTGGAAACGGGATGACATATAATATCTAGAGAGAAGCATTCTCAGGAACTTCTTTGTGATGTTTGCATTCAAGTCACAGAATTGAACATTCCCTTTCATAGAGCAGGTTTGAAACACTCTTTCTCTAGTATCTGGAAGTGGGCATTTCAAGCGCTTTCAGGCCTATGGAGAGAAAGGAAATACCTTCAAATAAAAACTAGACAGAAGCATTCTCAGAAACTTATTTGTGATGTGTGTCCTCAACTAACAGAGTTGAACCTTTGTTTTGATACAGCATTTTGGAAACACTCCTTTTGTAGAATCTGCAGGTGGATATTTGGATAGCTTTGAAGATTTCGTTGGAAACCGGAATATCTTCATATAAAATCAAGACAGAAGCATTCTCGGAAACATCTCTGTGATGTTTGCATTCAACTCAGTAGAGTTGAACACTTCCTTTCATAGAGCAGGTTTGAAACACTCTTTCTGCACTACCTGGAAGCGGACATTTCGAGCGCTTTGAGGCCTATGGTGAAAAAGGAAATATCTTCTCATAAAAACCAGAAAGAAGCATTCTCAGAAACTTCTTTGTGTTGTGTGTACTCAAGTAACAGTGTTGAACCTTCCTTTTGACAGAGCAGTTTTGAAACACTCTTTTGGTAGAATCTGTGAGTGGATATTTGGATAGCTTTGAGGATTTCGTTGGAAACGGGTTATCTTCCTATAAAATCCAGACAGGAGCATTCTCAGAAACTTCTTTGTGCTGTATGTCCTCAACTCACAGAGCTGAACCTTTGTTTGGATACAGCATTTTGGAGACATTCCTTTAGTAGAATCTGCAAGTTGATATTTAGATAGCTTTGAAGATTTCGTTGGAAACGGGAATATCTTCATAGAAAATCTAGACGGAAGCATTCTCAGAAACTGCTTTGTGATGTTTGCATTCAAGTCACAGAGTTGAATATTCCCTTTTATAGAGTAGGTTTGAAACACTCTTTCGGCACTACCTGGAAGTGGATATTTCGAGCTCTTTGAGGCCTATGGTTAAAAGGAAATATCTTCCCATAAAAACTAGACAGAAGCCGTCTCAGAAACTTGTTTGTGATGTGTGTATTCAACTAACAGAGTTGAACATTTCTGTTACAGAGCAATTTAAAACACTCTTTTTGTGGAATCTGAAAGTGGATAATTGGATAGCTTTGTGGATTTCGTTGGAAACGGGATGACGTATAAAATCTAGAGAGAAGCATTCTCAGGAACTTCTTTCTGATGTTTGCATTCAAGTCACAGAATTGAACATTCCTTTTCAGAGTGCAGGTTTGAAACACTCTTTCTGTAGTATCTGGAAGTGGACATTTCAAGCGCTTTCAGGCCTACGGGGAGAAAGGAAATATCTTCAAATAAAAACTAGAGAGAAGGATTCTCAGAAACTTATTTGTGATGTGTGTCCTAAACGAACACAGTTGAACCTTTGTTTTGATACAGCATTTTGGAAACACTCCTTTTGTAGGATCTGCAGGTGGATATTTGGATAGATTTTAAGATTTCGTTGGAAACGGGAATTTCTTCATAGAAGCTCAAGACAGATGCATTCTCAGAAACTTCTCTGTGATGTTTGCATTCCACTCATAGAGTTGAAAACTTCCTTTCATAGAGCAGGTTTGAAACACTCTTTTTGTAATATTTGGAAGTGGACATTTGCAGCGCTTTGAGGCCTATGGTGAAAAAGGAAATATCTTCTCATAAAAACCAGAAACAAGCATTCTCAGAAACTTCTTTTTGATGTGTGTACTCAAGTAACAGAGTTGATCCTTCCTCTTGACACAGCAGTTTTGAAACAATCTTTTTGTAGAATCTGCAAGTGGATATTTGGATAGCTTTGAGGATTTCGTTGGAAACGGGATATCTTCATATAAAATCTAGACAGAAGCATTCTCAGAAACTTCTTTGTGCTGTATGTCCTCAATTAACAGAGTTGAACCATTGCCTGGATACAGCATTTTGGAAACATTCCTTGAGTAGAATCTGCAAGTTGATATTTAGATAGATTTGAAGATTTCGTTGGAAAAGGGAATATCTCCATATAAAATCTAGAGGGAAGCATTCTCAGAAACTGCTTTGTGATGTTTCCATTCAAGTCACAGAGTTGAATATTCTCTTTTATAGAGCACGTTTGAAACACTCTTTCTGCACTATCTGGAAGCGGACATTTCGAGCGCTTTGAGGCCTATGGTGAAAAAGGAAATATCTTCCCATAAAAACTAGACAGAAGCATTCTCAGAAACTTGTTTGTGATGTGTGTATTCAACTAACAGAGTTGAACTTTTGTTTTTACAGAGCCGTTTTAAAACACTCTTTTTGTGGGATCAGAAAGTGGATATTCGGATGGCTCTGAGGATTTCGTTGGAAGCGGGATTACATATAAAATCTAGAGAGAAGCATTCTCAGGAACTTCTTTCTGATGTTTGCATTGAAGTCACAGAATTGAACATTCACTTTTATAGAGCAGGTTTGAAACACTCATTCTGTAGTATCTGGAAGTGGACATTTCAAGCGCTTTCAGGCCTATGGTGAGAAAGGAAATATCTTCGAATAAAAACTAGACAGAAGCATCCTCAAACTTATTTGTGATGTGTGTCCTCAACTAACAGAGTTGAACCTTTGTTTTGATACAGCATTTTGGAAACACTCTTTTTGTAGAATCTGCAGGTGGATATTTGGATAGCTTAGAGGGATTCGTTGGAAAGGGGATATCTTCATATAAAATCTAGACAGAAGCATTCTCAGCAAACTTATTTGTGATGTGTGTCCTCAACTAACAGAGTTGAACCTTGGTTTTGATACAGCATTTTGGAAACACTCCTTTTGTAGAATCTGCAGGTGGATATGTGGATAGCTCTGAAGATTTCGTTGGAAACGGGA
This sequence comes from Homo sapiens, assembly GCF_000001405.40. NCBI lineage: Eukaryota > Metazoa > Chordata > Mammalia > Primates > Hominidae > Homo > Homo sapiens. The sequence continues at coordinate 50,144,087 of NC_000004.12, forward strand.
ATTTCTTCATATAAAATCAAACAGAAGCATTCTCAGAAACTTCTCAGTGATGTTTGCATTCAGCTCATGGAGTTGTACACTTCCTTTCATAGAGCAGGTTTGAAACACTCTTTCTGCACTACCTGGAAGAGGACATTTCGAGCGCTTTGAGTCCTATGGTGAAAAAGGAAATATCTTCTCATAGAAACCAGAAAGAAACATTCTCAGAAACTTCTTTGTGTTGTGTGTACTCATGTAACAGTGTTGAACCATCCTTTTGACAGAGCAGTTTTGAAACACTCTTTTTGTAGAATCTGCAAGTGGATATTTGGATAGCTTTGAGGATTTCGTTGGAAACGGGATGACATATAATATCTAGAGAGAAGCATTCTCAGGAACTTCTTTGTGATGTTTGCATTCAAGTCACAGAATTGAACATTCCCTTTCATAGAAGCGACAGGTTTGAAACACTCTTTCTCTAGTATCTGGAAGTGGGCATTTCAAGCGCTTTCAGGCCTATGGAGAGAAAGGAAATACCTTCAAATAAAAACTAGACAGAAGCATTCTCAGAAGCTTATTTGTGATGTGTGTCCTCAACTAACAGAGTTGAACCTTTGTTTTGATACAGCATTTTGGAAACACTCCTTTTGTAGAATCTGCAGGTGGATATTTGGATAGCTTTGAAGATTTCGTTGGAAACCGGAATATCTTCCTATAAAATCAAGACAGAAGCATTCTCGGAAACATCTCTGTGATGTTTGCATTCAACTCAGTAGAGTTGAACACTTCCTTTCATAGAGCAGGTTTGAAACACTCTTTCTGCACTACCTGGAAGCGGACATTTCGAGCGCTTTGAGGCCTATGGTGAAAAAGGAAATATCTTCTCATAAAAACCAGAAAGAAGCATTCTCAGAAACTTCTTTGTGTTGTGTGTACTCAAGTAACAGTGTTGAACCTTCCTTTTGACAGAGCAGTTTTGAAACACTCTTTTGGTAGAATCTGCAAGTGGATATTTGGATAGCTTTGAGGATTTCGTTGGAAACGGGTTATCTTCATATAAAATACCAGACAGGAGCATTCTCAGAAACTTCTTTGTGCTGTATGTCCTCAATTCACAGAGCTGAACCTTTGTTTGGATACAGCATTTTGGAGACATTCCTTTAGTAGAATCTGCAAGTTGATATTTAGATAGCTTTGAAGATTTCGTTGGAAACGGGAATATCTTCATAGAAAATCTAGACGGAAGCATTCTCAGAAACTGCTTTGTGATGTTTGCATTCAAGTCACAGAGTTGAATATTCCCTTTTATAGAGTAGGTTTGAAACACTCTTTCGGCACTACCAGGAAGTGGATATTTCGAGCTCTTTGAGGCCTATGGTTAAAAGGAAATATCTTCCCATAAAAACTAGACAGAAGCCGTCTCAGAAACTTGTTTGTGATGTGTGTATTCAACTAACAGAGTTGAACATTTCTGTTACAGAGCAATTTTAAAACACTCTTTGTGGAATCTGAAAGTGGATAATTGGATAGCTTTGTGGATTTCGTTGGAAACGGGATGACGTATAAAATCTAGAGAGAAGCATTCTCAGGAACTTCTTTCTGATGTTTGCATTCAAGTCACAGAATTGAACATTCCTTTTCAGAGTGCAGGTTTGAAACACTCTTTCTGTAGTATCTGGAAGTGGACATTTCAAGCGCTTTCAGGCCTACGGGGAGAAAGGAAATCTCTTCAAATAAAAACCAGACAGAAGGATTCTCAGAAACTTATTTGTGATGTGTGTCCTAAACGAACACAGTTGAACCTTTGTTTTGATACAGCATTTTGGAAACACTCCTTTTGTAGGATCTGCAGGTGGATATTTGGATAGATTTTAAGATTTCGTTGGAAACGGGAATTTCTTCATAGAAGCTCAAGACAGATGCGTTCTCAGAAACTTCTCTGTGATGTTTGCATTCCACTCATAGAGTTGAAAACTTCCTTTCATAGAGCAGGTTTGAAACACTCTTTTTGTAATATTTGGAAGTGGACATTTGCAGCGCTTTGAGGCCTATGGTGAAAAAGGAAATATCTTCTCATAAAAACCAGAAACAAGCATTCTCAGAAACTTCTTTTTGATGTGTGTACTCAAGTAACAGAGTTGAACCTTCCTCTTGACACAGCAGTTTTGAAACAATCTTTTTGTAGAATCTGCAAGTGGATATTTGGATAGCTTTGAGGATTTCGTTGGAAACGGGATATCTTCATATAAAATCTAGACAGAAGCATTCTCAGAAACTTCTTTGTGCTGTATGTCCTCAATTAACAGAGTTGAACCATTGCCTGGATACAGCATTTTGGAAACATTCCTTGAGTAGAATCTGCAAGTTGATATTTAGATAGATTTGAAGATTTCGTTGGAAAAGGGAATATCTCCATATAAAATCTAGAGGGAAGCATTCTCAGAAACTGCTTTGTGATGTTTCCATTCAAGTCACAGAGTTGAATATTCCCTTTTATAGAGCACGTTTGAAACACTCTTTCTGCACTATCTGGAAGCGGACATTTCGAGCGCTTTGAGGCCTATGGTGAAAAAGGAAATATCTTCCCATAAAAACTAGACAGAAGCATTCTCAGAAACTTGTTTGTGATGTGTGTATTCAACTAACAGAGTTGAACTTTTGTTTTTACAGAGCCGTTTTAAAACACTCTTTTTGTGGAATCAGAAAGTGGATATTCGGATGGCTCTGAGGATTTCGTTGGAAGCGGGATTACGTATAAAATCTAGAGAGAAGCATTCTCAGGAACTTCTTTCTGATGTTTGCATTGAAGTCACGGAATTGAACATTCACTTTTATAGAGCAGGTTTGAAACACTCATTCTGTAGTATCTGGAAGTGGATATTTCAAGCGCTTTCAGGCCTATGGTGAGAAAGGAAATATCTTCGAATAAAAACTAGACAGAAGCATCCTCAGAAACTTATTTGTGATGTGTGTCCTCAACTAACAGAGTTGAAACTTTGTTTTGATACAGCATTTTGGAAACACTCTTTTTGTAGAATCTGCAGGTGGATATTTGGATAGCTTAGAGGGATTCGTTGGAAAGGGGATATCTTCATATAAAATCTAGACAGAAGCATTCTCAGAAACTTATTTGTGATGTGTGTCCTCAACTAACAGAGTTGAACCTTGGTTTTGATACAGCATTTTGGAAACACTCCTTTTGTAGAATCTGCAGGTGGATATGTGGATAGCTCTGAAGATTTCGTTGGAAACGGGAATTTCTTCATATAAAATCAAACAGAAGCATTCTCAGAAACTTCTCAGTGATGTTTGCATTCAGCTCATGGAGTTGTACACTTCCTTTCATAGAGCAGGTTTGAAACACTCTTTCTGCACTACCTGGAAGAGGACAATTCGAGCGCTTTGAGTCCTATGGTGAAAAAGGAAATATCTTCTCATAGAAACCAGAAAGAAGCATTCTCAGAAACTTCTTTGTGTTGTGTGTACTCATGTAACAGTGTTGAACCATCCTTTTGACAGAGCAGTTTTGAAACACTCTTTTTGTAGAATCTGCAAGTGGATATTTGGATAGCTTTGAGGATTTCGTTGGAAACGGGATGACATATAATATCTAGAGAGAAGCATTCTCAGGAACTTCTTTGTGATGTTTGCATTCAAGTCACAGAATTGAACATTCCCTTTCATAGAGCAGGTTTGAAACACTCTTTCTCTAGTATCTGGAAGTGGGCATTTCAAGCGCTTTCAGGCCTATGGAGAGAAAGGAAATACCTTCAAATAAAAACTAGACAGAAGCATTCTCAGAAACTTATTTGTGATGTGTGTCCTCAACTAACAGAGTTGAACCTTTGTTTTGATACAGCATTTTGGAAACACTCCTTTTGTAGAATCTGCAGGTGGATATTTGGATAGCTTTGAAGATTTCGTTGGAAACCGGAATATGCTTCATATAAAATCAAGACAGAAGCATTCTCGGAAACATCTCTGTGATGTTTGCATTCAACTCAGTAGGGTTGAACACTTCCTTTCATAGAGCAGGTTTGAAACACTCTTTCTGCACTACCTGGAAGCGGACATTTCGGGCGCTTTGAGGCCTATGGTGAAAAAGGAAATATCTTCTCATAAAAACCAGAAAGAAGCATTCTCAGAAACTTCTTTGTGTTGTGTGTACTCAAGTAACAGTGTTGAACCTTCCTTTTGACAGAGCAGTTTTGAAACACTCTTTTGGTAGAATCTGCAAGTGGATATTTGGAGAGCTTTGAGGATTTCGTTGGAAATGGGTTATCTTCATATAAAATCCAGACAAGAGCATTCTCAGAAACTTCTTTGTGCTGTATGTCCTCAATTCACAGAGCTGAACCTTTGTTTGGATACAGCATTTTGGAGACATTCCTTTAGTAGAATCTGCAAGTTGATATTTAGATAGCTTTGAAGATTTCGTTGGAAACGGGAATATCTTCATATAAAATCTAGACGGAAGCATTCTCATAAACTGCTTTGTGATGTTTGCATTCAAGTCACAAAGTTGAATATTCCGTTTTACAGAGTAGGTTTGAAACACTCTTTCGGCACTACCTGGAAGTGGATATTTCGAGCTGTTTGAGGCCTATGGTTAAAAGGAAATATCTTCCCATAAAAACTAGACAGAAGCCGTCTCAGAAACTTGTTTGTGATGTGTGTATTCAACTAACAGAGCTGAACATTTCTGTTACAGAGCAGTTTTAAAACACTCTTTTTGTGGAATCTGAAAGTGGATAATTGGGTAGTTTTGTGGATTTCGTTGGAAACGGGATGACGTAAAAAATCTAGAGAGAAGCATTCTCAGGAACTTCTTTCTGATGTTTGCATTCAAGTCACAGAATTGAACATTCCTTTTCATAGTGCAGGTTTGAAACACTCTTTCTGTAGTATCTGGAAGTGGACATTTCAAGCGCTTTCAGGCCTATGGGGAGAAAGGAAATATCTTCAAATAAAAACTAGACAGAAGGATTCTCAGAAACTTATTGGTGATGTGTGTCCTAAACGAACACAGTTGAACCTTTGTTTTGATACAGCATTTTGGAAACACTCCCTTTGTAGAATCTGCAGGTGGATATTTGGATAGATTTTAAGATTTCGTTGGAAACGGGAATTTCTTCATACAAACTCAGGACAGATGCATTCTCCGAAACTTCTCTGTGATGTTTGCATTCCACTCATAGAGTTGAAAACTTCCTTTCATAGAGCAGGTTTGAAACACTCTTTTTGTAATATTTGGAAGTGGACATTTGCAGCGCTTTGAGGCCTATGGTGAAAAAGGAAATATCTTCTCATAAAAACCAGAAACAAGCATTCTCAGAAACTGCTTTTTGATGTGTGTACTCAAGTAACAGAGTTGAACCTTCCTTTTGACACAGCAGTTTTGAAACAATCTTTTTGTAGAATCTGCAAGTGGATATTTGGATAGATTTGAGGATTTCGTTGGAAACGGGATATCTTCATATAAAATCTAGACAGAAGCATTCTCAGAAACTTCTTTGTGCTGTATGTCCTCAATTAACAGAGTTGAACCATTGCTTGGATACAGCATTTTGGAAACATTCCTTTAGTAGAATCTGCAAGTTGATATTTAGATAGATTTGAAGATTTCGTTGGAAACGGGAATATCTTCATATAAAATCTAGACGGAGGCATTCTCAGAAACTGCTTTGTGATGTTTCCATTCAAGTCACAGAGTTGAATATTCTCTTTTATAGAGCACTTTTGAAACACTCTTTCTGCACTATCTAGAAGTGGACATTTCGAGCGCTTTGAGGCCTATGGTGAAAAAGGAAATATCTTCCCATAAAAACTAGACAGAAGCATTCTCAGAAACTTGTTTGTGATGTGTGTATTCAACTAACAGACTTGAACTTTTGTTTTTACAGAGCAGTTTTAAAACAATCTTTTTGTGGAATCAGAAAGTGGATATTCGGATGGCTTTGAGGATTTCGTTGGAAGCGGGATTACATATAAAATCTAGAGAGAAGCATTCTCAGGAACTACTTTGTGATGTTTGCATTGAAGTCACAGAATTGAACATTCACTTTGATAGAGCAGGTTTGAAACACTCATTCTGTAGTATCTGGAAGTGGACATTTCAAGCGCTTTCAGGCCTATGGTGAGAAAGGAAATATCTTCAAATTAAAACTAGACAGAAGCATCGTCAGAAACTTATTTGTGATGTGTGTCCTCAACTAACAGAGTTGAAACTTTGTTTTGATACAGCCTTTTGGAAACACTCTTTTTGTAGAATCTGCAGGTGCATATTTGGATAGCTTAGAGGGATTCGTTGGAAAGGGGATATCTTCATATAAAATCTAGACAGAAGCATTCTCAGAAACTTATTTGTGATGTGTGTCCTCAACTAACAGAGTTGAACCTTGGTTTTGATACAGCATTTTGGAAACACTCCTTTTGTAGAATCTGCAGGTGGATATGTGGATAGCTTTGAAGATTTCGTTGGAAACGGGAATTTCTTCATGTAAAATCAAACAGAAGCATTCTCAGAAACTTCTCTGTGATGTTTGCATTCAGCTCATGGAGTTGAACACTTCCTTTCATAGAGCAGGTTTGAAACACTCTTTCTGCACTACCTGGAAGCGGACATTTCGAGCGCTTTGAGGCCTATGGTGAAAAAGGAAATATCTTCTCATAAAAACCAGAAAGAAGCATTCTCAGAAACTTCTTTGTGTTGTGTGTACTCAAGTAACAGTGTTGAACCTTCCTTTTGACAGAGCAGGTTTGAAACACTCTTTTGGTAGAATCTGCAAGGGGATATTTGGATAGCTTTGAGGATTTCGTTGGAAACGGGTTATCTTCATATAAAATCCAGACAGGAGCATTCACAGAAACTTCTTTGTGCTGTGTGTCCTCAATTCACAGAGCTGAACCTATGTTTGGATACAGCATTTTGGAAACATTCCTTTAGTAGAATCTGCAAGTTGATATTTAGATAGCTTTGAAGATTTCATTGGAAACGGGAATATCTTCATAGAAAATCTAGACGGAAGCATTCTCATAAACTGCTTTGTGATGTTTGCATTCAAGTCACAGAGTTGAATATTCCCTTTTATAGAGTAGGTTTGAAACACTCTTTCGGCACTACCTGGAAGTGGATATTTCGAGCTCTTTGAGGCCTATGCTTAAAAGGAAATATCTTCCCATAAAAACTAGACAGAAGCCGTCTCAGAAACTTGTTTGTGATGTGTGTATTCAACTAACAGAGTTGAACATTTCTGTTACAGAGCAATTTTAAAACACTCTTTCTGTGAAATCTGAAAGTGGATAATTGGATAGCTTTGTGGATTTCGTTGGAAACGGGATGACGTATAAAATCTAGAGAGAAGCATTCTCAGGAACTTCTTTCTGATGTTTGCATTCAAGTCACAGAATTGAACATTCCTTTTCATAGTGCAGGTTTGAAACGCTCTTTCTGTAGTATCTGGAAGTGGACATTTCATGCGCTTTCAGGCCTATGGGGAGAAAGGAAATATCTTCAAATAAAAACTAGACAGAAGGATTCTCAGAAACTTATTGGTGATGTGTGTCCTAAACGAACACAGTTGAACCTTTGTTTTGATACAGCCTTTTGGAAACACTCCTTTTGTAGAATCTGCAGGTGGATATTTGGATAGATTTTAAGATTTCGTTGGAAACGGGAATGTCTTCATAGAAACTCAAGACAGATGCATTCTCCGAAACTTCTCTGTGATGTTTGCATTCCACTCATAGAGCTGAAAACTTCCTTTCATAGAGCAGGTTTGAAACACTCTTTTTGTAATATTTGGAAGTGGACATTTGCAGCGCTTTGAGACCTATGGTGAAAAAGGAAATATCTTCTCATAAAAACCAGAAACAAGCATTCTCAGAAACTGCTTTTTGATGTGTGTACTCAAGTAACAGAGTTGAACCTTCCTTTTGACACAGCAGTTTTGAAACAATCTTTTTGTAGAATCTGCAAGTGGATATTTGGATAGCTTTGAGGATTTCGTTGGAAACGGGATATCTTCATATAAAATCTAGACAGAAGCATTCTCAGAAACTTCTTTGTGCTGTATGTCCTCAATTAACAGAGTTGAACCATTGCTTGGATACAGCATTTTGGAAACATTCCTTTAGTAGAATCTGCAAGTTGATATTTAGATAGATTTGAAGATTTCGTTGGAAACGGGAATATCTTCATATAAAATCTAGACGGAGGCATTCTCAGAAACTGCTTTGTGATGTTTCCATTCAAGTCACAGAGTTGAATATTCTCTTTTATAGAGCACGTTTGAAACACTCTTTCTGCACTATCTGGAAGTGGACATTTCGAGCGCTTTGAGGCCTATGGTGAAAAAGGAAATATCTTCCCATAAAAACTAGACAGAAGCATTCTCAGAAACTTGTTTGTGATGTGTGTATTCAACTAACAGACTTGAACTTTTGTTTTTACAGAGCAGTTTTAAAACAATCTTTTTGTGGAATCAGAAAGTGGATATTCGGATGGCTTTGAGGATTTCGTTGGAAGCGTGATTACATATAAAATCTAGAGAGAAGCATTCTCAGGAACTACTTTGTGATGTTTGCATTGAAGTCACAGAATTGAACATTCACTTTGATAGAGCAGGTTTGAAACACTCATTCTGTAGTATCTGGAAGTGGACATTTCAAGTGCTTTCAGGCCTATGGGGAGAAAGGAAATATCTTCAAATTAAAACTAGACAGAAGCATCCTCAGAAACTTATTTGTGATGTGTGTCCTCAACTAACAGAGTTGAAACTTTGTTTTGATACAGCATTTTGGAAACACTCTTTTTGTAGAATCTGCAGGTGGATACTTGGATAGCTTAGAGGGATTCGTTGGAAAGGGGATAAATTCATATAAAATCTAGACAGAAGCATTCTCAGAAACTTATTTGTGATGTGTGTCCTCAACTAACAGAGTTGAACCTTGGTTTTGATACAGCATTTTGGAAACACTCCTTTTGAAGAATCTGCAGGTGGATATGTGGATAGCTTTGAAGATTTCGTTGGAAACGGGAATTTCTTCATATAAAATCAAACAGAAGCATTCTCAGGAACTTCTCTGTGATGTTTGCATTCAGCTCATGGAGTTGAACACTTCCTTTCATAGAGCAGGTTTGAAACACTCTTTCTGCACTACCTGGAAGTGGACATTTCGAGCGCTTTGAGGCCTATGGTGAAAAAGGAAATATCCTCTCATAAAAACCAGAAAGAAGCGTTCTCAGAAACTTCTTTGTGTTGTGTGTACTCATGTAACAGTGTTGAACCATCCTTTTGACAGAGCAGTTTTGAAACACTCTTTTTGTAGAATCTGCAAGTGGATATTTGGATAGCTTTGAGGATTTCGTTGGAAACGGGTTATCTTCATATTAAATCTAGACAGAAGCATTCTCAGAAACTTCTTTGTGCTGTATGTCCTCAATTCACAGAGTTGAACCTTTGTTTGGATACAGCATTTTGGAAACATTCCTTTAGTAGAATCTGCAAGTTGATATTTAGATAGCTTTGAAGATTTCGTTGGAAACGGGAATATCTTCATAAAAAATCTAGACGGAAGCATTTTCAGAAACTGCTTTGTGATGTTTGCATTCAAGTCACAGAGTTAAATATTCTTTTACAGAGCAGGTTTGAAACACTCTTTCTGCACTCCCTGGAAGTGGAGATTTCGAGCGCTTTGAGGCCTATGGTGAAAAAGGAAATATCTTCCCATAAAAACTAGACGGAAGCCTTCTCAGAAACTTGTTTCAGATGTGTGTATTCAACTAAGACCGTTGAACATTTCTTTTTACAGAGCAGTTTTAAAACACTCTTTTTGTGGAATCTGAAAGTGGATAATTGGATAGCTTTGTGGATTTCGTTGGAAACGGGATGACGTATAAAATCTAGAGAGAAGCATTCTCAGGAACTTCTTTCTGATGTTTGCATTCAAGTCACAGAATTGAACATTCCTTTTCATAGTGCAGGTTTGAAACACTCTTTCTGTAGTATCTGGAAGTGGACATTTCAAGCGCTTTCAGGCCTATGGGGAGAAAGGAAATATCTTCAAATAAAAACTAGACAGAAGAATTCTCAGAAACTTATTGGTGATGTGTGTCCTAAACGAACACAGTTGAACCTTTGTTTGGATACAGCATTTTGGAAACATTCCTTTAGTAGAATCTGCAAGTTGATATTTAGATAGCTTTGAAGATTTCGTTGGAAACGGGAATATCTTCATAAAAAATCTAGACTGAAGCATTCTCAGAAACTGCTTTGTGATGTTTGCATTCAAGTCACAGAGTTGAATATTCCCTTTTATAGAGTAGGTTTGAAACACTCTTTCGGCACTACCTGGAAGTGGATATTTCGAGCTCTTTGAGGCCTATGGTTAAAAGGAAATATCTTCCCATAAAAACTAGACAGAAGCCGTCTCAGAAACTTGTTTGTGATGTGTGTATTCAACTACCAGAGTTGAACATTTCTGTTACAGAGCAATTTTAAAACACTCTTTCTGTGGAATCTGAAAGTGGATAATTGGATAGCTTTGTGGATTTCGTTGGAAACGGGATGACGTATAAAATCTAGAGAGAAGCATTCTCAGGAACTTCTTTCTGATGTTTGCATTCAAGTCACAGAATTGAACATTCCTTTTCAGAGTGCAGGTTTGAAACACTCTTTCTGTAGTATCTGGAAGTGGACATTTCAAGCGCTTTCAGGCCTACGGGGAGAAAGGAAATATCTTCAAATAAAAACTAGACAGAAGGATTCTCAGAAACTTATTTGTGATGTGTGTCCTAAACGAACACAGTTGAACCTTTGTTTTGATACAGCATTTTGGAAACACTCCTTTTGTAGAATCTGCAGGTGGATATTTGGATAGATTTTAAGATTTCATTGGAAACGGGAATTTCTTCATATAAACTCAAGACAGATGCATTCTCAGAAACTTCTCTGTGATGTTTGCATTCCACTCATAGAGTTGAAAACTTCCTTTCATAGAGCAGGTTTGAAACACTCTTTTTGTAATATTTGGAAGTGGACATTTGCAGCGCTTTGAGGCCTATGGTGAAAAAGGAAATATCTTCTCATAAAAACCAGAAACAAGCATTCTCAGAAACTGCTTTTTGATGTGTGTACTCAAGTAACAGAGTTGAACCTTCCTTTTGACACAGCAGTTTTGAAACAATCTTTTTGTAGAATCTGCAAGTGGATATTTGGATAGCTTTGATTATTTCGTTGGAAACGGGATATCTTCATATAAAATCTAGACAGAAGCATTCTCAGAAACTTCTTTGTGCTGTATGTCCTCAATTAACAGAGTTGAACCATTGCTTGGATACAGCATTTTGGAAACATTCCTTTAGTAGAATCTGCAAGTTGATATTTAGATAGATTTGAAGATTTCGTTGGAAACGGGAATATCTTCATATAAAATCTAGACGGAGGCATTCTCAGAAACTGCTTTGTGATGTTTCCATTCAAGTCACAGAGTTGAATATTCTCTTTTATAGAGCACGTTTGAAACACTCTTTCTGCACTATCTGGAAGTGGACATTTCGAGCGCTTTGAGGCCTATGGTGAAAAAGGAAATATCTTCCCATAAAAACTAGACAGAAGCATTCTCAGAAACTTGTTTGTGATGTGTGTATTCAACTAACAGACTTGAACTTTTGTTTTTACAGAGCAGTTTTAAAACAATCTTTTTGTGGAATCAGAAAGTGGATATTCGGATGGCTTTGAGGATTTCGTTGGAAGCGGGATTACATATAAAATCTAGAGAGAAGCATTCTCAGGAACTACTTTGTGATGTTTGCATTGAAGTCACAGAATTGAACATTCACTTTGATAGAGCAGGTTTGAAACACTCATTCTGTAGTATCTGGAAGTGGACATTTCAAGCGCTTTCAGGCCTATGGTGAGAAAGGAAATATCTTCAAATTAAAACTAGACAGAAGCATCCTCAGAAACTTATTTGTGATGTGTGTCCTCAACTAACAGAGTTGAAACTTTGTTTTGATACAGCATTTTGGAAACACTCTTTTTGTAGAATCTGCAGGTGGATGTTTGGATAGCTTAGAGGGATTCGTTGGAAAGGGGATATCTTCATATAAAATCCAGACAGAAGCATTCTCAGAAACTTATTTGTGATGTGTGTCCTCAACTAACAGAGTTGAACCTTGGTTTTGATACAGCATTTCGGAAACACTCCTTTTGTAGAATCTGCAGGTGGATATGTGGATAGCTTTGAAGATTTCGTTGGAATCGGGAATTTCTTCATATAGAATCAAACAGAAGCATTCTCAGAAACTTCTCTGTGATGTTTGCATTCAGCTCATGGAGTTGAACACTTCCTTTCATAGAGCAGGTTTGAAACACTCTTTCTGCACTACCTGGAAGTGGACATTTCGAGCGCTTTGAGGCCTATGGTGAAAAAGGAAATATCTTCTCATAAAAACCAGAAGGAAGCATTCTCAGAAACTTCTTTGTGTTGTGTGTACTCATGTAACAGTGTTGAACCATCCTTTTGACACAGCAGTTTTGAAACAGTCTTTTTGTAGAATCTGCAAGTGCATATTTGGATAGCTTTGAGGATTTCGTTGGAAACGGGTTATCTTCATATTAAATCTAGACAGAAGCATTCTGAGAAACTTCTTTGTGCTGTATGTCCTCAATTCACAGAGTTGAACCTTTGTTTGGATACAGCATTTTGGAAACATTCCTTTAGTAGAATCTGCAAGTGGATATTTAGATAGCTTTGAAGATTTCGTTGGAAACGGGAATATCTTCATAAAAAATGTAGACGGAAGCATTGTCAGAAACTGCTTTGTGATGTTTGCATTCAAGTCACAGAGTTAAATAGTCTTTTATAGAGCAAGTTTGAAACACTCTTTCTGCACTACCTGGAGGTGGAGATTTCGAGCGCTTTGAGGCCTATGGTGAAAAAGGAAATATCTTCCCATAAAAACTAGACGGAAGCCTTCTCAGAAACTTGTTTGAGATGTGTGTATTCAACTAAGAGCGTTGAACATTTCCTTTTACAGAGCAGTTTTAAAACACTCTTTTTGTGGAATCTGAAAGTGGATAACTGGATAGCTTTGTGGATTTCGTTGGAAACGGGATTACGAATAAAATCTAGAGAGAAGCATTCTCAGGAACTTCTTTCTGATGTTTGCATTCAAGTCACAGAATTGAACATTCCTTTTCATAGTTCAGGTTTGAAACACTCTGTAGTATCTGGAAGTGGACATTTCAAGCGCTTTCAAGCCTATGGGGAGAAAGGAAATATCTTGAAATAAAAACTAGACAGAAGGATTCTCAGAAACTTATTTGTGATGTGTGTCCTAAACGAACACAGTTGAACCTTTGTTTTGATACAGCATTTTGGAAACACTCCTTTTGTAGAATCTGCAGGTGGATATTTGGATAGATTTTAAGATTGCATTGGAAACGGGAATTTCTTCATATAAACTCAAGACAGATGCATTCTCAGAAACTTCTCTGTGATGTTTGCATTCAACTCACAGAGTTGAAAACTTCCTTTCATAGAGCAGGTTTGAAACACTCTTTTTGTAATATTTGGAAGTGGACATTTGCAGCGCTTTGAGGCCTATGGTGAAAAAGGAAATATCTTCTCATAAAAAACAGAAACAAGCATTCTCAGAAACTGCTTTTTGATGTGTGTACTCAAGTAACAGAGTTGAACCTTCCTTTTGACACAGCAGTTTTGAAACAATCTTTTTGTAGAATCTGCAAGTGGATATTTGGATAGCTTTGAGGATTTCGTTGGAAACGGGATATCTTCATATAAAATCTAGACAGAAGCATTCTCAGAAACTTCTTTGTGCTGTATGTCCTCAATTAACAGAGTTGAACCATTGCTTGGATACAGCATTTTGGAAACATTCCTTTAGTAGAATCTGCAAGTTGATATTTAGATAGATTTGAAGATTTCGTTGGAAACGGGAATATCTTCATATAAAATCTAGACGGAGGCATTCTCAGAAACTGCTTTGTGATGTTTCCATTCAAGTCACAGAGTTGAATATTCCCTTTTATAGAGCACGTTTGAAACACTCTTTCGGCACTATCTGGAAGTGGACATTTCGAGCGCTTTGAGGCCTATGGTGAAAAAGGAAATATCTTCCCATAAAAACTAGACAGAAGCATTCTCAGAAACTTGTTTGTGATGTGTGTATTCAACTAACAGACTTGAACTTTTGTTTTTACAGAGCAGTTTTAAAACAATCTTTTTGTGGAATCAGAAAGTGGATATTCGGATGGCTTTGAGGATTTCGTTGGAAGCGGGATTACATATAAAATGTAGAGAGAAGCATTCTCAGGAACTACTTTGTGATGTTTGCATTGAAGTCACAGAATTGAACATTCACTTTGATAGAGCAGGTTTGAAACACTCATTCTGTAGTATCTGGAAGTGGACATTTCAAGTGCTTTCAGGCCTATGGGGAGAAAGGAAATATCTTCAAATTAAAACTAGACAGAAGCATCCTCAGAAACTTATTTGTGATGTGTGTCCTCAACTAACAGAGTTGAAACTTTGTTTTGATACAGCATTTTGGAAACACTCTTTTTGTAGAATCTGCAGGTGGATACTTGGATAGCTTAGAGGGATTCGTTGGAAAGGGGATAAATTCATATAAAATCTAGACAGAAGCATTCTCAGAAACTTATTTGTGATGTGTGTCCTCAACTAACAGAGATGAACCTTGGTTTTGATACAGCATTTTGGAAACACTCCTTTTGAAGAATCTGCAGGTGGATATGTGGATAGCTTTGAAGATTTCGTTGGAAACGGGAATTTCTTCATATAAAATCAAACAGAAGCATTCTCAGGAACTTCTCTGTGATGTTTGCATTCAGCTCATGGAGTTGAACACTTCCTTTCATAGAGCAGGTTTGAAACACTCTTTCTGCACTACCTGGAAGTGGACATTTCGAGCGCTTTGAGGCCTATGGTGAAAAAGGAAATATCCTCTCATAAAAACCAGAAAGAAGCGTTCTCAGAAACTTCTTTGTGTTGTGTGTACTCATGTAACAGTGTTGAACCATCCTTTTGACAGAGCAGTTTTGAAACACTCTTTTTGTAGAATCTGCAAGTGGATATTTGGATAGCTTTGAGGATTTCGTTGGAAACGGGTTATCTTCATATTAAATCTAGACAGAAGCATTCTCAGAAACTTCTTTGTGCTGTATGTCCTCAATTCACAGAGTTGAACCTTTGTTTGGATACAGCATTTTGGAAACATTCCTTTAGTAGAATCTGCAAGTTGATATTTAGATAGCTTTGAAGATTTCGTTGGAAACGGGAATATCTTCATAAAAAATCTAGACGGAAGCATTGTCAGAAACTGCTCTGTGATGTTTGCATTCAAGTCACAGAGTTAAATATTCTTTTATAGAGCAGGTTTGAAACACTCTTTCTAAACTCCCTGGAAGTGGAGATTTCGAGCGCTTTGAGGCCTATGGTGAAAAAGGAAATATCTTCCCATAAAAACTAGACGGAAGCCTTCTCAGAAACTTGTTTGAGATGTGTGTATTCAACTAAGAGCGTTGAACATTTCTTTTTACAGAGCAGTTTTAAAACACTCTTTTGGTGGAATCTGAAAGTGGATAATTGGATAGCTTTGTGGATTTCGTTGGAAACGGGATTACGTTTAAAATCTAGAGAGAAGCATTCTCAGGAACTTCTTTCTGATGTTTGCATTCAAGTCACAGAATTGAACATTCCTTTTCATAGTGCAGGTTTGAAACACTCTGTAGTATCTCGAAGTGGACATTTCAAGCGCTTTCAAGCCTATGGGGAGAAAGGAAATATCTTGAAATAAAAACTAGACAGAAGGATTCTCAGAAACTTATTTGTGATGTGTGTCCTAAACGAACACAGTTGAACCTTTGTTTTGATACAGCATTTTGGAAACACTCCTTTTGTAGAATCTGCAGGTGGATATTTGGATAGATTTTAAGATTTCATTGGAAACGGGAATTTCTTCATATAAACTCAAGACAGATGCATTCTCAGAAACTTCTCTGTGATGTTTGCATTCCACTCATAGAGTTGAAAACTTCCTTTCATAGAGCAGGTTTGAAACACTCTTTTTGTAATATTTGGAAGTGGACATTTGCAGCGCTTTGAGGCCTATGGTGAAAAAGGAAATATCTTCTCATAAAAACCAGAAACAAGCATTCTCAGAAACTGCTTTTTGATGTGTGTACTCAAGTAACAGAGTTGAACCTTCCTTTTGACACAGCAGTTTTGAAACAATCTTTTTGTAGAATCTGCAAGTGGATAGTTGGATAGCTTTGAGGATTTCGTTGGAAACGGGATATCTTCATATAAAATCTAGACAGAAGCATTCTCAGAAACTTCTTTGTGCTGTATGTCCTCAATTAACAGAGTTGAACCATTGCTTGGATACAGCATTTTGGAAACATTCCTTTAGTAGAATCTGCAAGTTGATATTTAGATAGATTTGAAGATTTCGTTGGAAACGGGAATATCTTCATATAAAATCTAGACGGAGGCATTCTCAGAAACTGCTTTGTGATGTTTCCATTCAAGTCACAGGAGTTGAATATTCCCTTTTATAGAGCACGTTTGAAACACTCTTTCGGCACTATCTGGAAGTGGACATTTCGAGCGCTTTGAGGCCTATGGTGAAAAAGGAAATATCTTCCCATAAAAACTAGACAGAAGCATTCTCAGAAACTTGTTTGTGATGTGTGTATTCAACTAACAGACTTGAACTTTTGTTTTTACAGAGCAGTTTTAAAACAATCTTTTTGTGGAATCAGAAAGTGGATATTCGGATGGCTTTGAGGATTTCGTTGGAAGCGGGATTACATATAAAATGTAGAGAGAAGCATTCTCAGGAACTACTTTGTGATGTTTGCATTGAAGTCACAGAATTGAACATTCACTTTGATAGAGCAGGTTTGAAACACTCATGCTGTAGTATCTGGAAGTGGACATTTCAAGCGCTTTCAGGCCTATTGGGAGAAAGGAAATATCTTCAAATTAAAACTAGACAGAAGCATCCTCAGAAACTTATTTGTGATGTGTGTCCTCAACTAACAGAGTTGAAACTTTGTTTTGATACAGCATTTTGGAAACACTCTTTTTGTAGAATCTGCAGGTGGATACTTGGATAGCTTAGAGGGATTCGTTGGAAAGGGGATATCTTCATATAAAATCTAGACAGAAGCATTCTCAGAAACTTATTTGTGATGTGTGTCCTCAACTAACAGAGTTGAACCTTGGTTTTGATACAGCATTTTGGAAACACTCCTTTTGAAGAATCTGCAGGTGGATATGTGGATAGCTTTGAAGATTTCGTTGGAAACGGGAATTTCTTCATATAAAATCAAACAGAAGCATTCTCAGAAACTTCTCTGTGATGTTTGCATTCAGCTCATGGAGTTGAACACTTCCTTTCATAGAGCAGGTTTGAAACACTCTTTCTGCACTACCTGGAAGTGGACATTTCGAGCGCTTTGAGGCCTATGGTGAAAAAGGAAATATCCTCTCATAAAAACCAGAAAGAAGCGTTCTCAGAAACTTCTTTGTGTTGTGTGTACTCATGTAACAGTGTTGAACCATCCTTTTGACAGAGCAGTTTTGAAACACTCTTTTTGTAGAATCTGCAAGTGGATATTTGGATAGCTTTGAGGATTTCGTTGGAAACGGGTTATCTTCATATTAAATCTAGACAGAAGCATTCTCAGAAACTTCTTTGTGCTGTATGTCCTCAATTCACAGAGCTGAACCTTTGTTTGGATACAGCATTTTGGAGACATTCCTTTAGTAGAATCTGCAAGTTGATATTTAGATAGCTTTGAAGATTTCGTTGGAAACGGGAATATCTTCATAGAAAATGCTAGACGGAAGCATTCTCAGCAAACTGCTTTGTGATGTTTGCATTCAAGTCACAGAGTTGAATATTCCCTTTTATAGAGTAGGTTTGAAACACTCTTTCGGCACTACCTGGAAGTGGATATTTCGAGCTCTTTGAGGCCTATGGTTAAAAGGAAATATCTTCCCATAAAAACTAGACAGAAGCCTTCTCAGAAACTTGTTTGAGATGTGTGTATTCAACTAAGAGCATTGAACATTTCTTTTTACAGAGCAGTTTTAAAACAGTCTTTTTGTGGAATCTGAAAGTGGATAACTGGATAGCTTTGTGGATTTCGTTGGAAACGGGATTACGAATAATATCTAGAGAGAAGCATTCTCAGGAACTTCTTTCTGATGTTTGCATTCAAGTCACAGAATTGAACATTCCTTTTCAGAGTGCAGGTTTGAAACACTCTTTCTGTAGTATCTGGAAGTGGACATTTCAAGCGCTTTCAGGCCTACGGGGAGAAAGGAAATATCTTCAAATAAAAACTAGAGAGAAGGATTCTCAGAAACTTATTTGTGATGTGTGTCCTAAACGAACACAGTTGAACCTTTGTTTTGATACAGCATTTTGGAAACACTCCTTTTGTAGGATCTGCAGGTGGATATTTGGATAGATTTTAAAATTTCGTTGGAAACGGGAATTTCTTCATAGAAGCTCAAGACAGATGCATTCTCAGAAACTTCTCTGTGATGTTTGCATTCCACTCATAGAGTTGAAAACTTCCTTTCATAGAGCAGGTTTGAAACACTCTTTTTGTAATATTTGGAAGTGGACATTTGCAGCGCTTTGAGGCCTATGGTGAAAAAGGAAATATCTTCTCATAAAAACCAGAAACAAGCATTCTCAGAAACTTCTTTTTGATGTGTGTACTCAAGTAACAGAGTTGAACCTTCCTCTTGACACAGCAGTTTTGAAACAATCTTTTTGTAGAATCTGCAAGTGGATATTTGGATAGCTTTGAGGATTTCGTTGGAAACGGGATATCTTCATATAAAAATCTAGACAGAAGCATTCTCAGAAACTTCTTTGTGCTGTATGTCCTCAATTAACAGAGTTGAACCATTGCTTGGATACAGCATTTTGGAAACATTCCTTGAGTAGAATCTGCAAGTTGATATTTAGATAGATTTGAAGATTTCGTTGGAAAAGGGAATATCTCCATATAAAATCTAGAGGGAAGCATTCTCAGAAACTGCTTTGTGATGTTTCCATTCAAGTCACAGAGTTGAATATTCCCTTTTATAGAGCACGTTTGAAACACTCTTTCTGCACTATCTGGAAGTGGACATTTCGAGCGCTTTGAGGCCTATGGTGAAAAAGGAAATATCTTCCCATAAAAACTAGACAGAAGCATTCTCAGAAACTTGTTTGTGATGTGTGTATTCAAGTAACAGAGTTGAACTTTTGTTTTTACAGAGCCGTTTTAAAACACTCTTTTTGTGGAATCAGAAAGTGGATATTCGGATGGCTCTGAGGATTTCGTTGGAAGCGGGATTACATATAAAATCTAGAGAGAAGCATTCTCAGGAACTTCTTTGTGATGTTTGCATTGAAGTCACAGAATTGAACATTCACTTTGATAGAGCAGGTTTGAAACACTCATTCTGTAGGATCTGGAAGTGGACATTTCAAGCGCTTTCAGGCCTATGGTGAGAAAGGAAATATCTTCGAATAAAAACTAGACAGAAGCATCCTCAGAAACTTATTTGTGATGTGTGTCCTCAACTAACAGAGTTGAAACTTTGTTTTGATACAGCATTTTGGAAACACTCTTTTTGTAGAATCTGCAGGTGGATATTTGGATAGCTTAGAGGGATTCGTTGGAAAGGGGATATCTTCATATAAAATCTAGACAGAAGCATTCTCAGAAACTTATTTGTGATGTGTGTCCTCAACTAACAGAGTTGAACCTTGGTTTTGATACAGCATTTTGGAAACACTCCTTTTGTAGAATCTGCAGGTGGATATGTGGATAGCTCTGAAGATTTCGTTGGAAACGGGAATTTCTTCATATAAAATCAAACAGAAGCATTCTCAGAAACTTCTCAGTGATGTTTGCATTGAGCTCATGGAGTTGTACACTTCCTTTCATAGAGCAGGTTTGAAACACTCTTTCTGCACTACCTGGAAGAGGACATTTCGAGCGCTTTGAGTCCTATGGTGAAAAAGGAAATATCTTCTCATAGAAACCAGAAAGAAGCATTCTCAGAAACTTCTTTGTGTTGTGTGTACTCATGTAACAGTGTTGAACCATCCTTTTGACAGAGCAGTTTTGAAACACTCTTTTTGTAGAATCTGCAAGTGGATATTTGGATAGCTTTGAGGATTTCGTTGGAAACGGGATGACATATAATATCTAGAGAGAAGCATTCTCAGGAACTTCTTTGTGATGTTTGCATTCAAGTCACAGAATTGAACATTCCCTTTCATAGAGCAGGTTTGAAACACTCTTTCTCTAGTATCTGGAAGTGGGCATTTCAAGCGCTTTCAGGCCTATGGAGAGAAAGGAAATACCTTCAAATAAAAACTAGACAGAAGCATTCTCAGAAACTTATTTGTGATGTGTGTCCTCAACTAACAGAGTTGAACCTTTGTTTTGATACAGCATTTTGGAAACACTCCTTTTGTAGAATCTGCAGGTGGATATGTGGATAGCTTTGAAGATTTCGTTGGAAACCGGAATATCTTCATATAAAATCAAGACAGAAGCATTCTCGGAAACATCTCTGTGATGTTTGCATTCAACTCAGTAGAGTTGAACACTTCCTTTCATAGAGCAGGTTTGAAACACTCTTTCTGCACTACCTGGAAGCGGACATTTCGAGCGCTTTGAGGCCTATGGTGAAAAAGGAAATATCTTCTCATAAAAACCAGAAAGAAGCATTCTCAGAAACTTCTTTGTGTTGTGTGTACTCAAGTAACAGTGTTGAACCTTCCTTTTGACAGAGTAGTTTTGAAACACTCTTTTGGTAGAATCTGCAAGTGGATATTTGGATAGCTTTGAGGATTTCGTTGGAAACGGGTTATCTTCCTATAAAATCCAGACAGGAGCATTCTCAGAAACTTCTTTGTGCTGTATGTCCTCAATTCACAGAGCTGAACCTTTGTTTGGATACAGCATTTTGGAGACATTCCTTTAGTAGAATCTGCAAGTTGATATTTAGATAGCTTTGAAGATTTCGTTGGAAACGGGAATATCTTCATAGAAAATCTAGACGGAAGCATTCTCAGAAACTGCTTTGTGATGTTTGCATTCAAGTCACAGAGTTGAATATTCCCTTTTATAGAGTAGGTTTGAAACACTCTTTCGGCACTACCTGGAAGTGGATATTTCGAGCTCTTTGAGGCCTATGGTTAAAAGGAAATATCTTCCCATAAAAACTAGACAGAAGCCGTCTCAGAAACTTGTTTGTGATGTGTGTATTCAACTACCAGAGTTGAACATTTCTGTTACAGAGCAATTTTAAAACACTCTTTCTGTGGAATCTGAAAGTGGATAATTGGATAGCTTTGTGGATTTCGTTGGAAACGGGATGACGTATAAAATCTAGAGAGAAGCATTCTCAGGAACTTCTTTCTGATGTTTGCATTCAAGTCACAGAATTGAACATTCCTTTTCAGAGTGCAGGTTTGAAACACTCTTTCTGTAGTATCTGGAAGTGGACATTTCAAGCGCTTTCAGGCCTACGGGGAGAAAGGAAATATCTTCAAATAAAAACTAGACAGAAGGATTCTCAGAAACTTATTTGTGATGTGTGTCCTAAACGAACACAGTTGAACCTTTGTTTTGATACAGCATTTTGGAAACACTCCTTTTGTAGGATCTGCAGGTGGATATTTGGATAGATTTTAAGATTTCGTTGGAAACGGGAATTTCTGCATATAAACTCAAGACAGATGCATTCTCAGAAACTTCTCTGTGATGTTTGCATTCCACTCATAGAGTTGAAAACTTCCTTTCATAGAGCAGGTTTGAAACACTCTTTTTGTAATATTTGGAAGTGGACATTTGCAGCGCTGTGAGGCCTATGGTGAAAAAGGAAATATCTTCTCATAAAAACCAGAAACAAGCATTCTCAGAAACTTCTTTTTGATGTGTGTACTCAAGTAACAGAGTTGAACCTTCCTTTTGACACAGCAGTTTTGAAACAATCTTTTTGTAGAATCTGCAAGTGGATATTTGGATAGCTTTGAGGATTTCGTTGGAAACGGGATATCTTCATATAAAATCTAGACAGAAGCATTCTCAGAAACTTCTTTGTGCTGTATGACCTCAATTAACAGAGTTGAACCATTGCTTGCATACAGCATTTTGGAAACATTCCTTGAGTAGAATCTGCAAGTTGATATTTAGATAGATTTGAAGATTTCGTTGGAAAAGGGAATATCTCCATATAAAATCTAGAGGGAAGCATTCTCAGAAACTGCTTTGTGATGTTTCCATTCAAGTCACAGAGTTGAATATTCCCTTTTATAGAGCACGTTTGAAACACTCTTTCTGCACTATCTGGAAGCGGACATTTCGAGCGCTTTGAGGCCTATGGTGAAAAAGGAAATATCTTCCCATAAAAACTAGACAGAAGCATTCTCAGAAACTTGTTTGTGATGTGTGTATTCAACTAACAGAGTTGAACTTTTGTTTTTACAGAGCCGTTTTAAAACACTCTTTTTGTGGAATCAGAAAGTGGATATTCGGATGGCTACTGAGGATTTCGTTGGAAGCGGGATTACGTATAAAATCTAGAGAGAAGCATTCTCAGGAACTTCTTTGTGATGTTTGCATTGAAGTCACAGAATTGAACATTCACTTTGATAGAGCAGGTTTGAAACACTCATTCTGTAGTATCTGGAAGTGGACATTTCAAGCGCTTTCAGGCCTATGGTGGGAAAGGAAATATCTTCGAATAAAAACTAGACAGAAGCATCCTCAGAAACTTATTTGTGATGTGTGTCCTCAACTAACAGAGTTAAAACTTTCTTTTGATACAGCATTTTGGAAACACTCTTTTTGTAGAATCTGCAGGTGGATATTTTGATAGCTTAGAGGGATTCGTTGGAAAGGGGATATCTTCATATAAAATCTAGACAGAAGCATTCTCAGAAACTTATTTGTGATGTGTGTCCTCAACTAACAGAGTTGAACCTTGGTTTTGATACAGCATTTTGGAAACACTTCTTTTGTAGAATCTGCAGGTGGATATGTGGATAGCTTTGAAGATTTCGTTGGAAACGGGAATTTCTTCATATAAAATCAAACAGAAGCATTCTTAGAAACTTCTCAGTGATGTTTGCATTCAGCTCATGGAGTTGAACACTTCCTTTCATAGAGCAGGTTTGAAACACTCTTTCTGCACTACCTGGAAGAGGACATTTCGAGCGCTTTGAGTCCTATGGTGAAAAAGGAAATATCTTCTCATAGAAACCAGAAAGAAGCATTCTCAGAAACTTCTTTGTGTTGTGTGTACTCATGTAACAGTGTTGAACCATCCTTTTGACAGAGCAGTTTTGAAACACTCTTTTTGTAGAATCTGCAAGTGGATATTTGGATAGCTTTGAGGATTTCGTTGGAAACGGGATGACATATAATATCTAGAGAGAAGCATTCTCAGGAACTTCTTTGTGATGTTTGCATTCAAGTCACAGAATTGAACATTCCCTTTCATAGAGCAGGTTTGAAACACTCTTTCTCTAGTATCTGGAAGTGGGCATTTCAAGCGCTTTCAGGCCTATGGAGAGAAAGGAAATACCTTCAAATAAAAACTAGACAGAAGCATTCTCAGAAACTTATTTGTGATGTGTGTCCTCAACTAACAGAGTTGAACCTTTGTTTTGATACAGCATTTTGGAAACACTCCTTTTGTAGAATCTGCAGGTGGATATTTGGATAGCTTTGAAGATTTCGTTGGAAACCGGAATATCTTCATATAAACTCAAGACAGAAGCATTCTCGGAAACATCTCTGTGATGTTTGCATTCAACTCAGTAGAGTTGAACACTTCCTTTCATAGAGCAGGTTTGAAACACTCTTTCTGCACTACCTGGAAGCGGACATTTCGAGCGCTTTGAGGCCTATGGTGAAAAAGGAAATATCTTCTCATAAAAACCAGAAAGAAGCATTCTCAGAAACTTCTTTGTGTTGTGTGTACTCAAGTAACAGTGTTGAACCTTCCTTTTGACAGAGCAGTTTTGAAACACTCTTTTGGTAGAATCTGCAAGTGGATATTTGGATAGCTTTGAGGATTTCGTTGGAAACGGGTTATCTTCATATAAAATCCAGACAGGAGCATTCTCAGAAACTTCTTTGTGCTGTATGTCCTCAATTCACAGAGCTGAACCTTTGTTTGGATACAGCATTTTGGAGACATTCCTTTAGTAGAATCTGCAAGTTGATATTTAGATAGCTTTGAAGATTTCGTTGGAAACGGGAATATCTTCATAGAAAATCTAGACGGAAGCATTCTCAGAAACTGCTTTGTGATGTTTCCATTCAAGTCACAGAGTTGAATATTCCCTTTTATAGAGTAGGTTTGAAACACTCTTTCGGCACTACCTGGAAGTGGATATTTCGAGCTCTTTGAGGCCTATGGTTAAAAGGAAATATCTTCCCATAAAAACTAGACAGAAGCCGTCTCAGAAACTTGTTTGTGATGTGTGTATTCAACTACCAGAGTTGAACATTTCTGTTACAGAGCAATTTTAAAACACTCTTTTTGTGGAATCTGAAAGTGGATAATTGGATAGCTTTGTGGGTTTCGTTGGAAACGGGATGACGTATAAAATCTAGAGAGAAGCATTCTCAGGAACTTCTTTCTGATGTTTCCATTCAAGTCACAGAATTGAACATTCCTTTTCATAGTGCAGGTTTGAAACACTCTTTCTGTAGTATCTGGAAGTGGACATTTCAAGCACTTTCAGGCCTATGGGGAGAAAGGAAATATCTTCAAATAAAAACTAGACAGAAGGATTCTCAGAAACTTATTGGTGATGTGTGTCCTAAACGAACACAGTTGAACCTTTGTTTTGATACAGCATTTTGGAAACACTCCCTTTGTAGAATCTGCAGGTGGATATTTGGATAGATTTTAAGATTTCGTTGGAAACGGGAATTTCTTCATATAAACTCAAGACAGATGCATTCTCCGAAACTTCTCTGTGATGTTTGCATTCCACTCATAGAGTTGAAAACTTCCTTTCATAGAGCAGGTTTGAAACACTCTTTTTGTAATATTTGGAAGTGGACATTTGCAGCGCTTTGAGGCCTATGGTGAAAAAGGAAATATCTTCTCATAAAAACCAGAAACAAGCATTCTCAGAAACTTCTTTTTGATGTGTGTACTCAAGTAACAGAGTTGAACCTTCCTTTTGACACAGCAGTTTTGAAACAATCTTTTTGTAGAATCTGCAAGTGGATATTTGGATAGCTTTGAGGATTTCGTTGGAAACGGGATATCTTCATATAAAATCTAGACAGAAGCATTCTCAGAAACTTCTTTGTGCTGTATGTCCTCAATTAACAGAGTTGAACCATTGCTTGGATACAGCATTTTGGAAACATTCCTTTAGTAGAATCTGCAAGTTGATATTTAGAGAGATTTGAAGATTTCGTTGGAAACGGGAATATCTTCATATAAAATCTAGACGGAAGCATTCTCAGAAACTGCTTTGTGATGTTTCCATTCAAGTCACAGAGTTGAATATTCCCTTTTATAGAGCACGTTTGAAACACTCTTTCTGCACTATCTGGAAGTGGACATTTCGAGCGCTTTGAGGCCTATGGTGAAAAAGGAAATATCTTCCCATAAAAACTAGACAGAAGCATTCTCAGAAACTTGTTTGTGATGTGTGTATTCAACTAACAGAGTTGAACTTTTGTTTTTACAGAGCCGTTTTAAAACACTCTTTTTGTGGAATCAGAAAGTGGATATTCGGATGGCTCTGAGGATTTCGTTGGAAGCGGGATTACATATAAAATCTAGAGAGAAGCATTCTCAGGAACTTCTTTGTGATGTTTGCATTGAAGTCACAGAATTGAACATTCACTTTGATAGAGCAGGTTTGAAACACTCATTCTGTAGTATCTGGAAGTGGACATTTCAAGCGCTTTCAGGCCTATGGTGAGAAAGGAAATATCTTCGAATAAAAACTAGACAGAAGCATCCTCAAACTTATTTGTGATGTGTGTCCTCAACTAACAGAGTTGAAACTTTGTTTTGATACAGCATTTTGGAAACACTCTTTTTGTAGAATCTGCAGGTGGATATTTGGATAGCTTAGAGGGATTCGTTGGAAAGGGGATATCTTCATATAGAATCTAGACAGAAGCATTCTCAGAAACTTATTTGTGATGTGTGTCCTCAACTAACAGAGTTGAACTTTGGTTTTGATACAGCATTTTGGAAACACTCCTTTTGTAGAATCTGCAGGTGGATATGTGGATAGCTCTGAAGATTTCGTTGGAAACGGGAATTTCTTCATATAAAATCAAACAGAAGCATTCTCAGAAACTTCTCAGTGATGTTTGCATTCAGCTCATGGAGTTGTACACTTCCTTTCATAGAGCAGGTTTGAAACACTCTTTCTGCACTACCTGGAAGAGGACATTTCGAGCGCTTTGAGTCCTATGGTGAAAAAGGAAATATCTTCTCATAGAAACCAGAAAGAAAGCATTCTCAGAAACTTCTTTGTGTTGTGTGTACTCATGTAACAGTGTTGAACCATCCTTTTGACAGAGGAGTTTTGAAACACTCTTTTTGTAGAATCTGCAAGTGGATATTTGGATAGCTTTGAGGATTTCGTTGGAAACGGGATGACATATAATATCTAGAGAGAAGCATTCTCAGGAACTTCTTTGTGATGTTTGCATTCAAGTCACAGAATTGAACATTCCCTTTCATAGAGCAGGTTTGAAACACTCTTTCTCTAGTATCTGGAAGTGGGCATTTCAAGCGCTTTCAGGCCTATGGAGAGAAAGGAAATACCTTCAAATAAAAACTAGACAGAAGCATTCTCAGAAACTTATTTGTGATGTGTGTCCTCAACTAACAGAGTTGAACCTTTGTTTTGATACAGCATTTTGGAAACACTCCTTTTGTAGAATCTGCAGGTGGATATTTGGATAGCTTTGAAGATTTCGTTGGAAACCGGAATATCTTCATATAAAATCAAGACAGAAGCATTCTCGGAAACATCTCTGTGATGTTTGCATTCAACTCAGTAGAGTTGAACACTTCCTTTCATAGAGCAGGTTTGAAACACTCTTTCTGCACTACCTGGAAGCGGACATTTCGAGCGCTTTGAGGCCTATGGTGAAAAAGGAAATATCTTCTCATAAAAACCAGAAAGAAGCATTCTCAGAAACTTCTTTGTGTTGTGTGTACTCAAGTAACAGTGTTGAACCTTCCTTTTGACAGAGCAGTTTTGAAACACTCTTTTGGTAGAATCTGCAAGTGGATATTTGGATAGCTTTGAGGATTTCGTTGGAAACGGGTTATCTTCCTATAAAATCCAGACAGGAGCATTCTCAGAAACTTCTTTGTGCTGTATGTCCTCAATTCACAGAGCTGAACCTTTGTTTGGATACAGCATTTTGGAGACATTCCTTTAGTAGAATCTGCAAGTTGATATTTAGATAGCTTTGAAGATTTCGTTGGAAACGGGAATATCTTCATAGAAAATCTAGACGGAAGCATTCTCAGAAACTGCTTTGTGATGTTTGCATTCAAGTCACAGAGTTGAATATTCCCTTTTATACAGTAGGTTTGAAACACTCTTTCGGCACTACCTGGAAGTGGATATTTCGAGCTCTTTGAGGCCTATGGTTAAAAGGAAATATCTTCCCATAAAAACTAGACAGAAGCCGTCTCAGAAACTTGTTTGTGATGTGTGTATTCAACTAACAGAGTTGAACATTTCTGTTACAGAGCAATTTTAAAACACTCTTTTTGTGGAATCTGAAAGTGGATAATTGGATAGCTTTGTGGATTTCGTTGGAAACGGGATGACGTATAAAATCTAGAGAGAAGCATTCTCAGGAACTTCTTTCTGATGTTTGCATTCAAGTCACAGAATTGAACATTCCTTTTCAGAGTGCAGGTTTGAAACACTCTTTCTGTAGTATCTGGAAGTGGACATTTCAAGCGCTTTCAGGCCTACGGGGAGAAAGGAAATATCTTCAAATAAAAACTAGACAGAAGGATTCTCAGAAACTTATTTGTGATGTGTGTCCTAAACGAACACAGTTGAACCTTTGTTTTGATACAGCATTTTGGAAACACTCCTTTTGTAGGATCTGCAGGTGGATATTTGGATAGATTTTAAGATTTCGTTGGAAACGGGAATTTCTTCATAGAAGCTCAAGACAGATGCATTCTCAGAAACTTCTCTGTGATGTTTGCATTCCACTCATAGAGTTGAAAACTTCCTTTCATAGAGCAGGTTTGAAACACTCTTTTTGTAATATTTGGAAGTGGACATTTGCAGCGCTTTGAGGCCTATGGTGAAAAAGGAAATATCTTCTCATAAAAACCAGAAACAAGCATTCTCAGAAACTTCTTTTTGATGTGTGTACTCAAGTAACAGAGTTGAACCTTCCTTTTGACACAGCAGTTTTGAAACAATCTTTTTGTAGAATCTGCAAGTGGATATTTGGATAGCTTTGAGGATTTCGTTGGAAACGGGATATCTTCATATAAAATCTAGACAGAAGCATTCTCAGAAACTTCTTTGTGCTGTATGACCTCAATTAACAGAGTTGAACCATTGCTTGCATACAGCATTTTGGAAACATTCCTTGAGTAGAATCTGCAAGTTGATATTTAGATAGATTTGAAGATTTCGTTCGAAAACGGAATATCTCCATATAAAATCTAGAGGGAAGCATTCTCAGAAACTGCTTTGTGATGTTTCCATTCAAGTCACAGAGTTGAATATTCCCTTTTATAGAGCACGTTTGAAACACTCTTTCTGCACTATCTGGAAGTGGACATTTCGAGCGCTGTGAGGCCTATGGTGAAAAAGGAAATATCTTCCCATAAAAACTAGACAGAAGCATTCTCAGAAACTTGTTTGTGATGTGTGTATTCAACTAACAGAGTTGAACTTTTGTTTTTACAGAGCCGTTTTAAAACACTCTTTTTGTGGAATCAGAAAGTGGATATTCGGATGGCTCTGAGGATTTCGTTGGAAGCGGGATTACATATAAAATCTAGAGAGAAGCATTCTCAGGAACTTCTTTGTGATGTTTGCATTGAAGTCACAGAATTGAACATTCACTTTGATAGAGCAGGTTTGAAACACTCATTCTGTAGTATCTGGAAGTGGACATTTCAAGCGCTTTCAGGCCTATGGTGAGAAAGGAAATATCTTCGAATAAAAACTAGACAGAAGCATCCTCAAACTTATTTGTGATGTGTGTCCTCAACTAACAGAGTTGAAACTTTGTTTTGATACAGCATTTTGGAAACACTCTTTTTGTAGAATCTGCAGGTGGATATTTGGATAGCTTAGAGGGATTCGTTGGAAAGGGGATATCTTCATATAGAATCTAGACAGAAGCATTCTCAGAAACTTATTTGTGATGTGTGTCCTCAACTAACAGAGTTGAACTTTGGTTTTGATACAGCATTTTGGAAACACTCCTTTTGTAGAATCTGCAGGTGGATATGTGGATAGCTCTGAAGATTTCGTTGGAAACGGGAATTTCTTCATATAAAATCAAACAGAAGCATTCTCAGAAACTTCTCAGTGATGTTTGCATTCAGTTCATGGAGTTGAACACTTCCTTTCATAGAGCCGGTTTGAAACACTCTTTCTGCACTACCTGGAAGAGGACATTTCGAGCGCTTTGAGTCCTATGGTGAAAAAGGAAATATCTTCTCATAGAAACCAGAAAGAAGCATTCTCAGAAACTTCTTTGTGTTGTGTGTACTCATGTAACAGTGTTGAACCATCCTTTTGACAGAGCAGTTTTGAAACACTCTTTTTGTAGAATCTGCAAGTGGATATTTGGATAGCTTTGAGGATTTCGTTGGAAACGGGATGACATATAATATCTAGAGAGAAGCATTCTCAGGAACTTCTTTGTGATGTTTGCATTCAAGTCACAGAATTGAACATTCCCTTTCATAGAGCAGGTTTGAAACACTCTTTCTCTAGTATCTGGAAGTGGGCATTTCAAGCGCTTTCAGGCCTATGGAGAGAAAGGAAATACCTTCAAATAAAAACTAGACAGAAGCATTCTCAGAAACTTATTTGTGATGTGTGTCCTCAACTAACAGAGTTGAACCTTTGTTTTGATACAGCATTTTGGAAACACTCCTTTTGTAGAATCTGCAGGTGGATATTTGGATAGCTTTGAAGATTTCGTTGGAAACCGGAATATCTTCATATAAAATCAAGACAGAAGCATTCTCGGAAACATCTCTGTGATGTTTGCATTCAACTCAGTAGAGTTGAACACTTCCTTTCATAGAGCAGGTTTGAAACACTCTTTCTGCACTACCTGGAAGCGGACATTTCGAGCGCTTTGAGGCCTATGGTGAAAAAGGAAATATCTTCTCATAAAAACCAGAAAGAAGCATTCTCAGAAACTTCTTTGTGTTGTGTGTACTCAAGTAACAGTGTTGAACCTTCCTTTTGACAGAGTAGTTTTGAAACACTCTTTTGGTAGAATCTGCAAGTGGATATTTGGATAGCTTTGAGGATTTCGTTGGAAACGGGTTATCTTCCTATAAAATCCAGACAGGAGCATTCTCAGAAACTTCTTTGTGCTGTATGTCCTCAATTCACACAGCTGAACCTTTGTTTGGATACAGCATTTTGGAGACATTCCTTTAGTAGAATCTGCAAGTTGATATTTAGATAGCTTTGAAGATTTCGTTGGAAACGGGAATATCTTCATAGAAAATCTAGACGGAAGCATTCTCAGAAACTGCTTTGTGATGTTTGCATTCAAGTCACAGAGTTGAATATTCCCTTTTATAGAGTAGGTTTGAAACACTCTTTCGGCACTACCTGGAAGTGGATATTTCGAGCTCTTTGAGGCCTATGGTTAAAAGGAAATATCTTCCCATAAAAACTAGACAGAAGCCGTCTCAGAAACTTGTTTGTGATGTGTGTATTCAACTACCAGAGTTGAACATTTCTGTTACAGAGCAATTTTAAAACACTCTTTCTGTGGAATCTGAAAGTGGATAATTGGATAGCTTTGTGGATTTCGTTGGAAACGGGATGACGTATAAAATCTAGAGAGAAGCATTCTCAGGAACTTCTTTCTGATGTTTGCATTCAAGTCACAGAATTGAACATTCCTTTTCAGAGTGCAGGTTTGAAACACTCTTTCTGTAGTATCTGGAAGTGGACATTTCAAGCGCTTTCAGGCCTATGGGGAGAAAGGAAATATCTTCAAATAAAAACTAGAGAGAAGGATTCTCAGAAACTTATTTGTGATGTGTGTCCTAAACGAACACAGTTGAACCTTTGTTTTGATACAGCATTTTGGAAACACTCCTTTTGTAGGATCTGCAGGTGGATATTTGGATAGATTTTAAGATTTCGTTGGAAACGGGAATTTCTTCATAGAAGCTCAAGACAGATGCATTCTCAGAAACTTCTCTGTGATGTTTGCATTCCACTCATAGAGTTGAAAACTTCCTTTCATAGAGCAGGTTTGAAACACTCTTTTTGTAATATTTGGAAGTGGACATTTGCAGCGCTTTGAGGCCTATGGTGAAAAAGGAAATATCTTCTCATAAAAACCAGAAACAAGCATTCTCAGAAACTTCTTTTTGATGTGTGTACTCAAGTAACAGAGTTGAACCTTCCTCTTGACACAGCAGTTTTGAAACAATCTTTTTGTAGAATCTGCAAGTGGATATTTGGATAGCTTTGAGGATTTCGTTGGAAACGGGATATCTTCATATAAAATCTAGACAGAAGCATTCTCAGAAACTTCTTTGTGCTGTATGTCCTCAATTAACAGAGTTGAACCATTGCCTGGATACAGCATTTTGGAAACATTCCTTGAGTAGAATCTGCAAGTTGATATTTAGATAGATTTGAAGATTTCGTTGGAAAAGGGAATATCTCCATATAAAATCTAAAGGGAAGCATTCTCAGAAACTGCTTTGTGATGTTTCCATTCAAGTCACAGAGTTGAATATTCCCTTTTATAGAGCACGTTTGAAACACTCTTTCTGCACTATCTGGAAGCGGACATTTCGAGCGCTTTGAGGCCTATGGTGAAAAAGGAAATATCTTCCCATAAAAACTAGACAGAAGCATTCTCAGAAACTTGTTTGTGATGTGTGTATTCAACTAACAGAGTTGAACTTTTGTTTTTACAGAGCCGTTTTAAAACACTCTTTTTGTGGAATCAGAAAGTGGATATTCGGATGGCTCTGAGGATTTCGTTGGAAGCGGGATTACGTATAAAATCTAGAGAGAAGCATTCTCAGGAACTTCTTTGTGATGTTTGCATTGAAGTCACGGAATTCAACATTCACTTTTATAGAGCAGGTTTGAAACACTCATTCTGTAGTATCTGGAAGTGGACATTTCAAGCGCTTTCAGGCCTATGGTGAGAAAGGAAATATCTTCGAATAAAAACTAGACAGAAGCATCCTCAGAAACTTATTTGTGATGTGTGTCCTCAACTAACAGAGTTGAAACTTTGTTTTGATACAGCATTTTGGAAACACTCTTTTTGTAGAATCTGCAGGTGGATATTTGGATAGCTTAGAGGGATTCGTTGGAAAGGGGATATCTTCATATAAAATCTAGACAGAAGCATTCTCAGAAACTTATTTGTGATGTGTGTCCTCAACTAACAGAGTTGAACCTTGGTTTTGATACAGCATTTTGGAAACACTCCTTTTGTAGAATCTGCAGGTGGATATGTGGATAGCTCTGAAGATTTCGTTGGAAACGGGAATTTCTTCATATAAAATCAAACAGAAGCATTCTCAGAAACTTCTCAGTGATGTTTGCATTCAGCTCATGGAGTTGTACACTTCCTTTCATAGAGCAGGTTTGAAACACTCTTTCTGCACTACCTGGAAGAGGACGTTTCGAGCGCTTTGAGTCCTATGGTGAAAAAGGAAATATCTTCTCATAGAAACCAGAAAGAAGCATTCTCAGAAACTTCTTTGTGTTGTGTGTACTCATGTAACAGTGTTGAACCATCCTTTTGACAGAGCAGTTTTGAAACACTCTTTTTGTAGAATCTGCAAGTGGATATTTGGATAGCTTTGAGGATTTCGTTGGAAACGGGATGACATATAATATCTAGAGAGAAGCATTCTCAGGAACTTCTTTGTGATGTTTGCATTCAAGTCACAGAATTGAACATTCCCTTTCATAGAGCAGGTTTGAAACACTCTTTCTCTAGTATCTGGAAGTGGGCATTTCAAGCGCTTTCAGGCCTATGGAGAGAAAGGAAATACCTTCAAATAAAAACTAGACAGAAGCATTCTCAGAAACTTATTTGTGATGTGTGTCCTCAACTAACAGAGTTGAACCTTTGTTTTGATACAGCATTTTGGAAACACTCCTTTTGTAGAATCTGCAGGTGGATATGTGGATAGCTTTGAAGATTTCGTTGGAAACCGGAATATCTTCCTATAAAATCAAGACAGAAGCATTCTCGGAAACATCTCTGTGATGTTTGCATTCAACTCAGTAGAGTTGAACACGTCCTTTCATAGAGCAGGTTTGAAACACTCTTTCTGCCCTACCTGGAAGCGGACATTTCGAGCTCTTTGAGGCCTATGGTGAAAAAGGAAATATCTTCTCATAAAAACCAGAAAGAAGCATTCTCAGAAACTTCTTTGTGTTGTGTGTACTCAAGTAACAGTGTTGAACCTTCCTTTTGACAGAGCAGTTTTGAAACACTCTTTTGGTAGAATCTGCAAGTGGATATTTGGATAGCTTTGAGGATTTCGTTGGAAACGGGTTATCTTCATATAAAATCCAGACAGGAGCATTCTCAGAAACTTCTTTGTGCTGTATGTCCTCAATTCACAGAGCTGAACCTTTGTTTGGATACAGCATTTTGGAGACATTCCTTTAGTAGAATCTGCAAGTTGATATTTAGATAGCTTTGAAGATTTCGTTGGAAACGGGAATATCTTCATAGAAAATCTAGACGGAAGCATTCTCAGAAACTGCTTTGTGATGTTTGCATTCAAGTCACAGAGTTGAATATTCCCTTTTATAGAGTAGGTTTGAAACACTCTTTCGGCACTACCTGGAAGTGGATATTTCGAGCTCTTTGAGGCCTATGGTTAAAAGGAAATATCTTCCCATAAAAACTAGACAGAAGCCGTCTCAGAAACTTGTTTGTGATGTGTGTATTCAACTACCAGAGTTGAACATTTCTGTTACAGAGCAATTTTAAAACACTCTTTCTGTGGAATCTGAAAGTGGATAATTGGATAGCTTTGTGGATTTCGTTGGAAACGGGATGACGTATAAAATCTAGAGAGAAGCATTCTCAGGAACTTCTTTCTGATGTTTGCATTCAAGTCACAGAATTGAACATTCCTTTTCAGAGTGCAGGTTTGAAACACTCTTTCTGTAGTATCTGGAAGTGGACATTTCAAGCGCTTTCAGGCCTACGGGGAGAAAGGAAATATCTTCAAATAAAAACTAGACAGAAGGATTCTCAGAAACTTATTTGTGATGTGTGTCCTAAACGAACACAGTTGAACCTTTGTTTTGATACAGCATTTTGGAAACACTCCTTTTGTAGGATCTGCAGGTGGATATTTGGATAGATTTTAAGATTTCGTTGGAAACGGGAATTTCTGCATAGAAACTCAAGACAGATGCATTCTCAGAAACTTCTCTGTGATGTGTGCATTCCACTCATAGAGTTGAAAACTTCCTTTCATAGAGCAGGTTTGAAACACTCTTTTTGTAATATTTGGAAGTGGACATTTGCAGCGCTTTGAGGCCTATGGTGAAAAAGGAAATATCTTCTCATAAAAACCAGAAACAAGCATTCTCAGAAACTTCTTTTTGATGTGTGTACTCAAGTAACAGAGTTGAACCTTCCTTTTGACACAGCAGTTTTGAAACAATCTTTTTGTAGAATCTGCAAGTGGATATTTGGATAGCTTTGAGGATTTCGTTGGAAACGGGATATCTTCATATAAAATCTAGACAGAAGCATTCTCAGAAACTTCTTTGTGCTGTATGACCTCAATTAACAGAGTTGAACCATTGCTTGCATACAGCATTTTGGAAACATTCCTTGAGTAGAATCTGCAAGTTGATATTTAGATAGATTTGAAGATTTCGTTCGAAAACGGAATATCTCCATATAAAATCTAGAGGGAAGCATTCTCAGAAACTGCTTTGTGATGTTTCCATTCAAGTCACAGAGTTGAATATTCCCTTTTATAGAGCACGTTTGAAACACTCTTTCTGCACTATCTGGAAGCGGACATTTCGAGCGCTTTGAGGCCTATGGTGAAAAAGGAAATATCTTCCCATAAAAACTAGACAGAAGCATTCTCAGAAACTTGTTTGTGATGTGTGTATTCAACTAACAGAGTTGAACTTTTGTTTTTACAGAGCCGTTTTAAAACACTCTTTTTGTGGAATCAGAAAGTGGATATTCGGATGGCTCTGAGGATTTCGTTGGAAGCGGGATTACGTATAAAATCTAGAGAGAAGCATTCTCAGGAACTTCTTTCTGATGTTTGCATTGAAGTCACAGAATTGAACATTCACTTTGATAGAGCAGGTTTGAAACACTCATTCTGTAGTATCTGGAAGTGGACATTTCAAGCGCTTTCAGGCCTATGGTGAGAAAGGAAATATCTTCGAATAAAAACTAGACAGAAGCATCCTCAAACTAATTGGTGATGTGTGTCCTCAACTAACAGAGTTGAAACTTTGTTTTGATACAGCATTTTGGAAACACTCTTTTTGTAGAATCTGCAGGTGGATATTTGGATAGCTTAGAGGGATTCGTTGGAAAGGGGATATCTTCATATAAAATCTAGACAGAAGCATTCTCAGAAACTTATTTGTGATGTGTGTCCTCAACTAACAGAGTTGAACCTTGGTTTTGATACAGCATTTTGGAAACACTCCTTTTGTAGAATCTGCATGTGGATATGTGGATAGCTCTGAAGATTTCGTTGGAAACGGGAATTTCTTCATATAAAATCAAACAGAAGCATTCTCAGAAACTTCTCTGTGATGTTTGCATTCAGCTCATGGAGTTGAACACTTCCTTTCATAGAGCAGGTTTGAAACACTCTTTCTGCACTACCTGGAAGTGGACATTTCGAGCGCTTTGAGGCCTATGGTGAAAAAGGAAATATCCTCTCATAAAAACCAGAAAGAAGCGTTCTCAGAAACTTCTTTGTGTTGTGTGTACTCATGTAACAGTGTTGAACCATCCTTTTGACAGAGCAGTTTTGAAACACTCTTTTTGTAGAATCTGCAAGTGGATATTTGGATAGCTTTGAGGATTTCGTTGGAAACGGGTTATCTTCATATTAAATCTAGACAGAAGCATTCTCAGAAACTTCTTTGTGCTGTATGTCCTCAATTCACAGAGTTGAACCTTTGTTTGGATACAGCATTTTGGAAACATTCCTTTAGTAGAATCTGCAAGTTGATATTTAGATAGCTTGGAAGATTTCGTTGGAAACGGGAATATCTTCATAAAAAATCTAGACGGAAGCATTGTCAGAAACTGCTTTGTGATGTTTGCATTCAAGTCACAGAGTTAAATATTCTTTTAAAGAGCAGGTTTGAAACACTCTTTCTGCACTCCCTGGAAGTGGAGATTTCGAGCGCTTTGAGGCCTATGGTGAAAAAGGAAATATCTTCCCATAAAAACTAGACGGAAGCATTCTCAGAAACTTGTTTATGATGTGTGTATTCAACTAACAGACTTGAACTTTTGTTTTTACAGAGCAGTTTTAAGACAATCTTTTTGTGGAATCAGAAAGTAGATATTCGGATGGCTTTGAGGATATCGTTGGAAGCGGGATTACATATAAAATTTAGAGAGAAGTATTCTCAGGAACTTCTTTGTGATGTTTGCATTGAAGTCACAGAATTGAACATTCACTTTGATAGAGCAGGTTTGAAACACTCATTCTGTAGTATCTGGAAGCGGACAATTCAAGCGCTTTCAGGCCTATGGGGAGAAAGGAAATATCTTCAAATAAAAACTAGAGAGAAGCATCCTCAGAAACTTATTTGTGATGTGTGTCCTCAACTAACAGAGTTGAAACTTTGTTTTGATACAGCATTTTGGAAACACTCTTTTTGTAGAATCTGCAGGTGGATATTTGGATAGCTTAGAGGGATTCGTTGGAAAGGGGATATCTTCATATAAAATCTAGACAGAAGCATTCTCAGAAACTTATTTGTGATGTGTGTCCTCAACTAACAGAGTTGAACCTTGGTTTTGATACAGCATTTTGGAAACACTCCTTTTGAAGAATCTGCAGGTGGATATGTGGATAGCTTTGAAGATTTCGTTGGAAACGGGAATTTCTTCATATAAAATCAAACAGAAGCATTCTCAGGAACTTCTCTGTGATGTTTGCATTCAGCTCATGGAGTTGAACACTTCCTTTCATAGAGCAGGTTTGAAACACTCTTTCTGCACTACCTGGAAGTGGACATTTCGAGCGCTTTGAGGCCTACGGTGAAAAAGGAAATATCCTCTCATAAAAACCAGAAAGAAGCGTTCTCAGAAACTTCTTTGTGTTGTGTGTACTCATGTAACAGTGTTGAACCATCCTTTTGACAGAGCAGTTTTGAAACACTCTTTTTGTAGAATCTGCAAGTGGATATTTGGATAGCTTTGAGGATTTCGTTGGAAACGGGTTATCTTCATATTAAATCTAGACAGAAGCATTCTCAGAAACTTCTTTGTGCTGTATGTCCTCAATTCACAGAGTTGAACCTTTGTTTGGATACAGCATTTTCGAAACATTCCTTTAGTAGAATCTGCAAGTTGATATTTAGATAGCTTTGAAGATTTCGTTGGAAACGGGAATATCTTCATAAAAAATCTAGACGGAAGCATTGTCAGAAACTGCTTTGTGATGTTTGCATTCAAGTCACAGAGTTAAATATTCTTTTACAGAGCAGGTTTGAAACAATCTTTCTGCACTCCCTGGAAGTGGAGATTTCGAGCGCTTTGAGGCCTATGGTGAAAAAGGAAATATCTTACCATAAAAAATAGACGGAAGCCTTCTCAGAAACTTGTTTGAGATGTGTGTATTCAACTAAGAGCGTTGAACATTTCTTTTTACAGAGCAGTTTTAAAACACTCTTTTTGTGGAATCTGAATGTGGATAATTGGATAGCTTTGTGGATTTCGTTGGAAACGGGATGACGTATAAAATCTAGAGAGAAGCATTCTCAGGAACTTCTTTCTGATGTTTGCATTCAAGTCACAGAATTGAACATTCCTTTTCATAGTGCAGGTTTGAAACACTCTTTCTGTAGTATCTGGAAGTGGACATTTCAAGCGCTTTCAGGCCTATGGGGAGAAAGGAAATATCTTCAAATAAAAACTAGACAGAAGGATTCTCAGAAACTTATTGGTGATGTGTGTCCTAAACGAACACAGTTGAACCTTTGTTTTGATACAGCATTTTGGAAACACTCCCTTTGTAGAATCTGCAGGTGGATATTTGGATAGATTTTAAGATTTCGCTGGAAACGGGAATTTCTTCATATAAACTCAAGACAGATGCATTCTCCGAAACTTCTCTGTGATGTTTGCATTCCACTCATAGAGTTGAAAACTTCCTTTCATAGAGCAGGTTTGAAACACTCTTTTTGTAATATTTGGAAGTGGACATTTGCAGCGCTTTGAGGCCTATGGTGAAAAACGAAATATCTTCTGATAAAAACCAGAAACAAGCATTCTCAGAAACTTCTTTTTGATGTGTGTACTCAAGTAACAGAGTTGAACCTTCCCTTTTGACACAGCAGTTTTGAAACAATCTTTTTGTAGAATCTGCAAGTGGATATTTGGATAGCTTTGAGGATTTCGTTGGAAACGGGATATCTTCATATAAAATCTAGACAGAAGCATTCTCAGAAACTTCTTTGTGCTGTATGTCCTCAATTAACAGAGTTGAACCATTTCTTGGATACAGCGTTTTGGAAACATTCCTTTAGTAGAATCTGCAAGTTGATATTTAGATAGATTTGAAGATTTCGTTGGAAACGGGAATATCTTCATATAAAATCTAGACGGAGGCATTCTCAGAAACTGCTTTGTGATGTTTCCATTCAAGTCACAGAGTTGAATATTCTCTTTTATAGAGCACGTTTGAAACACTCTTTCTGCACTATCTGGAAGTGGACATTTCGAGCGCTTTGAGGCCTATGGTGAAAAAGGAAATATCTTCCCATAAAAACTAGACAGAAGCATTCTCAGAAACTTGTTTGTGATGTGTGTATTCAACTAACAGACTTGAACTTTTGTTTTTACAGAGCAGTTTTAAAACAATCTTTTTGTGGAATCAGAAAGTGGATATTCGGATGGCTTTGAGGATTTCGTTGGAAGCGGGATTACATATAAAATGTAGAGAGAAGCATTCTCAGGAACTACTTTGTGATGTTTGCATTGAAGTCACAGAATTGAACATTCACTTTGATAGAGCAGGTTTGAAACACTCATTCTGTAGTATCTGGAAGTGGACATTTCAAGCGCTTTCAGGCCTATGGGGAGAAAGGAAATATCTTCAAATTAAAACTAGACAGAAGCATCCTCAGAAACTTATTTGTGATGTGTGTCCTCAACTAACAGAGTTGAAACTTTGTTTTGATACAGCATTTTGGAAACACTCTTTTTGTAGAATCTGCAGGTGGATACTTGGATAGCTTAGAGGGATTCGTTGGAAAGGGGATAAATTCATATAAAATGTAGACAGAAGCATTCTCAGAAACTTATTTGTGATGTGTGTCCTCAACTAACAGAGTTGAACCTTGGTTTTGATACAGCATTTTGGAAACACTCCTTTTGAAGAATCTGCAGGTGGATATGTGGATAGCTTTGAAGATTTCGTTGGAAACGGGAATTTCTTCATATAAAATCAAACAGAAGCATTCTCAGGAACTTCTCTGTGATGTTTGCATTCAGCTCATGGAGTTGAACACTTCCTTTCATAGAGCAGGTTTGAAACACTCTTTCTGCACTACCTGGAAGTGGACATTTCGAGCGCTTTGAGGCCTATGGTGAAAAAGGAAATATCTTCTCATAAAAACCAGAAAGAAGAGTTCTCAGAAACTTCTTTGTGTTGTGTGTACTCATGTAACAGTGTTGAACCATCCTTTTGACAGAGCAGTTTTGAAACACTTTTTTTGTAGAATCTGCAAGTGGATATTTGGATAGCTTTGAGGATTTCGTTGGAAACGGGTTATCTTCATATTAAATCTAGACAGAAGCATTCTCAGAAACTTCTTTGTGCTGTATGTCCTCAATTCACAGAGTTGAACCTTTGTTTGGATACAGCATTTTGGAAGCATTCCTTTAGTACAATCTGCAAGTTGATATTTAGATAGCTTTGAAGATTTCGTTGGAAACGGGAATATCTTCATAAAAAATCTAGACGGAAGCATTGTCAGAAACTGCTCTGTGATGTTTGCATTCAAGTCACAGAGTTAAATATTCTTTTATAGAGCAGGTTTGAAACACTCTTTCTGCACTCCCTGGAAGTGGAGATTTCGAGCGCTTTGAGGCCTATGGTGAAAAAGGAAATATCTTCCCATAAAAACTAGACGGAAGCCTTCTCAGAAACTTGTTTGAGATGTGTGTATTCAACTAAGAGCGTTGAACATTTCTTTTTACAGAGCAGTTTTAAAACAGTCTTTTGGTGGAATCTGAAAGTGGATAATTGGATAGCTTTGTGGATTTCGTTGGAAACGGGATTACGTTTAAAATCTAGAGAGAAGCATTCTCAGGAACTTCTTTCTGATGTTTGCATTCAAGTCACAGAATTGAACATTCCTTTTCATAGTGCAGGATTGAAACACTCTTTCTGTAGTATCTGGAAGTGGACATTTCAAGCGCTTTCAGGCCTATGGGAAGAAAGGAAATATCTTCAAATAAAAACTAGACAGAAGGATTCTCAGAAACTTATTTGTGATGTGTGTCCTAAACGAACACAGTTGAACCTTTGTTTTGATACAGCATTTTGGAAACACTCCTTTTGTAGAATCTGCAGGTGGATATTTGGATAGATTTTAAGATTTCATTGGAAACGGGAATTTCTTCATATAAACTCAAGACAGATGCATTCTCAGAAACTTCTCTGTGATGTTTGCATTCCACTCATAGAGTTGAAAACTTCCTTTCATAGAGCAGGTTTGAAACACTCTTTTTGTAATATTTGGAAGTGGACATTTGCAGCGCTTTGAGGCCTATGGTGAAAAAGGAAATATCTTCTCATAAAAACCAGAAACAAGCATTCTCAGAAACTGCTTTTTGATGTGTGTACTCAAGTAACAGAGTTGAACCTTCCTTTTGACACAGCAGTTTTGAAACAATCTTTCTGTAGAATCTGCAAGTGGATATTTGGATAGCTTTGAGGATTTCGTTGGAAACGGGATATCTTCATATAAAATCTAGAAAGAAGCATTCTCAGAAACTTCTTTGTGCTGTATGTCCTCAATTAACAGAGTTGAACCATTGCTTGGATACAGCATTTTGGAAACATTCCTTTAGTAGAATCTGCAAGTTGATATTTAGATAGATTTGAAGATTTCGTTGGAAACGGGAATATCTTCATATAAAATCTAGACGGAGGCATTCTCAGAAACTGCTTTGTGATGTTTCCATTCAAGTCACAGAGTTGAATATTCTCTTTTATAGAGCACGTTTGAAACACTCTTTCTGCACTATCTAGAAGTGGACATTTCGAGCGCTTTGAGGCCTATGGTGAAAAAGGAAATATCTTCCCATAAAAACTAGACAGAAGCATTCTCAGAAACTTGTTTGTGATGTGTGTATTCAACTAACAGACTTGAACTTTTGTTTTTACAGAGCAGTTTTAAAACAATCTTTTTGTGGAATCAGAAAGTGGATATTCGGATGGCTTTGAGGATTTCGTTGGAAGCGGGATTACATATAAAATCTAGAGAGAAGCATTCTCAGGAACTACTTTGTGATGTTTGCATTGAAGTCACAGAATTGAACATTCACTATGATAGAGCAGGTTTGAAACACTCATGCTGTAGTATCTGGAAGTGGACATTTCAAGCGCTTTCAGGCCTATGGTGAGAAAGGAAATATCTTCAAATTAAAACTAGACAGAAGCATCCTCAGAAACTTATTTGTGATGTGTGTCCTCAACTAACAGAGTTGAAACTTTATTTTGATACAGCATTTTGGAAACACTCTTTTTGTAGAATCTGCAGGTGGATATTTGGATAGCTTAGAGGGATTCGTTGGAAAGGGGATATCTTCATATAAAATCTAGACAGAAGCATTCTCAGAAACTTATTTGTGATGTGTGTCCTCAACTAACAGAGTTGAACCTTGGTTTTGATACAGCATTTTGGAAACACTCCTTTTGAAGAATCTGCAGGTGGATATGTGGATAGCTTTGAAGATTTCGTTGGAAACGGGAATTTCTTCATATAAAATCAAACAGAAGCATTCTCAGAAACTTCTCTGTGATGTTTGCATTCAGCTCATGGAGTTGAACACTTCCTTTCAGAGAGCAGCTTTGAAACACTCTTTCTGCACTACCAGGAAGTGGACATTTCGAGCGCTTTGAGGCCTATGGTGAAAAAGGAAATATCTTCTCATAAAAACCAGAAAGAAGCGTTCTCAGAAACTTCTTTGTGTTGTGTGTACTCATGTAACAGTGTTGAACCATCCTTTTGACAGAGCAGTTTTGAAACACTCTTTTTGTAGAATCTGCAAGTGGATATTTGGATAGCTTTGAGGATTTCGTTGGAAACGGGTTATCTTCATATTAAATCTAGACAGAAGCATTCTCAGAAACTTCTTTGTGCTGTATGTCCTCAATTCACAGAGTTGAACCTTTGTTTGGATACAGCATTTTGGAAACATTCCTTTAGTAGAATCTGCAAGTTGATATTTAGATAGCTTTGAAGATTTCGTTGGAAACGGGAATATCTTCATAAAAAATCTAGACGGAAGCATTGTCAGAAACTGCTTTGTGATGTTTGCATTCAAGTCACAGAGTTAAATATTCTTTTACAGAGCAGGTATGAAACACTCTTTCTGCACTCCCTGGAAGTGGAGATTTCGAGCGCTTTGAGGCCTTTGGTGAAAAAGGAAATATCTTCCCATAAAAACTAGACGGAAGCCTTCTCAGAAACTTGTTTGAGATGTGTGTATTCAACTAAGAGCGTTGAACATTTCTTTCTACACAGCAGTTTTAAAACACTCTTTTTGTGGAATCTGAAAGTGGATAATTGGATAGCTTTGTGGATTTCGTTGGAAACGGGATGACGTATAAAATCTAGAGAGAAAGCATTCTCAGGGAACTTCTTTCTGATGTTTGCATTCAAGTCACAGAATTGAACATTCCTTTTCAGAGTGCAGGTTTGAAACACTCTTTCTGTAGTATCTGGAAGTGGACATTTCAAGCGCTTTCAGGCCTACGGGGAGAAAGGAAATATCTTCAAATAAAAACTAGACAGAAGGATTCTCAGAAACTTATTGGTGATGTGTGTCCTAAACGAACACAGTTGAACCTTTGTTTTGATACAGCATTTTGGAAACACTCCCTTTGTAGAATCTGCAGGTGGATATTTGGATAGATTTTAAGATTTCGTTGGAAACGGGAATTTCTTCATATAAACTCAAGACAGATGCATTCTCAGAAACTTCTCTGTGATGTTTGCATTCCACTCATAGAGTTGAAAACTTCCTTTCATAGAGCAGGTTTGAAACACTCTTTTGTAATATTTGGAAGTGGACATTTGCAGCGCTTTGAGGTCTATGGTGAAAAAGGAAATATCTTCTCATAAAAACCAGAAACAAGCATTCTCAGAAACTTCTTTTTGATGTGTGTACTCAAGTAACAGAGTTGAACCTTCCTCTTGACACAGCAGTTTTGAAACAATCTTTTTGTAGAATCTGCAAGTGGATATTTGGATAGCTTTGAGGATTTCGTTGGAAACGGGATATCTTCATATAAAATCTAGACAGAAGCATTCTCAGAAACTTCTTTGTGCTGTATGTCCTCAATTAACAGAGTTGAACCATTGCTTGGATACAGCATTTTGGAAACATTCCTTTAGTAGAATCTGCAAGTTGATATTTAGATAGATTTGAAGATTTCGTTGGAAACGGGAATATCTTCATATAAAATCTAGACGGTGGCATTCTCAGAAACTGCTTTGTGATGTTTCCATTCAAGTCACAGAGTTGAATATTCTCTTTTATAGAGCACGTTTGAAACACTCTTTCTGCACTATCTGGAAGTGGACATTTCGAGCGCTTTGAGGCCTATGGTGAAAAAGGAAATATCTTCCCATAAAAACTAGACAGAAGCATTCTCAGAAACTTGTTTGTGATGTGTGTATTCAACTAACAGACTTGAACTTTTGTTTTTACAGAGCAGTTTTAAAACAATCTTTTTGTGGAATCAGAAAGTGGATATTCGGATGGCTTTGAGGATTTCGTTGGAAGCGGGATTACATATAAAATCTAGAGAGAAGCATTCTCAGGAACTACTTTGTGATGTTTGCATTGAAGTCACAGAATTGAACATTCACTTTGATAGAGCAGGTTTGAAACACTCATGCTGTAGTATCTGGAAGTGGACATTTCAAGCGCTTTCAGG
The DNA here is from genome assembly GCF_000001405.40 of Homo sapiens. Taxonomy (NCBI): domain Eukaryota; kingdom Metazoa; phylum Chordata; class Mammalia; order Primates; family Hominidae; genus Homo; species Homo sapiens. The sequence goes on from NC_000004.12 coordinate 50,188,796, forward strand.
CCTATGGGGAGAAAGGAAATATCTTCAAATTAAAACTAGACAGAAGCATCCTCAGAAACTTATTTGTGATGTGTGTCCTCAACTAACAGAGTTGAAACTTTGTTTTGATACAGCATTTTGGAAACACTCTTTTTGTAGAATCTGCAGGTGGATACTTGGATAGCTTAGAGGGATTCGTTGGAAAGGGGATATCTTCATATAAAATCTAGACAGAAGCATTCTCAGAAACTTATTTGTGATGTGTGTCCTCAACTAACAGAGTTGAACCTTGGTTTTGATACAGCATTTTGGAAACACTGCTTTTGAAGAATCTGCAGGTGGATATGTGGATAGCTTTGAAGATTTCGTTGGAAACGGGAATTTCTTCATATAAAATCAAACAGAAGCATTCTCAGAAACTTCTCTGTGATGTTTGCATTCAGCTCATGTAGTTGAACACTTCCTTTCATAGAGCAGGTTTGAAACACTCTTTCTGCACTACCTAGAAGTGGACATTTCGAGCGCTTTGAGGCCTATGGTGAAAAAGGAAATATCCTCTCATAAAAACCAGAAAGAAGCGTTCTCAGAAACTTCTTTGTGTTGTGTGTACTCATGTAACAGTGTTGAACCATCCTTTTGACAGAGCAGTTTTGAAACAGTCTTTTTGTAGAATCTGCAAGTGGATATTTGGATAGTTTGAGGATTTCGTTGGAAACGGGTTATCTTCATATTAAATCTAGACAGAAGCATTCTCAGAAACTTCTTTGTGCTGTATGTCCTCAATTCACAGAGTTGAACCTTTGTTTAGATACAGCATTTTGGAAACATTCCTTTAGTAGAATCTGCAAGTTGATATTTAGATAGCTTTGAAGATTTCGTTGGAAACGGGAATATCTTCATAAAAAATCTAGACGGAAGCATTGTCAGAAACTGCTTTGTGATGTTTGCATTCAAGTCACAGAGTTAAATATTCTTTTGCAGAGCACGTTTGAAACACTCTTTCTGCACTCCCTGGAAGTGGAGATTTCGAGCGCTTTGAGGCCTATGGTGAAAAAGGAAATATCTTCCCATAAAAACTAGACGGAAGCCTTCTCAGAAACTTGTTTGAGATGTGTGTATTCAACTAAGAGCGTTGAACATTTCTTTTTACAGAGCAGTTTTAAAACACTCTTTTTGTGGAATCTGAAAGTGGATAATTGGATAGCTTTGTGGATTTCGTTGGAAACGGGATGACGTATAAAATCTAGAGAGAAGCATTCTCAGGAACTTCTTTCTGATGTTTGCATTCAAGTCACAGAATTGAACATTCCTTTTCATAGTGCAGGTTTGAAACACTCTTTCTGTAGTATCTGGAAGTGGACATTTCAAGCGCTTTCAGGCCTATGGGGAGAAAGGAAATATCTTCAAATAAAAACTAGACAGAAGGATTCTCAGAAACTTATTGGTGATGTGTGTCCTAAACGAACACAGTTGAACCTTTGTTTTGATACAGCATTTTGGAAACACTCCCTTTGTAGAATCTGCAGGTGGATATTTGGATAGATTTTAAGATTTCGTTGGAAACGGGAATTTCTTCATACAAACTCAGGACAGATGCATTCTCAGAAACTTCTCTGTGATGTTTGCATTCCACTCATAGAGTTGAAAACTTCCTTTCATAGAGCAGGTTTGAAACACTCTTTTTGTAATATTTGGAAGTGGACATTTGCAGCGCTTTGAGGCCTATGGTGAAAAAGGAAATATCTTCTCATAAAAACCAGAAACAAGCATTCTCAGAAACTTCTTTTTGATGTGTGTACTCAAGTAACAGAGTTGAACCTTCCTTTTGACACAGCAGTTTTGAAACAATCTTTTTGTAGAATCTGCAAGTGGATATTTGGATAGCTTTGAGGATTTCGTTGGAAACGGGATATCTTCATATAAAATCTAGACAGAAGCATTCTCAGAAACTTCTTTGTGCTGTATGACCTCAATTAACAGAGTTGAACCATTGCTTGCATACAGCATTTTGGAAACATTCCTTGAGTAGAATCTGCAAGTTGATATTTAGATAGATTTGAAGATTTCGTTCGAAAACGGAATATCTCCATATAAAATCTAGAGGGAAGCATTCTCAGAAACTGCTTTGTGATGTTTCCATTCAAGTCACAGAGTTGAATATTCCCTTTTATAGAGCACGTTTGAAACACTCTTTCTGTGCTATCTGGAAGTGGACATTTCGAGCGCTTTGAGGCCTATGGTGAAAAAGGAAATATCTTCCCATAAAAACTAGACAGAAGCATTCTCAGAAACTTGTTTGTGATGTGTGTATTCAACTAACAGAGTTGAACTTTTGTTTTTACAGAGCCGTTTTAAAACACTCTTTTTGTGGAATCAGAAAGTGGATATTCGGATGGCTCTGAGGATTTCGTTGGAAGCGGGATTACATATAAAATCTAGAGAGAAGCATTCTCAGGAACTTCTTTGTGATGTTTGCATTGAAGTCACAGAATTGAACATTCACTTTGATAGAGCAGGTTTGAAACACTCATTCTGTAGTATCTGGAAGTGGACATTTCAAGCGCTTTCAGGCCTATGGTGAGAAAGGAAATATCTTCGAATAAAAACTAGACAGAAGCATCCTCAAACTTATTTGTGATGTGTGTCCTCAACTAACAGAGTTGAAACTTTGTTTTGATACAGCATTTTGGAAACACTCTTTTTGTAGAATCTGCAGGTGGATATTTGGATAGCTTAGAGGGATTCGTTGGAAAGGGGATATCTTCATATAGAATCTAGACAGAAGCATTCTCAGAAACTTATTTGTGATGTGTGTCCTCAACTAACAGAGTTGAACTTTGGTTTTGATACAGCATTTTGGAAACACTCCTTTTGTAGAATCTGCAGGTGGATATGTGGATAGCTCTGAAGATTTCGTTGGAAACGGGAATTTCTTCATAGAAAATCAAACAGAAGCATTCTCAGAAACTTCTCAGTGATGTTTGCATTCAGTTCATGGAGTTGAACACTTCCTTTCATAGAGCCGGTTTGAAACACTCTTTCTGCACTACCTGGAAGAGGACATTTCGAGCGCTTTGAGTCCTATGGTGAAAAAGGAAATATCTTCTCATAGAAACCAGAAAGAAGCATTCTCAGAAACTTCTTTGTGTTGTGTGTACTCATGTAACAGTGTTGAACCATCCTTTTGACAGAGCAGTTTTGAAACACTCTTTTTGTAGAATCTGCAAGTGGATATTTGGATAGCTTTGAGGATTTCGTTGGAAACGGGATGACATATAATATCTAGAGAGAAGCATTCTCAGGAACTTCTTTGTGATGTTTGCATTCAAGTCACAGAATTGAACATTCCCTTTCATAGAGCAGGTTTGAAACACTCTTTCTCTAGTATCTGGAAGTGGGCATTTCAAGCGCTTTCACGCCTATGGAGAGAAAGGAAATACCTTCAAATAAAAACTAGACAGAAGCATTCTCAGAAACTTATTTGTGATGTGTGTCCTCAACTAACAGAGTTGAACCTTTGTTTTGATACAGCATTTTGGAAACACTCCTTTTGTAGAATCTGCAGGTGGATATGTGGATAGCTTTGAAGATTTCGTTGGAAACCGGAATATCTTCCTATAAAATCAAGACAGAAGCATTCTCGGAAACATCTCTGTGATGTTTGCATTCAACTCAGTAGAGTTGAACACTTCCTTTCATAGAGCAGGTTTGAAACACTCTTTCTGCACTACCTGGAAGCGGACATTTCGAGCGCTTTGAGGCCTATGGTGAAAAAGGAAATATCTTCTCATAAAAACCAGAAAGAAGCATTCTCAGAAACTTCTTTGTGTTGTGTGTACTCAAGTAACAGTGTTGAACCTTCCTTTTGACAGAGTAGTTTTGAAACACTCTTTTGGTAGAATCTGCAAGTGGATATTTGGATAGCTTTGAGGATTTCGTTGGAAACGGGTTATCTTCCTATAAAATCCAGACAGGAGCATTCTCAGAAACTTCTTTGTGCTGTATGTCCTCAATTCACAGAGCTGAACCTTTGTTTGGATACAGCATTTTGGAGACATTCCTTTAGTAGAATCTGCAAGTTGATATTTAGATAGCTTTGAAGATTTCGTTGGAAACGGGAATATCTTCATAGAAAATCTAGACGGAAGCATTCTCAGAAACTGCTTTGTGATGTTTGCATTCAAGTCACAGAGTTGAATATTCCCTTTTATAGAGTAGGTTTGAAACACTCTTTCGGCACTACCTGGAAGTGGATATTTCGAGCTCTTTGAGGCCTATGGTTAAAAGGAAATATCTTCCCATAAAAACTAGACAGAAGCCGTCTCAGAAACTTGTTTGTGATGTGTGTATTCAACTACCAGAGTTGAACATTTCTGTTACAGAGCAATTTTAAAACACTCTTTCTGTGGAATCTGAAAGTGGATAATTGGATAGCTTTGTGGATTTCGTTGGAAACGGGATGACGTATAAAATCTAGAGAGAAGCATTCTCAGGAACTTCTTTCTGATGTTTGCATTCAAGTCACAGAATTGAACATTCCTTTTCAGAGTGCAGGTTTGAAACACTCTTTCTGTAGTATCTGGAAGTGGACATTTCAAGCGCTTTCAGGCCTACGGGGAGAAAGGAAATATCTTCAAATAAAAACTAGACAGAAGGATTCTCAGAAACTTATTTGTGATGTGTGTCCTAAACGAACACAGTTGAACCTTTGTTTTGATACAGCATTTTGGAAACACTCCTTTTGTAGGATCTGCAGGTGGATATTTGGATAGATTTTAAGATTTCGTTGGAAACGGGAATTTCTGCATAGAAACTCAAGACAGATGCATTCTCAGAAACTTCTCTGTGATGTTTGCATTCCACTCATAGAGTTGAAAACTTCCTTTCATAGAGCAGGTTTGAAACACTCTTTTTGTAATATTTGGAAGTGGACATTTGCAGCGCTTTGAGGCCTATGGTGAAAAAGGAAATATCTTCTCATAAAAACCAGAAACAAGCATTCTCAGAAACTTCTTTTTGATGTGTGTACTCAAGTAACAGAGTTGAACCTTCCTTTTGACACAGCAGTTTTGAAACAATCTTTTTGTAGAATCTGCAAGTGGATATTTGGATAGCTTTGAGGATTTCGTTGGAAACGGGATATCTTCATATAAAATCTAGACAGAAAGCATTCTCAGAAACTTCTTTGTGCTGTATGACCTCAATTAACAGAGTTGAACCATTGCTTGCATACAGCATTTTGGAAACATTCCTTGAGTAGAATCTGCAAGTTGATATTTAGATAGATTTGAAGATTTCGTTCGAAAACGGAATATCTCCATATAAAATCTAGAGGGAGCATTCTCAGAAACTGCTTTGTGATGTTTCCATTCAAGTCACAGAGTTGAATATTCCCTTTTATAGAGCACGTTTGAAACACTCTTTCTGCGCTATCTGGAAGTGGACATTTCGAGCGCTTTGAGGCCTATGGTGAAAAAGGAAATATCTTCCCATAAAAACTAGACAGAAGCATTCTCAGAAACTTGTTTGTGATGTGTGTATTCAACTAACAGAGTTGAACTTTTGTTTTTACAGAGCCGTTTTAAAACACTCTTTTTGTGGAATCAGAAAGTGGATATTCGGATGGCTCTGAGGATTTCGTTGGAAGCGGGATTACATATAAAATCTAGAGAGAAGCATTCTCAGGAACTTCTTTGTGATGTTTGCATTGAAGTCACAGAATTGAACATTCACTTTGATAGAGCAGGTTTGAAACACTCATTCTGTAGTATCTGGAAGTGGACATTTCAAGCGCTTTCAGGCCTATGGTGAGAAAGGAAATATCTTCGAATAAAAACTAGACAGAAGCATCCTCAAACTTATTTGTGATGTGTGTCCTCAACTAACAGCAGTTGAAACTTTGTTTTGATACAGCATTTTGGAAACACTCTTTTTGTAGAATCTGCAGGTGGATATTTGGATAGCTTAGAGGGATTCGTTGGAAAGGGGATATCTTCATATAAAATCTAGACAGAAGCATTCTCAGAAACTTATTTGTGATGTGTGTCCTCAACTAACAGAGTTGAACCTTGGTTTTGATACAGCATTTTGGAAACACTTCTTTTGTAGAATCTGCAGGTGGATATGTGGATAGCTTTGAAGATTTCGTTGGAAACGGGAATTTCTTCATATAAAATCAAACAGAAGCATTCTTAGAAACTTCTCAGTGATGTTTGCATTCAGCTCATGGAGTTGAACACTTCCTTTCATAGAGCAGGTTTGAAACACTCTTTCTGCACTACCTGGAAGAGGACATTTCGAGCGCTTTGAGTCCTATGGTGAAAAAGGAAATATCTTCTCATAGAAACCAGAAAGAAGCATTCTCAGAAACTTCTTTGTGTTGTGTGTACTCATGTAACAGTGTTGAACCATCCTTTTGACAGAGCAGTTTAGAAACACTCTTTTTGTAGAATCTGCAAGTGGATATTTGGATAGCTTTGAGGATTTCGTTGGAAACGGGATGACATATAATATCTAGAGAGAAGCATTCTCAGGAACTTCTTTGTGATGTTTGCATTCAAGTCACAGAATTGAACATTCCCTTTCATAGAGCAGGTTTGAAACACTCTTTCTCTAGTATCTGGAAGTGGGCATTTCAAGCGCTTTCAGGCCTATGGAGAGAAAGGAAATACCTTCAAATAAAAACTAGACAGAACCATTCTCAGAAACTTTTTTGTGATGTGTGTCCTCAACTAACAGAGTTGAACCTTTGTTTTGATACAGCATTTTGGAAACACTCCTTTTGTAGAATCTGCAGGTGGATATTTGGATAGCTTTGAAGATTTCGTTGGAAACCGGAATATCTTCATATAAAATCAAGACAGAAGCATTCTCGGAAACATCTCTGTGATGTTTGCATTCAACTCAGTAGAGTTGAACACTTCCTTTCATAGAGCAGGTTTGAAACACTCTTTCTGCACTACCTGGAAGCGGACATTTCGAGCGCTTTGAGGCCTATGGTGAAAAAGGAAATATCTTCTCATAAAAACCAGAAAGAAGCATTCTCAGAAACTTCTTTGTGTTGTGTGTACTCAAGTAACAGTGTTGAACCTTCCTTTTGACAGAGTAGTTTTGAAACACTCTTTTGGTAGAATCTGCAAGTGGATATTTGGATAGCTTTGAGGATTTCGTTGGGAACGGGTTATCTTCCTATAAAATCCAGACAGGAGCATTCTCAGAAACTTCTTTGTGCTGTATGTCCTCAATTCACAGAGCTGAACCTTTGTTTGGATACAGCATTTTGGAGACATTCCTTTAGTAGAATCTGCAAGTTGATATTTAGATAGCTTTGAAGATTTCGTTGGAAACGGGAATATCTTCATAGAAAATCTAGACGGAAGCATTCTCAGAAACTGCTTTGTGATGTTTGCATTCAAGTCACAGAGTTGAATATTCCCTTTTATAGAGTAGGTTTGAAACACTCTTTCGGCACTACCTGGAAGTGGATATTTCGAGCTCTTTGAGGCCTATGGTTAAAAGGAAATATCTTCCCATAAAAACTAGACAGAAGCCGTCTCAGAAACTTGTTTGTGATGTGTGTATTCAACTAACAGAGTTGAACATTTCTGTTACAGAGCAATTTTAAAACACTCTTTTTGTGGAATCTGAAAGTGGATATTTGGGTAGCTTTGTGGATTTCGTTAGAAACGGGATGACGTATAAAATCTAGAGAGAAGCATTCTCAGGAACTTCTTTCTGATGTTTGCATTCAAGTCACAGAATTGACATTCCTTTTCAGAGTGCAGGTTTGAAACACTCTTTCTGTAGTATCTGGAAGTGGACATTTCAAGCGCTTTCAGGCCTATGGGGAGAAAGGAAATATCTTCAAATAAAAACTAGACAGAAGGATTCTCAGAAACTTATTTGTGATGTGTGTCCTAAGCGAACACAGTTGAACCTTTGTTTTGATACAGCATTTTGGAAACACTCCTTTTGTAGAATCTGCAGGTGGATATTTGGATAGATTTTAAGATTTCATTGGAAACGGGAATTTCTGCATAGAAACTCAAGACAGATGCATTCTCAGAAACTTCTCTGTGATGTTTGCATTCCACTCATAGAGTTGAAAACTTCCTTTCATAGAGCAGGTTTGAAACACTCTTTTTGTAATATGTGGAAGTGGACATTTGCAGCGCTTTGAGGCCTATGGTGAAAAAGGAAATATCTTCTCATAAAAACCAGAAACAAGCATTCTCAGAAAGTTCTTTTTGATGTGTGTACTCAAGTAACAGAGTTGAACCTTCCTTTTGACACAGCAGTTTTGAAACAATCTTTTTGTAGAATCTGCAAGTGGATATTTGGATAGCTTTGAGGATTTCATTGGAAACGGGATATCTTCATATAAAATCTAGACAGAAGCATTCTCAGAAACTTCTTTGTGCTGTATGTCCTCAATTAACAGAGTTGAACCATGGCTTGGATACAGCATTTTGGAAACATTCCTTGAGTAGAATCTGCAAGTTGATATGTAGATAGCTTTGAAGATTTCGTTGGAAACGGGAATATCTTCATATAAAATCTAGACGGAAGCATTCTCAGAAACTGCTTTGTGACGTTCCCATTCAAGTCACGGAGTTGAATATTCTCTTTTATAGAGCACGTTTGAAACACTCTTTCTGCACTATCTGGAAGTGGACATTTCGAGCGCTTTGAGGCCTATGGTGAAAAAGGAAATATCTTCCCATAAAAACTAGACAGAAGCATTCTCAGAAACTTGTTTGTGATGGGTGTATTCAACTAACAGAGTTGAACTTTTGTTTTTACAGAGCCGTTTTAAAACACTCTTTTTGTGGAATCAGAAAGTGGATATTCGGATGGCATTGAGGATTTCGTTGGAAGCGGGATTACATATAAAATCTAGAGAGAAGCATTCTCAGGAACTTCTTTGTGATGTTTGCATTGAAGTCACAGAATTGAACATTCACTTTTATAGAGCAGGTTTGAAACACTCATTCTGTAGTATCTGGAAGTGGACATTTCAAGCGCTTTCAGGCCTATGGTGAGAAAGGAGATATCTTCAAATAAAAACTAGACAGAAGCATCCTCAGAAACTTATTTGTGATGTGTGTCCTCAACTAACAGAGTTGAAACTTTGTTTTGATACAGCCTTTTGGAAACACTCCTTTTGTAGAATCTGCAGGTGGCTATTTGGATAGCTTAGAGGGATTCGTTGGAAAGGGGATATCTTCATATAAAATCTAGACAGAAGCATTCTCAGAAACTTATTTGTGATGTGTGCCCTCAACTAACAGAGTTGAACCTTGGTTTTGATACAGCATTTTGGAAACACTCCTTTTGTAGAATCTGCAGGTGGATATGTGGATAGCTTTGAAGATTTCGTTGGAATCGGGAATTTCTTCATATAGAATCAAACAGAAGCATTCTCAGAAACTTCTCTGTGATGTTTGCATTCAGCTCATGGAGTTGAACACTTCCTTTCATAGAGCAGGTTTGAAACACTCTTTCTGCACTACCTGGAAGTGGACATTTCGAGCGCTTTGAGGCCTATGGTGAAAAAGGAAATATCTTCTCATAAAAACCAGAAGGAAGCATTCTCAGAAACTTCTTTTTGTTGTGTGTACTCATGTAACACTGTTGAACCATCCTTTTGACAGAGCAGTTTTGAAACACTCTTTTTGTAGAATCTGCAAGTGGATATTTGGATAGCTTTGAGGATTTCGTTGGAAACGGGTTATCTTCATATTAAATCTAGACAGAAGCATTCTCAGAAACTTCTTTGTGCTGTATGTCCTCAATTCACAGAGTTGAACCTTTGTTTGGATACAGCATTTTGGAAACATTCCTTTAGTAGAATCTGCAAGTGGATATTTAGATAGCTTTGAAGATTTCGTTGGAAACGGGAATATCTTCATAAAAAATCTGGACGGAAGCATTGTCAGAAACTGCTTTGTGATGTTTGCATTCAAGTCACAGAGTTAAATAGTCTTTTATAGAGCAGGTTTGAAACACTCTTTCTGCACTACATGGAAGTGGAGATTTCGAGCGCTTTGAGGCCTATGGTGAAAAAGGAAATATCTTCCCAGAAAAACTAGACGGAAGCCTTCTCAGAAACTTGTTTGAGATGTGTGTATTCAATTAAGAGCGTTGAACATTTCTTTTTACAGAGCAGTTTTAAAACACTCTTTTTGTGGAATCTGAAAGTGGATAATTGGATAGCTTTGTGGATTTCGTTGGAAACGGGATTACGTATAAAATCTAGAGAGAAGCATTCTCAGGAACTTCTTTCTGATGTTTGCATTCAAGTCACAGAATTGAACATTCCTCTTCATAGTGCAGGTTTGAAACACTCTTTCTGTAGTATCTGGAAGTGGACATTTCAAGCGCTTTCAGGCCTATGGGGAGAAAGGAAATATCTTCAAATAAAAACTAGACAGAAGGCTTCTCAGAAACTTATTTGTGATGTGTGTCCTAAACGAACACAGTTGAACCTTTGTTTTGATACAGCATTTTGGAAACAATCCTTTTGTAGAATCTGCAGGTGGATATTTGGATAGATTTTAAGATTTCGTTGGAAACGGGAATTTCTTCATAGAAACTCAAGACAGATGCATTCTCAGAAACTTCTCTGTGATGTTTGCATTCCACTCATAGAGTTGAAAACTTCCTTTCATAGAGCAGGTTTGAAACACTCTTTCTGTAGTATTTGGAAGTGGACATTAGCAGCGCTTTGAGGCCTATGGTGAAAAAGGAAATATCTTCTCATAAAAACCAGAAACAAGCATTCTCAGAAAGTCCTTTTTGATGTGTGTACTCAAGTAACAGAGTTGAACCTTCCTTTTGACACAGCAGTTTTGATACAATCTTTTTGTAGAATCTGCAAGTGGATATTTGGATAGCTTTGAGGATTTCATTGGAAACGGGATATCTTCATATAAAATCTAGACAGAAGCATTCTCAGAAACTTCTTTGTGTTGTATGTCCTCAATTAACAGAGTTGAACCATGGCTTGGATACAGCATTTTGGAAACATTCCTTGAGTAGAATCTGCAAGTTGATATGTAGATAGCTTTGAAGATTTCGTTGGAAACGGGAATATCTTCATATAAAATCTAGACGGAAGCATTCTCAGAAACTGCTTTGTGACGTTCCCATTCAAGTCACGGAGTTGAATATTCTCTTTTATAGAGCACGTTTGAAACACTCTTTCTGCACTATCTGGAAGTGGACATTTCGAGCGCTTTGAGGCCTATGGTGAAAAAGGAAATATCTTCCCATAAAAACTAGACAGAAGCATTCTCAGAAACTTGTTTGTGATGGGTGTATTCAACTAACAGAGTTGAACTTTTGTTTTTACAGAGCCGTTTTAAAACACTGTTTTTGTGGAATCAGAAAGTGGATATTCGGATGGCATTGAGGATTTCGTTGGAAGCGGGATTACATATAAAATCTAGAGAGAAGCATTCTCAGGAACTTCTTTGTGATGTTTGCATTGAAGTCACAGAATTGAACATTCACTTTTATAGAGCAGGTTTGAAACACTCATTCTGTAGTATCTGGAAGTGGACATTTCAAGCGCTTTCAGGCCTATGGTGAGAAAGGAGATATCTTCAAATAAAAACTAGACAGAAGCATCCTCAGAAACTTATTTGTGATGTGTGTCCTCAACTAACAGAGTTGAAACTTTGTTTTGATACCGCCTTTTGGAAACACTCCTTTTGTAGAATCTGCAGGTGGCTATTTGGATAGCTTAGAGGGATTCGTTGGAAAGGGGATATCTTCATATAAAATCTAGACAGAAGCATTCTCAGAAACTTATTTGTGATGTGTGTCCTCAACTAACAGAGTTGAACCTTGGTTTTGATACAGCATTTTGGAAACACTCCTTTTGTAGAATCTGCATGTGGATATGTGGATAGCTCTGAAGATTTCGTTGGAAACGGGAATTTCTTCATATAAAATCAAACAGAAGCATTCTCAGGAACTTCTCTGTGATGTTTGCATTCAGCTCATGGAGTTGAACACTTCCTTTCATAGAGCAGGTTTGAAACACTCTTTCTGCACTACCTGGAAGTGGACATTTCGAGCGCTTTGAGGCCTATGGTGAAAAAGGAAATATCCTCTCATAAAAACCAGAAAGAAGCGTTCTCAGAAACTTCTTTGTGTTGTGTGTACTCATGTAACAGTGTTGAACCATCCTTTTGACAGAGCAGTTTTGAAACACTCTTTTTGTAGAATCTGCAAGTGGATATTTGGATAGCTTTGAGGATTTCGTTGGAAACGGGTTATCTTCATATTAAATACTAGACAGAAGCATTCTCAGAAACTTCTTTGTGCTGTATGTCCTCAATTCACAGAGTTGAACCTTTGTTTGGATACAGCATTTTGGAAACATTCCTTTAGTAGAATCTGCAAGTTGATATTTAGATAGCTTTGAAGATTTCGTTGGAAACGGGAATATCTTCATAAAAAATCTAGACGGAAGCATTGTCAGAAACTGCTTTGTGATGTTTGCATTCAAGTCACAGAGTTAAATATTCTTTTACAGAGCAGGTTTGAAACACTCTTTCTGCACTCCCTGGAAGTGGAGATTTCGAGCGCTTTGAGGCCTATGGTGAAAAAGGAAATATCTTCCCATAAAAACTAGACGGAAGCCTTCTCAGAAACTTGTTTGAGATGTGTGTATTCAACTAAGAGTGTTGAACATTTCTTTTTACAGAGCAGTTTTAAAACACTCTTTTTGTGGAATCTGAAAGTGGATAATTGGATAGCTTTGTGGATTTCGTTGGAAACGGGATGACGTATAAAATCTAGAGAGAAGCATTCTCAGGAACTTCTTTCTGATGTTTGCATTCAAGTCACAGAATTGAACATTCCTTTTCATAGTGCAGGTTTGAAACACTCTTTCTGTAGTATCTGGAAGTGGACATTTCAAGCGCTTGCAGGCCTATGGGGAGAAAGGAAATATCTTCAAATAAAAACTAGACAGAAGGATTCTCAGAAACTTATTGGTGATGTGTGTCCTCAACGAACACAGTTGAACCTTTGTTTTGATACAGCATTTTGGAAACACTCCCTTTGTAGAATCTGCAGGTGGATATGTGGATAGATTTTAAGATTTCGTTGGAAACGGGAATTTCTTCATATAAACTCAAGACAGATGCATTCTCAGGAACTTCTCTGTGATGTTTGCATTCCACTCATAGAGTTGAAAACTTCCTTTCATAGAGCAGGTTTGAAACACTCTTTTTGTAATATTTGGAAGTGGACATTTGCAGCGCTTTGAGGCCTATGGTGAAAAAGGAAATATCTTCTCATAAAAACCAGAAACAAGCATTCTCAGAAACTTCTTTTTGATGTGTTTACTCAAGTAACAGAGTTGAACCTTCCTTTTGACACAGCAGTTTTGAAACAATCTTTTTGTAGAATCTGCAAGTGGATATTTGGATAGCTTTGAGGATTTCGTTGCAAACGGGATATCTTCATATAAAATCTAGACAGAAGCATTCTCAGAAACTTCTTTGTGCTGTATGACCTCAATTAACAGAGTTGAACCATTGCTTGCATACAGCATTTTGGAAACATTCCTTGAGTAGAATCTGCAAGTTGATATTTAGATAGATTTGAAGATTTCGTTCGAAAACGGAATATCTCCATATAAAATCTAGAGGGAAGCATTCTCAGAAACTGCTTTGTGATGTTTCCATTCAAGTCACAGAGTTGAATATTCCCTTTTATAGAGCACGTTTGAAACACTCTTTCTGCGCTATCTGGAAGTGGACATTTCGAGCGCTTTGAGGCCTATGGTGAAAAAGGAAATATCTTCCCATAAAAACTAGACAGAAGCATTCTCAGAAACTTGTTTGTGATGTGTGTATTCAACTAACAGAGTTGAACTTTTGTTTTTACAGAGCCGTTTTAAAACACTCTTTTTGTGGAATCAGAAAGTGGATATTCGGATGGCTCTGAGGATTTCGTTGGAAGCGGGATTACATATAAAATCTAGAGAGAAGCATTCTCAGGAACTTCTTTGTGATGTTTGCATTGAAGTCACAGAATTGAACATTCACTTTGATAGAGCAGGTTTGAAACACTCATTCTGTAGTATCTGGAAGTGGACATTTCAAGCGCTTTCAGGCCTATGGTGAGAAAGGAAATATCTTCGAATAAAAACTAGACAGAAGCATCCTCAAACTTATTTGTGATGTGTGTCCTCAACTAACAGAGTTGAAACTTTGTTTTGATACAGCATTTTGGAAACACTCTTTTTGTAGAATCTGCAGGTGGATATTTGGATAGCTTAGAGGGATTCGTTGGAAAGGGGATATCTTCATATAGAATCTAGACAGAAGCATTCTCAGAAACTTATTTGTGATGTGTGTCCTCAACTAACAGAGTTGAACTTTGGTTTTGATACAGCATTTTGGAAACACTCCTTTTGTAGAATCTGCAGGTGGATATGTGGATAGCTCTGAAGATTTCGTTGGAAACGGGAATTTCTTCATATAAAATCAAACAGAAGCATTCTCAGAAACTTCTCAGTGATGTTTGCATTCAGCTCATGGAGTTGTACACTTCCTTTCATAGAGCAGGTTTGAAACACTCTTTCTGCACTACCTGGAAGAGGACATTTCGAGCGCTTTGAGTCCTATGGTGAAAAAGGATATATCTTCTCATAGAAACCAGAAAGAAGCATTCTCAGAAACTTCTTTGTGTTGTGTGTACTCATGTAACAGTGTTGAACCATCCTTTTGACAGAGCAGTTTTGAAACACTCTTTTTGTAGAATCTGCAAGTGGATATTTGGATAGCTTTGAGGATTTCGTTGGAAACGGGATGACATATAATATCTAGAGAGAAGCATTCTCAGGAACTTCTTTGTGATGTTTGCATTCAAGTCACAGAATTGAACATTCCCTTTCATAGAGCAGGTTTGAAACACTCTTTCTCTAGTATCTGGAAGTGGGCATTTCAAGCGCTTTCAGGCCTATGGAGAGAAAGGAAATACCTTCAAATAAAAACTAGACAGAAGCATTCTCAGAAACTTATTTGTGATGTGTGTCCTCAACTAACAGAGTTGAACCTTTGTTTTGATACAGCATTTTGGAAACACTCCTTTTGTAGAATCTGCAGGTGGATATTTGGATAGCTTTGAAGATTTCGTTGGAAACCGGAATATCTTCATATAAAATCAAGACAGAAGCATTCTCGGAAACATCTCTGTGATGTTTGCATTCAACTCAGTAGAGTTGAACACTTCCTTTCATAGAGCAGGTTTGAAACACTCTTTCTGCACTACCTGGAAGCGGACATTTCGAGCGCTTTGAGGCCTATGGTGAAAAAGGAAATATCTTCTCATAAAAACCAGAAAGAAGCATTCTCAGAAACTTCTTTGTGTTGTGTGTACTCAAGTAACAGTGTTGAACCTTCCTTTTGACAGAGCAGTTTTGAAACACTCTTTTGGTAGAATCTGCAAGTGGATATCTGGATAGCTTTGAGGATTTCGTTGGAAACGGGTTATCTTCCTATAAAATCCAGACAGGAGCATTCTCAGAAACTTCTTTGTGCTGTATGTCCTCAATTCACAGAGCTGAACCTTTGTTTGGATACAGCATTTTGGAGACATTCCTTTAGTAGAATCTGCAAGTTGATATTTAGATAGCTTTGAAGATTTCGTTGGAAACGGGAATATCTTCATAGAAAATCTAGACGGAAGCATTCTCAGAAACTGCTTTGTGATGTTTGCATTCAAGTCACAGAGTTGAATATTCCCTTTTATAGAGTAGGTTTGAAACACTCTTTCGGCACTACCTGGAAGTGGATATTTCGAGCTCTTTGAGGCCTATGGTTAAAAGGAAATATCTTCCCATAAAAACTAGACAGAAGCCGTCTCAGAAACTTGTTTGTGATGTGTGTATTCAACTACCAGAGTTGAACATTTCTGTTACAGAGCAATTTTAAAACACTCTTTGTGGAATCTGAAAGTGGATAATTGGATAGCTTTGTGGATTTCGTTGGAAACGGGATGACGTATAAAATCTAGAGAGAAGCATTCTCAGGAACTTCTTTCTGATGTTTGCATTCAAGTCACAGAATTGAACATTCCTTTTCAGAGTGCAGGTTTGAAACACTCTTTCTGTAGTATCTGGAAGTGGACATTTCAAGCGCTTTCAGGCCTACGGGGAGAAAGGAAATATCTTCAAATAAAAACTAGACAGAAGGATTCTCAGAAACTTATTTGTGATGTGTGTCCTAAACGAACACAGTTGAACCTTTGTTTTGATACAGCATTTTGGAAACACTCCTTTTGTAGGATCTGCAGGTGGATATTTGGATAGATTTTAAGATTTCGTTGGAAACGGGAATTTCTTCATAGAAGCTCAAGACAGATGCATTCTCAGAAACTTCTCTGTGATGTTTGCATTCCACTCATAGAGTTGAAAACTTCCTTTCATAGAGCAGGTTTGAAACACTCTTTTTGTAATATTTGGAAGTGGACATTTGCAGCGCTTTGAGGCCTATGGTGAAAAAGGAAATATCTTCTCATAAAAACCAGAAACAAGCATTCTCAGAAACTTCTTTTTGATGTGTGTACTCAAGTAACAGAGTTGAACCTTCCTTTTGACACAGCAGTTTTGAAACAATCTTTTTGTAGAATCTGCAAGTGGATATTTGGATAGCTTTGAGGATTTCGTTGGAAACGGGATATCTTCATATAAAATCTAGACAGAAGCATTCTCAGAAACTTCTTTGTGCTGTATGTCCTCAATTAACAGAGTTGAACCATTGCATGGATACAGCATTTTGGAAACATTCCTTTAGTAGAATCTGCAAGTTGATATTTAGATAGATTTGAAGATTTCGTTGGAAACGGGAATATCTTCATATAAAATCTAGACGGAGGCATTCTCAGAAACTGCTTTGTGATGTTTCCATTCAAGGCACAGAGTTGAATATTCTCTTTTGTAGAGCACGTTTGAAACACTCTTTCTGTACTATCTGTTAGTGGACATTTCGAGCGCAGTGAGGCCTACGGTGAAAAAGGAAATATCTTCCCATAAAAACTAGACAGAATCATTCTCAGAAACTTGTTTATGATGTGTGTATTCAACTAACAGACTTGAACTTTTGTTTTTACAGAGCAGTTTTAAGACAATCTTTTTGTGGAATCAGAAAGTGGATATTCGGATGGCTTTGAGGACTTCGTTGGAAGCGGGATTACATATAAAATCTAGAGAGAAGCATTCTCAGGAACTACTTTGTGACGTTTGCATTGAAGTCACAGAATTGAACATTCACTTTGATAGAGCAGGTTTGAAACACTCATTCTGTAGTATCTGGAAGCGGACAATTCAAGCGCTTTCAGGCCTATGGGGAGAAAGGAAATATCTTCAAATAAAAACTAGAGAGAAGCATCCTCAGAAACTTATTTGTGATGTGTGTCCTCAACTAACAGAGTTGAAACTTTGTTTTGATACAGCATTTTGGAAACACTCTTTTGTAGAATCTGCAGGTGGATGTTTGGATAGCTTAGAGGGATTCGTTGGAAAGGGGATATCTTCATATAAAATCTAGACAGAAGCATTCTCAGAAACTTATTTGTGATGTGTGTCCTCAACTAACAGAGTTGAACCTTGGTTTTGATACAGCATTTTGGAAACACTCCTTTTGTAGAATCTGCAGGGGGATATGTGGATAGCTCTGAAGATTTCGTTGGAAACGGGAATTTCTTCATATAAAATCAAACAGAAGCATTCTCAGAAACTTCTCAGTGATGTTTGCATTCAGCTCATGGAGTTGAACACTTCCTTTCATAGAGCAGGTTTGAAACACTCTTTCTGCACTACCTGGAAGAGGACATTTCGAGCGCTTTGAGTCCTATGGTGAAAAAGGAAATATCTTGTCATAGAAACCAGAAAGAAGCATTCTCAGAAACTTCTTTGTGTTGTGTGTACTCATGTAACAGTGTTGAACCATCCTTTTGACAGAGGAGTTTTGAAACACTCTTTTTGTAGAATCTGCAAGTGGATATTTGGATAGCTTTGAGGATTTCGTTGGAAACGGGATGACATATAATATCTAGAGAGAAGCATTCTCAGGAACTTCTTTGTGATGTTTGCATTCAAGTCACAGAATTGAACATTGCCTTTCATAGAGCAGGTTTGAAACACTCTTTCTCTAGTATCTGGAAGTGGGCATTTCAAGCGCTTTCAGGCCTATTGAGAGAAAGGAAATACCTTCAAATAAAAACTAGACAGAAGCATTCTCAGAAACTTATTTGTGATGTGTGTCCTCAACTAACAGAGTTGAACCTTTGTTTTGATACAGCATTTTGGAAACACTCCTTTTGTAGAATCTGCAGGTGGATATTTGGATAGCTTTGAAGATTTCGTTGGAAACCGGAATATCTTCATATAAAATCAAGACAGAAGCATTCTCGGAAACATCTCTGTGATGTTTGCATTCAACTCAGTAGAGTTGAACACTTCCTTTCATAGAGCAGGTTTGAAACACTCTTTCTGCACTACCTGGAAGCGGACATTTCGAGCGCTTTGAGGCCTATGGTGAAAAAGGAAATATCTTCTCATAAAAACCAGAAAGAAGCATTCTCAGAAACTTCTTTGTGTTGTGTGTACTCAAGTAACAGTGTTGAACCTTCCTTTTGACAGAGCAGTTTTGAAACACTCTTTTGGTAGAATCTGCAAGTGGATATTTGGAGAGCTTTGAGGATTTCGTTGGAAACGGGTTATCTTCCTATAAAATCCAGACAGGAGCATTCTCAGAAACTTCTTTGTGCTGTATGTCCTCAATTCACAGAGCTGAACCTTTGTTTGGATACAGCATTTTGGAGACATTCCTTTAGTAGAATCTGCAAGTTGATATTTAGATAGCTTTGAAGATTTCGTTGGAAACGGGAATATCTTCATAGAAAATCTAGACGGAAGCATTCTCAGAAACTGCTTTGTGATGTTTGCATTCAAGTCACAGAGTTGAATATTCCCTTTTATAGAGTAGGTTTGAAACACTCTTTCGGCACTACCTGGAAGTGGATATTTCGAGCTCTTTGAGGCCTATGGTTAAAAGGAAATATCTTCCCATAAAAACTAGACAGAAGCCGTCTCAGAAACTTGTTTGTGATGTGTGTATTCAACTACCAGAGTTGAACATTTCTGTTACAGAGCAATTTTAAAACACTCTTTTTGTGGAATCTGAAAGTGGATAATTGGATAGCTTTGTGGATTTCGTTGGAAACGGGATGACGTATAAAATCTAGAGAGAAGCATTCTCAGGAACTTCTTTCTGATGTTTGCATTCAAGTCACAGAATTGAACATTCCTTTTCAGAGTGCAGGTTTGAAACACACTCTTTCTGTAGTATCTGGAAGTGGACATTTCAAGCGCTTTCAGGCCTACGGGGAGAAAGGAAATATCTTCAAATAAAAACTAGACAGAAGGATTCTCAGAAACTTATTTGTGATGTGTGTCCTAAACGAACACAGTTGAACCTTTGTTTTGATACAGCATTTTGGAAACACTCCTTTTGTAGAATCTGCAGGTGGATATTTGGATAGATTTTAAGATTTCATTGGAAACGGGAATTTCTTCATATAAACTCAAGACAGATGCATTCTCAGAAACTTCTCTGTGATGTTTGCATTCCACTCACAGAGTTGAAAACTTCCTTTCATAGAGCAGGTTTGAAACACTCTTTTTGTAATATTTGGAAGTGGACATTTGCAGCGCTTTGAGGCCTATGGTGAAAAAGGAAATATCTTTTCATAAAAACCAGAAACAAGCATTCTCAGAAACTGCTTTTTGATGTGTGTACTCAAGTAACAGAGTTGAACCTTCCTTTTGACACAGCAGTTTTGAAACAATCTTTTTGTAGAATCTGCAAGTGGATATTTGGATAGCTTTGAGGATTTCGTTGGAAACGGGATATCTTCATATAAAATCTAGACAGAAGCATTCTCAGAAACTTCTTTGTGCTGTATGTCCTCAATTAACAGAGTTGAACCATTGCTTGGATACAGCATTTTGGAAACATTCCTTTAGTAGAATCTGCAAGTTGATATTTAGATAGCTTTGAAGATTTCGTTGGAAACGGGAATATCTTCATATAAAATCTAGACGGAGGCATTCTCAGAAAACTGCTTTGTGATGTTTCCATTCAAGTCACAGAGTTGAATATTCTCTTTTCTAGAGCACGTTTGAAACACTCTTTCTGCACTATCTGGAAGTGGACATTTCGAGCGCTTTGAGGCCTATGGTGAAAAAGGAAATATCTTCCCATAAAAACTAGACAGAAGCATTCTCAGAAACTTGTTTGTGATGTGTGTATTCAACTAACAGACTTGAACTTTTGTTTTTACAGAGCAGTTTTAAAACAATCTTTTTGTGGAATCAGAAAGTGGATATTCGGATGGCTTTGAGGATTTCGTTGGAAGCGGGATTACATATAAAATCTAGAGAGAAGCATTCTCAGGAACTACTTTGTGATGTTTGCATTGAAGTCACAGAATTGAACATTCACTTTGATAGAGCAGGTTTGAAACACTCATTCTGTAGTATCTGGAAGTGGACATTTCAAGCGCTTTCAGGCCTATGGTGAGAAAGGAAATATCTTCAAATTAAAACTAGACAGAAGCATCCTCAAACTTATTTGTGATGTGTGTCCTCAACTAACAGAGTTGAAACTTTGTTTTGATACAGCATTTTGGAAACACTCTTTTTGTAGAATCTGCAGGTGGATATTTGGATAGCTTAGAGGGATTCGTTGGAAAGGGGATATCTTCATATAGAATCTAGACAGAAGCATTCTCAGAAACTTATTTGTGATGTGTGTCCTCAACTAACAGAGTTGAACCTTGGTTTTGATACAGCATTTTGGAAACACTCCTTTTGTAGAATCTGCATGTGGATATGTGGATAGCTCTGAAGATTTCGTTGGAAACGGGAATTTCTTCATATAAAATCAAACAGAAGCATTCTCAGAAACTTCTCAGTGATGTTTGCATTCAGCTCATGGAGTTGTACACTTCCTTTCATAGAGCAGGTTTGAAACACTCTTTCTGCACTACCTGGAAGAGGACATTTCGAGCGCTTTGAGTCCTATGGTGAAAAAGGAAATATCTTCTCATAGAAACCAGAAAGAAGCATTCTCAGAAACTTCTTTGTGTTGTGTGTACTCATGTAACAGTGTTGAACCATCCTTTTGACAGAGCAGTTTTGAAACACTCTTTTTGTAGAATCTGCAAGTGGATATTTGGATAGCTTTGAGGATTTCGTTGGAAACGGGATGACATATAATATACTAGAGAGAAGCATTCTCAGGAACTTCTTTGTGATGTTTGCATTCAAGTCACAGAATTGAACATTCCCTTTCATAGAGCAGGTTTGAAACACTCTTTCTCTAGTATCTGGAAGTGGGCATTTCAAGCGCTTTCAGGCCTATGGAGAGAAAGGAAATACCTTCAAATAAAAACTAGACAGAAGCATTCTCAGAAACTTATTTGTGATGTGTGTCCTCAACTAACAGAGTTGAACCTTTGTTTTGATACAGCATTTTGGAAACACTCCTTTTGTAGAATCTGCAGGTGGATATTTGGATAGCTTTGAAGATTTCGTTGGAAACCGGAATATCTTCATATAAAATCAAGACAGAAGCATTCTCGGAAACATCTCTGTGATGTTTGCATTCAACTCAGTAGAGTTGAACACTTCCTTTCATAGAGCAGGTTTGAAACACTCTTTCTGCACTACCTGGAAGCGGACATTTCGAGCGCTTTGAGGCCTATGGTGAAAAAGGAAATATCTTCTCATAAAAACCAGAAAGAAGCATTCTCAGAAACTTCTTTGTGTTGTGTGTACTCAAGTAACAGTGTTGAACCTTCCTTTTGACAGAGCAGTTTTGAAACACTCTTTTGGTAGAATCTGCAAGTGGATATTTGGATAGCTTTGAGGATTTCGTTGGAAACGGGTTATCTTCATATAAAATCCAGACAGGAGCATTCTCAGAAACTTCTTTGTGCTGTATGTCCTCAATTCACAGAGCTGAACCTTTGTTTGGATACAGCATTTTGGAGACATTCCTTTAGTAGAATCTGCAAGTTGATATTTAGATAGCTTTGAAGATTTCGTTGGAAACGGGAATATCTTCATAGAAAATCTAGACGGAAGCATTCTCAGAAACTGCTTTGTGATGTTTGCATTCAAGTCACAGAGCTGAATATTCCCTTTTATAGAGTAGGTTTGAAACACTCTTTCGGCACTACCTGGAAGTGGATATTTCGAGCTCTTTGAGGCCTATGGTTAAAAGGAAATATCTTCCCATAAAAACTAGACAGAAGCCGTCTCAGAAACTTGTTTGTGATGTGTGTATTCAACTAACAGAGTTGAACATTTCTGTTACAGAGCAATTTTAAAACACTCTTTTTGTGGAATCTGAAAGTGGATAATTGGGTAGCTTTGTGGATTTCGTTGGAAACGGGATGACGTATAAAATCTAGAGAGAAGCATTCTCAGGAACTTCTTTCTGATGTTTGCATTCAAGTCACAGAATTGACATTCCTTTTCAGAGTGCAGGTTTGAAACACTCTTTCTGTAGTATCTGGAAGTGGACATTTCAAGCGCTTTCAGGCCTACGGGGAGAAAGGAAATATCTTCAAATAAAAACTAGACAGAAGGATTCTCAGAAACTTATTTGTGATGTGTGTCCTAAGTGAACACAGTTGAACCTTTGTTTTGATACAGCATTTTGGAAACACTCCTTTTGTAGAATCTGCAGGTGGATATTTGGATAGATTTTAAGATTTCATTGGAAACGGGAATTTCTGCATAGAAACTCAAGACAGATGCATTCTCAGAAACTTCTCTGTGATGTTTGCATTCCACTCATAGAGTTGAAAACTTCCTTTCATAGAGCAGGTTTGAAACACTCTTTTTGTAATATTTGGAAGTGGACCTTTGCAGCGCTTTGAGGCCTATGGTGAAAAAGGAAATATCTTCTCATAAAAACCAGAAACAAGCATTCTCAGAAACTTCTTTTTGATGTGTGTACTCAAGTAACAGAGTTGAACCTTCCTTTTGACACAGCAGTTTTGAAACAATCTTTTTGTAGAATCTGCAAGTGGATATTTGGATAGCTTTGAGGATTTCGTTGGAAACGGGATATCTTCATATAAAATCTAGACAGAAGCATTCTCAGAAACTTCTTTGTGCTGTATGACCTCAATTTACAGAGTTGAACCATTGCTTGCATACAGCATTTTGGAAACATTCCTTGAGTAGAATCTGCAAGTTGATATTTAGATAGATTTGAAGATTTCGTTCGAAAACGGAATATCTCCATATAAAATCTAGAGGGAAGCATTCTCAGAAACTGCTTTGTGATGTTTCCATTCAAGTCACAGAGTTGAATATTCCCTTTTATAGAGCACGTTTGAAACACTCTTTCTGCACTATCTGGAAGTGGACATTTCGAGCGCTTTGAGGCCTATGGTGAAAAAGGAAATATCTTCCCATAAAAACTAGACAGAAGCCGTCTCAGAAACTTGTTTGTGATGTGTGTATTCAACTAACAGAGTTGAACTTTTGTTTTTACAGAGCCGTTTTAAAACACTCTTTTTGTGGAATCAGAAAGTGGATATTCGGATGGCTCTGAGGATTTCGTTGGAAGCGGGATTACATATAAAATCTAGAGAGAAGCATTCTCAGGAACTTCTTTGTGATGTTTGCATTGAAGTCACAGAATTGAACATTCACTTTGATAGAGCAGGTTTGAAACACTCATTCTGTAGTATCTGGAAGTGGACATTTCAAGCGCTTTCAGGCCTATGGTGAGAAAGGAAATATCTTCGAATAAAAACTAGACAGAAGCATCCTCAAACTTATTTGTGATGTGTGTCCTCAACTAACAGAGTTGAACCTTTGTTTTGATACAGCATTTTGGAAACACTCTTTTTGTAGAATCTGCAGGTGGATATTTGGATAGCTTAGAGGGATTCGTTGGAAAGGGGATATCTTCATATAGAATCTAGACAGAAGCATTCTCAGAAACTTATTTGTGATGTGTGTCCTCAACTAACAGAGTTGAACTTTGGTTTTGATACAGCATTTTGGAAACACTCCTTTTGTAGAATCTGCAGGTGGATATGTGGATAGCTCTGAAGATTTCGTTGGAAACGGGAATTTCTTCATAGAAAATCAAACAGAAGCATTCTCAGAAACTTCTCAGTGATGTTTGCATTCAGTTCATGGATTTGAACACTTCCTTTCATAGAGCCGGTTTGAAACACTCTTTCTGCACTACCTGGAAGAGGACATTTCGAGCGCTTTGAGTCCTATGGTGAAAAAGGAAATATCTTCTCATAGAAACCAGAAAGAAGCATTCTCAGAAACTTCTTTGTGTTGTGTGTACTCATGTAACAGTGTTGAACCATCCTTTTGACAGAGCAGTTTTGAAACACTCTTTTTGTAGAATCTGCAAGTGGATATTTGGATAGCTTTGAGGATTTCGTTGGAAACGGGATGACATATAATATCTAGAGAGAAGCATTCTCAGGAACTTCTTTGTGATGTTTGCATTCAAGTCACAGAATTGAACATTCCCTTTCATAGAGCAGGTTTGAAACACTCTTTCTCTAGTATCTGGAAGTGGGCATTTCAAGCGCTTTCAGGCCTATGGAGAGAAAGGAAATACCTTCAAATAAAAACTAGACAGAAGCATTCTCAGAAACTTATTTGTGATGTGTGTCCTCAACTAACAGAGTTGAACCTTTGTTTTGATACAGCATTTTGGAAACACTCCTTTTGTAGAATCTGCAGGTGGATATTCGGATAGCTTTGAAGATTTCGTTGGAAACCGGAATATCTTCATATAAAATCAAGACAGAAGCATTCTCGGAAACATCTCTGTGATGTTTGCATTCAACTCAGTAGAGTTGAACACTTCCTTTCATAGAGCAGGTTTGAAACACTCTTTCTGCACTACCTGGAAGCGGACATTTCGAGCGCTTTGAGGCCTATGGTGAAAAAGGAAATATCTTCTCATAAAAACCAGAAAGAAGCATTCTCAGAAACTTCTTTGTGTTGTGTGTACTCAAGTAACAGTGTTGAACCTTCCTTTTGACAGAGCAGTTTTGAAACACTCTTTTGGTAGAATCTGCAAGTGGATATTTGGATAGCTTTGAGGATTTCGTTGGAAACGGGTTATCTTCATATAAAATCCAGACAGGAGCATTCTCAGAAACTTCTTTGTGCTGTATGTCCTCAATTCACAGAGCTGAACCTTTGTTTGGATACAGCATTTTGGAGACATTCCTTTAGTAGAATCTGCAAGTTGATATTTAGATAGCTTTGAAGATTTCGTTGGAAACGGGAATATCTTCATAGAAAATCTAGATGGAAGCATTCTCAGAAACTGCTTTGTGATGTTTGCATTCAAGTCACAGAGTTGAATATTCCCTTTTATAGAGTAGGTTTGAAACACTCTTTCGGCACTACCTGGAAGTGGATATTTCGAGCTCTTTGAGGCCTATGGTTAAAAGGAAATATCTTCCCATAAAAACTAGACAGAAGCCGTCTCAGAAACTTGTTTGTGATCTGTGTATTCAACTAACAGAGTTGAACATTTCTGTTACAGAGCAATTTTAAAACACTCTTTGTGGAATCTGAAAGTGGATAATTGGATAGCTTTGTGGATTTCGTTGGAAACAGGATGACGTATAAAATCTAGAGAGAAGCATTCTCAGGAACTTCTTTCTGATGTTTGCATTCAAGTCACAGAATTGAACATTCCTTTTCAGAGTGCAGGTTTGAAACACTCTTTCTGTAGTATCTGGAAGTGGACATTTCAAGCGCTTTCAGGCCTACGGGGAGAAAGGAAATATCTTCAAATAAAAACTAGAGAGAAGGATTCTCAGAAACTTATTTGTGATGTGTGTCCTAAACGAACACAGTTGAACCTTTGTTTTGATACAGCATTTTGGAAACACTCCTTTTGTAGGATCTGCAGGTGGATATTTGGATAGATTTTAAGATTTCGTTGGAAACGGGAATTTCTGCATATAAACTCAAGACAGATGCATTCTCAGAAACTTCTCTGTGATGTTTGCATTCCACTCATAGAGTTGAAAACTTCCTTTCATAGAGCAGGTTTGAAACACTCTTTTTGTAATATTTGGAAGTGGACATTTGCAGCGCTTTGAGGCCTATGGTGAAAAAGGAAATATCTTCTCATAAAAACCAGAAACAAGCATTCTCAGAAACTTCTTTTTGATGTGTGTACTCAAGTAACAGAGTTGAACCTTCCTTTTGACACAGCAGTTTTGAAACAATCTTTTTGTAGAATCTGCAAGTGGATATTTGGATAGCTTTGAGGATTTCGTTGGAAACGGGATATCTTCATATAAAATCTAGACAGAAGCATTCTCAGAAACTTCTTTGTGCTGTATGACCTCAATTAACAGAGTTGAACCATTGCTTGCATACAGCATTTTGGAAACATTCCTTGAGTAGAATCTGCAAGTTGATATTTAGATAGATTTGAAGATTTCGTTCGAAAACGGAATATCTCCATATAAAATCTAGAGGGAAGCATTCTCAGAAACTGCTTTGTGATGTTTCCTTTCAAGTCACAGAGTTGAATATTCCCTTTTATAGAGCACGTTTGAAACACTCTTTCTGCGCTATCTGGAAGTGGACATTTCGAGCGCTTTGAGGCCTATGGTGAAAAAGGAAATATCTTCCCATAAAAACTAGACAGAAGCATTCTCAGAAACTTGTTTGTGATGTGTGTATTCAACTAACAGAGTTGAACTTTTGTTTTTACAGAGCCGTTTTAAAACACTCTTTTTGTGGAATCAGAAAGTGGATATTCGGATGGCTCTGAGGATTTCGTTGGAAGCGGGATTACATATAAAATCTAGAGAGAAGCATTCTCAGGAACTTCTTTGTGATGTTTGCATTGAAGTCACAGAATTGAACATTCACTTTGATAGAGCAGGTTTGAAACACTCATTCTGTAGGATCTGGAAGTGGACATTTCAAGCGCTTTCAGGCCTATGGTGAGAAAGGAAATATCTTCGAATAAAAACTAGACAGAAGCATCCTCAGAAACTTATTTGTGATGTGTGTCCTCAACTAACAGAGTTGAAACTTTGTTTTGATACAGCATTTTGGAAACACTCTTTTTGTAGAATCTGCAGGTGGATATTTGGATAGCTTAGAGGGATTCGTTGGAAAGGGGATATCTTCATATAAAATGCTAGACAGAAGCATTCTCAGAAACTTATTTGTGATGTGTGTCCTCAACTAACAGAGTGGAACCTTGGTTTTGATACAGCATTTTGGAAACACTCCTTTTGTAGAATCTGCAGGTGGATATGTGGATAGCTTTGAAGATTTCGTTGGAAACGGGAATTTCTTCATATAAAATCAAACAGAAGCATTCTCAGAAACTTCTCTGTGATGTTTGCATTCAGCTCATGGAGTTGAACACTTCCTTTCATAGAGCAGGTTTGAAACACTCTTTCTGCACTACCAGGAAGTGGACATTTTGAGCGCTTTGAGGCCTATGGTGAAAAAGGAAATATCTTCTCATAAAAACCAGAAAGAAGCGTTCTCAGAAACTTCTTTGTGTTGTGTGTACTCATGTAACAGTGTTGAACCATCCTTTTGACAGAGCAGTTTTGAAACACTCTTTTTGTAGAATCTGCAAGTGGATATTTGGATAGCTTTGAGGATTTCGTTGGAAACGGGTTATCTTCATATTAAATCTAGACAGAAGCATTCTCAGAAACTTCTTTGTGCTGTATGTCCTCAATTCACAGAGTTGAACCTTTGTTTGGATACAGCATTTTGGAAACATTCCTTTAGTAGAATCTGCAAGTTGATATTTAGATAGCTTTGAAGATTTCGTTGGAAACGGGAATATCTTCATAAAAAATCTAGACGGAAGCATTGTCAGAAACTGCTCTGTGATGTTTGCATTCAAGTCACAGAGTTAAATATTCTTTTACAGAGCAGGTTTGAAACACTCTTTCTGCACTCCCTGGAAGTGGCGATTTCGAGCGCTTTGAGGCCTATGGTGAAAAAGGAAATATCTTCCCATAAAAACTAGACGGAAGCCTTCTCAGAAACTTGTTTGAGATGTGTGTATTCAACTAAGAGCGTTGAACATTTCTTTTTACAGAGCAGTTTTCAAACACTCTTTTGGTGGAATCTGAAAGTGGTTAATGGGATAGCTTTGTGGATTTCGTTGGAAACGGGATTACGTTTAAAATCTAGAGAGAAGCATTCTCAGGAACTTCTTTCTGATGTTTGCATTCAAGTCACAGAATTGAACATTCCTTTTCATAGTGCAGGTTTGAAACACTCTGTAGTATCTGGAAGTGGACATTTCAAGCGCTTTCAAGCCTATGGGGAGAAAGGAAATATCTTGAAATAAAAACTAGACAGAAGGATTCTCAGAAACTTATTTGTGATGTGTGTCCTAAACGAACACAGTTGAAACTTTGTTTTGATACAGCATTTTGGAAACACTCCTTTTGTAGAATCTGCAGGTGGATATTTGGATAGATTTTAAGATTTCATTGGAAACGGGAATTTCTTCATATAAACTCAAGACAGATGCATTCTCAGAAACTTCTCTGTGATGTTTGCATTCCACTCACAGAGTTGAAAACTTCCTTTCATAGAGCAGGTTTGAAACACTCTTTTTGTAATATTTGGAAGTGGACATTTGCAGCGCTTTGAGGCCTATGGTGAAAAAGGAAATATCTTCTCATAAAAACCAGAAACAAGCATTCTCAGAAACTGCTTTTTGATGTGTGTACTCAAGTAACAGAGTTGAACCTTCCTTTTGACACAGCAGTTTTGAAACAATCTTTTTGTAGAATCTGCAAGTGGATATTTGGATAGCTTTGAGGATTTCGTTGGAAACGGGATATCTTCATATAAAATCTAGACAGAAGCATTCTCAGAAACTTCTTTGTGCTGTATGTCCTCAATTAACAGAGTTGAACCATTGCTTGGATACAGCATTTTGGAAACATTCCTTTAGTAGAATCTGCAAGTTGATATTTAGATAGATTTGAACATTTCGTTGGAAACGGGAATATCTTCATATAAAATCTAGACGGAGGCATTCTCAGAAACTGCTTTGTGATGTTTCCATTCAAGTCACAGAGTTGAATATTCTCTTTTATAGAGCACGTTTGAAACACTCTTTCTGCACTATCTGGAAGTGGACATTTCGAGCGCTTTGAGGCCTATGGTGAAAAAGGAAATATCTTCCCATAAAAACTAGACAGAAGCATTCTCAGAAACTTGTTTGTGATGTGTGTATTCAACTAACAGACTTGAACTTTTGTTTTTACAGAGCAGTTTTAAAACAATCTTTTTGTGGAATCAGAAAGTGGATATTCGGATGGCTTTGAGGATTTCGTTGGAAGCGTGATTACATATAAAATCTAGAGAGAAGCATTCTCAGGAACTACTTTGTGATGTTTGCATTGAAGTCACAGAATTGAACATTCACTTTGATAGAGCAGGTTTGAAACACTCATTCTGTAGTATCTGGAAGTGGACATTTCAAGTGCTTTCAGGCCTATGGGGAGAAAGGAAATATCTTCAAATAAAAACTAGACAGAAGCATCCTCAGGAAACTTATTTGTGATGTGTGTCCTCAACTAACAGAGTTGAAACTTTGTTTTGATACAGCCTTTTGGAAACACTCCTTTTGTAGAATCTGCAGGTGGCTATTTGGATAGCTTAGAGGGATTCGTTGGAAAGGGGATATCTTCATATAAAATCTAGACAGAAGCATTCTCAGAAACTTATTTGTGATGTGTGTCCTCAACTAACAGAGTTGAACCTTGGTTTTGATACAGCATTTTGGAAACACTCCTTTTGAAGAATCTGCAGGTGGATATGTGGATAGCTTTGAAGATTTCGTTGGAAACGGGAATTTCTTCATATAAAATCAAACAGAAGCATTCTCAGGAACTTCTCTGTGATGTTTGCATTCAGCTCATGGAGTTGAACACTTCCTTTCATAGAGCAGGTTTGAAACACTCTTTCTGCACTACCTGGAAGTGGACATTTCGAGCGCTTTGAGGCCTATGGTGAAAAAGGAAATATCCTCTCATAAAAACCAGAAAGAAGCGTTCTCAGAAACTTCTTTGTGTTGTGTGTACTCATGTAACAGTGTTGAACCATCCTTTTGACAGAGCAGTTTTGAAACACTCTTTTTGTAGAATCTGCCAGTGGATATTTGGATAGCTTTGAGGATTTCGTTGGAAACGGGTTATCTTCATATTAAATCTAGACAGAAGCATTCTCAGAAACTTCTTTGTGCTGTATGTCCTCAATTCACAGAGTTGAACCTTTGTTTGGATACAGCATTTTGGAAACATTCCTTTAGTAGAATCTGCAAGTTGATATTTAGATAGCTTTGAAGATTTCGTTGGAAACGGGAATATCTTCATAAAAAATCTAGACGGAAACATTGTCAGAAACTGCTCTGTGATGTTTGCATTCAAGTCACAGAGTTAAATATTCTTTTATAGAGCAGGTTTGAAACACTCTTTCTGCACTCCCTGGAAGTGGAGATTTCGAGCGCTTTGAGGCCTATGGTGAAAAAGGAAATATCTTCCCGTAAAAACTAGACGGAAGCCTTCTCAGAAACTTGTTTGAGATGTGTGTATTCAACTAAGAGCGTTGAACATTTCTTTTTACAGAGCAGTTTTAAAACACTCTTTTGGTGCAATCTGAAAGTGGATAATTGGATAGCTTTGTGGATTTCGTTGGAAACGGGATTACGTTTAAAATCTAGAGAGAAGCATTCTCAGGAACTTCTTTCTGATGTTTGCATTCAAGTCACAGAATTGAACATTCCTTTTCATAGTGCAGGTTTGAAACACTCTGTAGTATCTGGAAGTGGACATTTCAAGGGCTTTCAGGCCTATGGGGAGAAAGGAAATATCTTGAAATAAAAACTAGACAGAAGGATTCTCAGAAACTTATTTGTGATGTGTGTCCTAAACGAACACAGTTGAACCTTTGTTTTGATACAGCATTTTGGAAACACTCCTTTTGTAGAATCTGCAGGTGGATATTTGGATAGATTTTAAGATTTCATTGGAAACGGGAATTTCTTCATATAAACTCAAGACAGATGCATTCTCAGAAACTTCTCTGTGATGTTTGCATTCCACTCACAGAGTTGAAAACTTCCTTTCATAGAGCAGGTTTGAAACACTCTTTTTGTAATATTTGGAAGTGGACATTTGCAGCGCTTTGAGGCCTATGGTGAAAAAGGAAATATCTTCTCATAAAAACCAGAAACAAGCATTCTCAGAAACTGCTTTTTGATGTGTGTACTCAAGTAACAGAGTTGAACCTTCCTTTTGACACAGCAGTTTTGAAACAATCTTTTTGTAGAATCTGCAAGTGGATATTTGGATAGCTTTGAGGATTTCGTTGGAAACGGGATATCTTCATATAAAATCTAGACAGAAGCATTCTCAGAAACTTCTTTGTGCTGTATGTCCTCAATTAACAGAGTTGAACCATTGCTTGGATACAGCATTTTGGAAACATTCCTTTAGTAGAATCTGCAAGTTGATATTTAGATAGATTTGAAGATTTCGTTGGAAACGGGAATATCTTCATATAAAATCTAGACGGAGGCATTCTCAGAAACTGCTTTGTGATGTTTCCATTCAAGTCACAGAGTTGAATATTCCCTTTTATAGAGCACGTTTGAAACACTCTTTCGGCACTATCTGGAAGTGGACATTTCGAGCGCTTTGAGGCCTATGGTGAAAAAGGAAATATCTTCCCATAAAAACTAGACAGAAGCATTCTCAGAAACTTGTTTGTGATGTGTGTATTCAACTAACAGACTTGAACTTTTGTTTTTACAGAGCAGTTTTAAAACAATCTTTTTGTGGAATCAGAAAGTGGATATTCGGATGGCTTTGAGGATTTCGTTGGAAGCGGGATTACATATAAAATGTAGAGAGAAGCATTCTCAGGAACTACTTTGTGATGTTTGCATTGAAGTCACAGAATTGAACATTCACTTTGATAGAGCAGGTTTGAAACACTCATTCTGTAGTATCTGGAAGTGGACATTTCAAGCGCTTTCAGGCCTATGGGGAGAAAGGAAATATCTTCAAATTAAAACTAGACAGAAGCATCCTCAGAAACTTATTTGTGATGTGTGTCCTCAACTAACAGAGTTGAAACTTTGTTTTGATACAGCATTTTGGAAACACTCTTTTTGTAGAATCTGCAGGTGGATACTTGGATAGCTTAGAGGGATTCGTTGGAAAGGGGATAAATTCATATAAAATCTAGACAGAAGCATTCTCAGAAACTTATTTGTGATGTGTGTCCTCAACTAACAGAGTTGAACCTTGGTTTTGATACAGCATTTTGGAAACACTCCTTTTGAAGAATCTGCAGGTGGATATGTGGATAGCTTTGAAGAATTCGTTGGAAACGGGAATTTCTTCATATAAAATCAAACAGAAGCATTCTCAGAAACTTCTCAGTGATGTTTGCATTCAGTTCATGGAGTTGAACACTTCCCTTCATAGAGCCGGTTTGAAACACTCTTTCTGCACTACCTGGAAGAGGACATTTCGAGCGCTTTGAGTCCTATGGTGAAAAAGGAAATATCTTCTCATAGAAACCAGAAAGAAGCATTCTCAGAAACTTCTTTGTGTTGTGTGTACTCATGTAACAGTGTTGAACCATCCTTTTGACAGAGCAGTTTTGAAACACTCTTTTTGTAGAATCTGCAAGTGGATATTTGGATAGCTTTGAGGATTTCGTTGGAAACGGGATGACATATAATATCTAGAGAGAAGCATTCTCAGGAACTTCTTTGTGATGTTTGCATTCAAGTCACAGAATTGAACATTCCCTTTCATAGAGCAGGTTTGAAACACTCTTTCTCTAGTATCTGGAAGTGGGCATTTCAAGCGCTTTCAGGCCTATGGAGAGAAAGGAAATACCTTCAAATAAAAACTAGACAGAAGCATTCTCAGAAACTTATTTGTGATGTGTGTCCTCAACTAACAGAGGTGAACCTTTGTTTTGATACAGCATTTTGGAAACACTCCTTTTGTAGAATCTGCAGGTGGATATGTGGATAGCTTTGAAGATTTCGTTGGAAACCGGAATATCTTCATATAAAATCAAGACAGAAGCATTCTCGGAAACATCTCTGTGATGTTTGCATTCAACTCAGTAGAGTTGAACACTTCCTTTCATAGAGCAGGTTTGAAACACTCTTTCTGCACTACCTGGAAGCGGACATTTCGAGCGCTTTGAGGCCTATGGTGAAAAAGGAAATATCTTCTCATAAAAACCAGAAAGAAGCATTCTCAGAAACTTCTTTGTGTTGTGTGTACTCAAGTAACAGTGTTGAACCTTCCTTTTGACAGAGCAGTTTTGAAACACTCTTTTGGTAGAATCTGCAAGTGGATATTTGGAGAGCTTTGAGGAATTCGTTGGAAACGGGTTATCTTCATATAAAATCCAGACAGGAGTATTCTCAGAAACTTCTTTGTGCTGTATGTCCTCAATTCACAGAGCTGAACCTTTGTTTGGATACAGCATTTTGGAGACATTCCTTTAGTAGAATCTGCAAGTTGATATTTAGATAGCTTTGAAGATGTCGCTGGAAACGGGAATATCTTCATAGAAAATCTAGACGGAAGCATTCTCAGAAACTGCTTTGTGATGTTTGCATTCAAGTCACAGAGTTGAATATTCCCTTTTATAGAATAGGTTTGAAACACTCTTTCGGCACTACCTGGAAGTGGATATTTCGAGCTCTTTGAGGCCTATGGTTAAAAGGAAATATCTTCCCATAAAAACTAGACAGAAGCCGTCTCAGAAACTTGTTTGTGATGTGTGTATTCAACTAACAGAGTTGAACATTTCTGTTACAGAGCAATTTTAAAACACTCTTTTTGTGGAATCTGAAAGTGGATAATTGGATAGCTTTGTGGATTTCGTTGGAAACGGGATGACGTATAAAATCTAGAGAGAAGCATTCTCAGGAACTTCTTTCTGATGTTTGCATTCAAGTCACAGAATTGAACATTCCTTTTCAGAGTGCAGGTTTGAAACACTCTTTCTGTAGTATCTGGAAGTGGACATTTCAAGCGCTTTCAGGCCTACGGGGAGAAAGGAAATATCTTCAAATAAAAACTAGACAGAAGGATTCTCAGTAAACTTATTTGTGATGTGTGTCCTAAACGAACACAGTTGAACCTTTGTTTTGATACAGCATTTTGGAAACACTCCTTTTGTAGGATCTGCAGGTGGATATTTGGATAGATTTTAAGATTTCGTTGGAAACGGGAATTTCTTCATAGAAGCTCAAGACAGATGCATTCTCAGAAACTTCTCTGTGATGTTTGCATTCCACTCATAGAGTTGAAAACTTCCTTTCATAGAGCAGGTTTGAAACACTCTTTTTGTAATATTTGGAAGTGGACATTTGCAGCGCTTTGAGGCCTATGGTGAAAAAGGAAATATCTTCTCATAAAAACCAGAAACAAGCATTCTCAGAAACTTCTTTTTGATGTGTGTACTCAAGTAACAGAGTTGAACCTTCCTTTTGACACAGCAGTTTTGAAACAATCTTTTTGTAGAATCTGCAAGTGGATATTTGGATAGCTTTGAGGATTTCGTTGGAAACGGGATATCTTCATATAAAATCTAGACAGAAGCATTCTCAGAAACTTCTTTGTGCTGTATGTCCTCAATTAACAGAGTTGAACCATTGCCTGGATACAGCATTTTGGAAACATTCCTTGAGTAGAATCTGCAAGTTGATATTTAGATAGATTTGAAGATTTCGTTGGAAAAGGGAATATCTCCATATAAAATCTAGAGGGAAGCATTCTCAGAAACTGCTTTGTGATGTTTCCATTCAAGTCACAGAGTTGAATATTCCCTTTTATAGAGCACGTTTGAAACACTCTTTCTGCACTATCTGGAAGCGGACATTTCGAGCGCTTTGAGGCCTATGGTGAAAAAGGAAATATCTTCCCATAAAAACTAGACAGAAGCATTCTCAGAAACTTGTTTGTGATGTGTGTATTCAACTAACAGAGTTGAACTTTTGTTTTTACAGAGCCGTTTTAAAACACTCTTTTTGTGGAATCAGAAAGTGGATATTCGGATGGCTCTGAGGATTTCGTTGGAAGCGGGATTACGTATAAAATCTAGAGAGAAGCATTCTCAGGAACTTCTTTGTGATGTTTGCATTGAAGTCACAGAATTGAACATTCACTTTGATAGAGCAGGTTTGAAACACTCATTCTGTAGTACCTGGAAGTGGACATTTCAAGCGCTTTCAGGCCTATGGTGAGAAAGGAAATATCTTCGAATAAAAACTAGACAGAAGCATCCTCAAACTTATTTGTGATGTGTGTCCTCAACTAACAGAGTTGAAACTTTGTTTTGATACAGCATTTTGGAAACACTCTTTTTGTAGAATCTGCAGGTGGATATTTGGATAGCTTAGAGGGATTCGTTGGAAAGGGGATATCTTCATATAAAATCTAGACAGAAGCATTCTCAGAAACTTATTTGTGATGTGTGTCCTCAACTAACAGAGTTGAACCTTGGTTTTGATACAGCATTTTGGAAACACTCCTTTTGTAGAATCTGCATGTGGATATGTGGATAGCTCTGAAGATTTCGTTGGAAACGGGAATTTCTTCATATAAAATCAAACAGAAGCATTCTCAGAAACTTCTCAGTGATGTTTGCATTCAGCTCATGGAGTTGTACACTTCCTTTCATAGAGCAGGTTTGAAACACTCTTTCTGCACTACCTGGAAGAGGACATTTCGAGCGCTTTGAGTCCTATGGTGAAAAAGGAAATATCTTCTCATAGAAACCAGAAAGAAGCATTCTCAGAAACTTCTTTGTGTTGTGTGTACTCATGTAACAGTGTTGAACCATCCTTTTGACAGAGGAGTTTTGAAACACTCTTTTTGTAGAATCTGCAAGTGGATATTTGGATAGCTTTGAGGATTTCGTTGGAAACGGGATGACATATAATATCTAGAGAGAAGCATTCTCAGGAACTTCTTTGTGATGTTTGCATTCAAGTCACAGAATTGAACATTCCCTTTCATAGAGCAGGTTTGAAACACTCTTTCTCTAGTATCTGGAAGTGGGCATTTCAAGCGCTTTCAGGCCTATGGAGAGAAAGGAAATACCTTCAAATAAAAACTAGACAGAAGCATTCTCAGAAACTTATTTGTGATGTGTGTCCTCAACTAACAGAGTTGAACCTTTGTTTTGATACAGCATTTTGGAAACACTCCTTTTGTAGAATCTGCAGGTGGATATTTGGATAGCTTTGAAGATTTCGTTGGAAACCGGAATATCTTCATATAAAATCAAGACAGAAGCATTCTCGGAAACATCTCTGTGATGTTTGCATTCAACTCAGTAGAGTTGAACACTTCCTTTCATAGAGCAGGTTTGAAACACTCTTTCTGCACTACCTGGAAGCGGACATTTCGAGCGCTTTGAGGCCTATGGTGAAAAAGGAAATTCTCTCATAAAAACCAGAAAGAAAGCATTCTCAGAAACTTCTTTGTGTTGTGTGTACTCAAGTAACAGTGTTGAACCTTCCTTTTGACAGAGCAGTTTTGAAACACTCTTTTGGTAGAATCTGCAAGTGGATATTTGGAGAGCTTTGAGGATTTCGTTGGAAACGGGTTATCTTCATATAAAATCCAGACAGGAGCATTCTCAGAAACTTCTTTGTGCTGTATGTCCTCAATTCACAGAGCTGAACCTTTGTTTGGATACAGCATTTTGGAGACATTCCTTTAGTAGAATCTGCAAGTTGATATTTAGATAGCTTTGAAGATTTCGTTGGAAACGGGAATATCTTCATAGAAAATCTAGACGGAAGCATTCTCAGAAACTGCTTTGTGATGTTTGCATTCAAGTCACAGAGTTGAATATTCCCTTTTATAGAGTAGGTTTGAAACACTCTTTCGGCACTACCTGGAAGTGGATATTTCGAGCTCTTTGAGGCCTATGGTTAAAAGGAAATATCTTCCCATAAAAACTAGACAGAAGCCGTCTCAGAAACTTGTTTGTGATGTGTGTATTCAACTAACAGAGTTGAACATTTCTGTTACAGAGCAATTTTAAAACACTCTTTTTGTGGAATCTGAAAGTGGATATTTGGGTAGCTTTGTGGATTTCGTTAGAAACGGGATGACGTATAAAATCTAGAGAGAAGCATTCTCAGGAACTTCTTTCTGATGTTTGCATTCAAGTCACAGAATTGAACATTCCTTTTCAGAGTGCAGGTTTGAAACACACTCTTTCTGTAGTATCTGGAAGTGGACATTTCAAGCGCTTTCAGGCCTACGGGGAGAAAGGAAATATCTTCAAATAAAAACTAGACAGAAGGATTCTCAGAAACTTATTTGTGATGTGTGTCCTAAACGAACACAGTTGAACCTTTGTTTTGATACAGCATTTTGGAAACACTCCTTTTGTAGGATCTGCAGGTGGATATTTGGATAGATTTTAAGATTTCGTTGGAAACGGGAATTTCTTCATAGAAGCTCAAGACAGATGCATTCTCAGAAACTTCTCTGTGATGTTTGCATTCCACTCATAGAGTTGAAAACTTCCTTTCATAGAGCAGGTTTGAAACACTCTTTTTGTAATATTTGGAAGTGGACATTTGCAGCGCTTTGAGGCCTATGGTGAAAAAGGAAATATCTTCTCATAAAAACCAGAAACAAGCATTCTCAGAAACTTCTTTTTGATGTGTGTACTCAAGTAACAGAGTTGAACCTTCCTTTTGACACAGCAGTTTTGAAACAATCTTTTTGTAGAATCTGCAAGTGGATATTTGGATAGCTTTGAGGATTTCGTTGGAAACGGGATATCTTCATATAAAATCTAGACAGAAGCATTCTCAGAAACTTCTTTGTGCTGTATGTCCTCAATTAACAGAGTTGAACCATTGCCTGGATACAGCATTTTGGAAACATTCCTTGAGTAGAATCTGCAAGTTGATATTTAGATAGATTTGAAGATTTCGTTGGAAAAGGGAATATCTCCATATAAAATCTAGAGGGAAGCATTCTCAGAAACTGCTTTGTGATGTTTCCATTCAAGTCACAGAGTTGAATATTCCCTTTTATAGAGCACGTTTGAAACACTCTTTCTGCACTATCTGGAAGCGGACATTTCGAGCGCTTTGAGGCCTATGGTGAAAAAGGAAATATCTTCCCATAAAAACTAGACAGAAGCATTCTCAGAAACTTGTTTGTGATGTGTGTATTCAACTAACAGAGTTGAACTTTTGTTTTTACAGAGCCGTTTTAAAACACTCTTTTTGTGGAATCAGAAAGTGGATATTCGGATGGCTCTGAGGATTTCGTTGGAAGCGGGATTACGTATAAAATCTAGAGAGAAGCATTCTCAGGAACTTCTTTCTGATGTTTGCATTGAAGTCACAGAATTGAACATTCACTTTGATAGAGCAGGTTTGAAACACTCATTCTGTAGTATCTGGAAGTGGACATTTCAAGCGCTTTCAGGCCTATGGTGAGAAAGGAAATATCTTCGAATAAAAACTAGACAGAAGCATCCTCAAACTAATTGGTGATGTGTGTCCTCAACTAACAGAGTTGAAACTTTGTTTTGATACAGCATTTTGGAAACACTCTTTTTGTAGAATCTGCAGGTGGATATTTGGATAGCTTAGAGGGATTCGTTGGAAAGGGGATATCTTCATATAAAATCTAGACAGAAGCATTCTCAGAAACTTATTTGTGATGTGTGTCCTCAACTAACAGAGTTGAACCTTGGTTTTGATACAGCATTTTGGAAACACTCCTTTTGTAGAATCTGCAGGTGGATATGTGGATAGCTCTGAAGATTTCGTTGGAAACGGGAATTTCTTCATATAAAATCAAACAGAAGCATTCTCAGAAACTTCTCAGTGATGTTTGCATTCAGCTCATGGAGTTGAACACTTCCTTTCATAGAGCAGGTTTGAAACACTCTTTCTGCACTACCTGGAAGAGGACTTTTCGAGCGCTTTGAGGCCTATGGTGAAAAAGGAAATATCTTCTCATAGAAACCAGAAAGAAGCATTCTCAGAAACTTCTTTGTGTTGTGTGTACTCATGTAACAGTGTTGAACCATCCTTTTGACAGAGGAGTTTTGAAACACTCTTTTTGTAGAATCTGCAAGTGGATATTTGGATAGCTTTGAGGATTTCGTTGGAAACGGGATGACATATAATATCTAGAGAGAAGCATTCTCAGGAACTTCTTTGTGATGTTTGCATTCAAGTCACAGAATTGAACATTCCCTATCATAGAGCAGGTTTGAAACACTCTTTCTCT
The DNA here is from genome assembly GCF_000001405.40 of Homo sapiens. Classification (NCBI taxonomy): domain Eukaryota; kingdom Metazoa; phylum Chordata; class Mammalia; order Primates; family Hominidae; genus Homo; species Homo sapiens. The sequence continues at coordinate 50,228,201 of NC_000004.12, forward strand.
AGTATCTGGAAGTGGGCATTTCAAGCGCTTTCAGGCCTATGGAGAGAAAGGAAATACCTTCAAATAAAAACTAGACAGAAGCATTCTCAGAAACTTATTTGTGATGTGTGTCCTCAACTAACAGAGTTGAACCTTTGTTTTGATACAGCATTTTGGAAACACTCCTTTTGTAGAATCTGCAGGTGGATATTTGGATAGCTTTGAAGATTTCGTTGGAAACCGGAATATCTTCATATAAAATCAAGACAGAAGCATTCTCGGAAACATCTCTGTGATGTTTGCATTCAACTCAGTAGAGTTGAACACTTCCTTTCATAGAGCAGGTTTGAAACACTCTTTCTGCACTACCTGGAAGCGGACATTTCGAGCGCTTTGAGGCCTATGGTGAAAAAGGAAATATCTTCTCATAAAAACCAGAAAGAAGCATTGTCAGAAACTTCTTTGTGTTGTGTGTACTCAAGTAACAGTGTTGAACCTTCCTTTTGACAGAGCAGTTTTGAAACACTCTTTTGGTAGAATCTGCAAGTGGATATTTGGAGAGCTTTGAGGATTTCGTTGGAAACGGGTTATCTTCATATAAAATCCAGACAGGAGCATTCTCAGAAACTTCTTTGTGCTGTATGTCCTCAATTCACAGAGCTGAACCTTTGTTTGGATACAGCATTTTGGAGACATTCCTTTAGTAGAATCTGCAAGTTGATATTTAGATAGCTTTGAAGATTTCGTTGGAAACGGGAATATCTTCATAGAAAATCTAGACGGAAGCATTCTCAGAAACTGCTTTGTGATGTTTGCATTCAAGTCACAGAGTTGAATATTCCCTTTTATAGAGTAGGTTTGAAACACTCTTTCGGCACTACCTGGAAGTGGATATTTCGAGCTCTTTGAGGCCTATGGTTAAAAGGAAATATCTTCCCATAAAAACTAGACAGAAGCCGTCTCAGAAACTTGTTTGTGATGTGTGTATTCAACTAACAGAGTTGAACATTTCTGTTACAGAGCAATTTTAAAACACTCTTTGTGGAATCTGAAAGTGGATAATTGGATAGCTTTGTGGATTTCGTTGGAAACGGGATGACGTATAAAATCTAGAGAGAAGCATTCTCAGGAACTTCTTTCTGATGTTTGCATTCAAGTCACAGAATTGAACATTCCTTTTCATAGTGCAGGTTTGAAACACTCTTTCTGTAGTATCTGGAAGTGGACATTTCAAGCGCTTTCAGGCCTGTGGGGAGAAAGGAAATATCTTCAAATAAAAACTAGACAGAAGGATTCTCAGAAACTTATTTGTGATGTGTGTCCTAAACGAACACAGTTGAACCTTTGTTTTGATACAGCATTTTGGAAACACTCCTTTTGTAGGATCTGCAGGTGGATATTTGGATAGATTTTAAGATTTCGTTGGAAACGGGAATTTCTTCATAGAAGCTCAAGACAGATGCATTCTCAGAAACTTCTCTGTGATGTTTGCATTCCACTCATAGAGTTGAAAACTTCCTTTCATAGAGCAGGTTTGAAACACTCTTTTTGTATTATTTGGAAGTGGACACTTGCAGCGCTTTGAGGCCTATGGTGAAAAAGGAAATATCCTTCTGATAAAAACCAGAAACAAGCATTCTCAGAAACTTCTTTTTGATGTGTGTACTCAAGTAACAGAGTTGAACCTTCCTTTTGACACAGCAGTTTTGAAACAATCTTTTTGTAGAATCTGCAAGTGGATATTTGGATAGCTTTGAGGATTTCGTTGGAAACGGGATATCTTCATATAAAATCTAGACAGAAGCATTCTCAGAAACTTCTTTGTGCTGTATGTCCTCAATTAACAGAGTTGAACCATTGCCTGGATACAGCATTTTGGAAACATTCCTTGAGTAGAATCTGCAAGTTGATATTTAGATAGATTTGAAGATTTCGTTGGAAAAGGGAATATCTCCATATAAAATCTAGAGGGAAGCATTCTCAGAAACTGCTTTGTGATGTTTCCATTCAAGTCACAGAGTTGAATATTCCCTTTTATAGAGCACGTTTGAAACACTCTTTCTGCACTATCTGGAAGCGGACATTTCGAGCGCTTTGAGGCCTATGGTGAAAAAGGAAATATCTTCCCATAAAAACTAGACAGATAAGCATTCTCAGAAACTTGTTTGTGATGTGTGTATTCAACTAACAGAGTTGAACTTTTGTTTTTACAGAGCCGTTTTAAAACACTCTTTTTGTGGAATCAGAAAGTGGATATTCGGATGGCTCTGAGGATTTCGTTGGAAGCGGGATTACATATAAAATCTAGAGAGAAGCATTCTCAGGAACTTCTTTCTGATGTTTGCATTGAAGTCACGGGATTGAACATTCACTTTTATAGAGCAGGTTTGAAACACTCATTCTGTAGTATCTGGAAGTGGACATTTCAAGCGCTTTCAGGCCTATGGTGAGAAAGGAAATATCTTTGAATAAAAACTAGACAGAAGCATCCTCAGTAAACTTATTTGTGATGTCTGTCCTCAACTAACAGAGTGGAACCTTGGTTTTGATACAGCATTTTGGAAACACTCCTTTTGTAGAATCTGCAGGTGGATATTTGGATAGCTTAGAGGGATTCGTTGGAAAGGGGATATCTTCATATAAAATCTAGACAGAAGCATTCTCAGAAACTTATTTGTGATGTGTGTCCTCAACTAACAGAGTTGAACCTTGGTTTTGATACAGCATTTTGGAAACACTCCTTTTGTAGAATCTGCAGGTGGATATGTGGATAGCTCTGAAGATTTCGTTGGAAACGGGAATTTCTTCATATAAAATCAAACAGAAGCATTCTCAGAAACTTCTCAGTGATGTTTGCATTCAGTTCATGGAGTTGAACACTTCCTTTCATAGAGCCGGTTTGAAACACTCTTTCTGCACTACCTGGAAGAGGACATTTCGAGCGCTTTGAGTCCTATGGTGAAAAAGGAAATATCTTCTCATAGAAACCAGAAAGAAGCATTCTCAGAAACTTCTTTGTGTTGTGTGTACTCATGTAACAGTGTTGAACCATCCTTTTGACAGAGCAGTTTTGAAACACTCTTTTTGTAGAATCTGCAAGTGGATATTTGGATAGCTTTGAGGATTTCGTTGGAAACGGGATGACATATAATATCTAGAGAGAAGCATTCTCAGGAACTTCTTTGTGATGTTTGCATTCAAGTCACAGAATTGAACATTCCCTTTCATAGAGCAGGTTTGAAACACTCTTTCTCTAGTATCTGGAAGTGGGCATTTCAAGCGCTTTCAGGCCTATGGAGAGAAAGGAAATACCTTCAAATAAAAACTAGACAGAAGCATTCTCAGTAACCTTATTTGTGATGTGTGTCCTCAACTAACAGAGTTGAACCTTTGTTTTGATACAGCATTTTGGAAACACTCCTTTTGTAGAATCTGCAGGTGGATATTTGGATAGCTTTGAAGATTTCGTTGGAAACCGGAATATCTTCATATAAAATCAAGACAGAAGCATTCTCAGAAACATCTCTGTGATGTTTGCATTCAACTCAGTAGAGTTGAACACTTCCTTTCATAGAGCAGGTTTGAAACACTCTTTCTGCACTACCTGGAAGCGGACATTTCGAGCGCTTTGAGGCCTATGGTGAAAAAGGAAATATCTTCTCATAAAAACCAGAAAGAAGCATTCTCAGAAACTTCTTTGTGTTGTGTGTACTCAAGTAACAGTGTTGAACCTTCCTTTTGACAGAGCAGTTTTGAAACACTCTTTTGGTAGAATCTGCAAGTGGATATTTGGATAGCTTTGAGGATTTCGTTGGAAACGGGTTATCTTCCTATAAAATCCAGACAGGAGCATTCTCAGAAACTTCTTTGTGCTGTATGTCCTCAATTCACAGAGCTGAACCTTTGTTTGGATACAGCATTTTGGAGACATTCCTTTAGTAGAATCTGCAAGTTGATATTTAGATAGCTTTGAAGATTTCGTTGGAAACGGGAATATCTTCATAGAAAATCTAGACGGAAGCATTCTCAGAAACTGCTTTGTGATGTTTGCATTCAAGTCACAGAGTTGAATATTCCCTTTTATAGAGTAGGTTTGAAACACTCTTTCGGCACTACCTGGAAGTGGATATTTCGAGCTCTTTGAGGCCTATGGTTAAAAGGAAATATCTTCCCATAAAAACTAGACAGAAGCCGTCTCAGAAACTTGTTTGTGATGTGTGTATTCAACTACCAGAGTTGAACATTTCTGTTACAGAGCAATTTTAAAACACTCTTTTTGTGGAATCTGAAAGTGGATAATTGGGTAGCTTTGTGGATTTCGTTGGAAACGGGATGACGTATAAAATCTAGAGAGAAGCATTCTCAGGAACTTCTTTCTGATGTTTGCATTCAAGTCACAGAATTGACATTCCTTTTCAGAGTGCAGGTTTGAAACACTCTTTCTGTAGTTTCTGGAAGTGGACATTTCAAGCGCTTTCAGGCCTATGGGGAGAAAGGAAATATCTTCAAATAAAAACTAGACAGAAGGATTCTCAGAAACTTATTTGTGATGTGTGTCCTAAGCGAACACAGTTGAACCTTTGTTTTGATACAGCATTTTGGAAACACTCCTTTTGTAGAATCTGCAGGTGGATATTTGGATAGATTTTAAGATTTCATTGGAAACGGGAATTTCTGCATAGAAACTCAAGACAGATGCATTCTCAGAAACTTCTCTGTGATGTTTGCATTCCACTCATAGAGTTGAAAACTTCCTTTCATAGAGCAGGTTTGAAACACTCTTTTTGTAATATTTGGAAGTGGACCTTTGCAGCGCTTTGAGGCCTATGGTGAAAAAGGAAATATCTTCTCATAAAAACCAGAAACAAGCATTCTCAGAAACTTCTTTTTGATGTGTGTACTCAAATAACAGAGTTGAACCTTCCTTTTGACACAGCAGTTTTGAAACAATCTTTTTGTAGAATCTGCAAGTGGATATTTGGATAGCTTTGAGGATTTCGTTGGAAACGGGATATCTTCATATAAAATCTAGACAGAAGCATTCTCAGAAACTTCTTTGTGCTGTATGTCCTCAATTAACAGAGTTGAACCATTGCTTGGATACAGCATTTTGGAAACATTCCTTGAGTAGAATCTGCAAGTTGATACTTAGATAGATTTGAAGATTTCGTTGGAAAAGGGAATATCTCCATATAAAATCTAGAGGGAAGCATTCTCAGAAACTGCTTTATGATGTTTCCATTCAAGTCACAGAGTTGAATATTCCCTTTTATAGAGCACGTTTGAAACAATCTTTCTGCACTATCTGGAAGTGGACATTTCGAGCGCTTTGAGGCCTATGGTGAAAAAGGAAATATCTTCCCATAAAAACTAGACAGAAGCATTCTCAGAAACTTGTTTGTGATGTGTGTATTCAACTAACAGAGTTGAACTTTTGTTTTTACAGAGCCGTTTTAAAACACTCTTTTTGTGGAATCAGAAAGTGGATATTCGGATGGCTCTGAGGATTTCGTTGGAAGCGGGATTACATATAAAATCTAGAGAGAAGCATTCTCAGGAACTTCTTTGTGATGTTTGCATTGAAGTCACAGAATTGAACATTCACTTTGATAGAGCAGGTTTGAAACACTCATTCTGTAGTATCTGGAAGTGGACATTTCAAGCGCTTTCAGGCCTATGGTGGGAAAGGAAATATCTTCGAATAAAAACTAGACAGAAGCATCCTCAGAAACTTATTTGTGATGTGTGTCCTCAACTAACAGAGTTAAAACTTTGTTTTGATACAGCATTTTGGAAACACTCTTTTTGTAGAATCTGCAGGTGGATATTTGGATAGCTTAGAGGGATTCGTTGGAAAGGGGATATCTTCATATAAAATCTAGACAGAAGCATTCTCAGAAACTTATTTGTGATGTGTGTCCTCAACTAACAGAGTTGAACCTTTGTTTTGATACAGCATTTTGGAAACACTCCTTTTGTAGAATCTGCAGGTGGATATTTGGATAGCTTTGAAGATTTCGTTGGAAACCGGAATATGCTTCATATAAAATCAAGACAGAAGCATTCTCGGAAACATCTCTGTGATGTTTGCATTCAACTCAGTAGAGTTGAACACTTCCTTTCATAGAGCAGGTTTGAAACACTCTTTCTGCACTACCTGGAAGCGGACATTTCGAGCGCTTTGAGGCCTATGGTGAAAAAGGAAATATCTTCTCATAAAAACCAGAAAGAAGCATTCTCAGAAACTTCTTTGTGTTGTGTGTACTCATGTAACTGTGTTGAACCTTCCTTTTGACAGAGCAGTTTTGAAACACTCTTTTGGTAGAATCTGCAAGTGGATATTTGGAGAGCTTTGAGGATTTCATTGGAAACGGGTTATCTTCATATAAAATCCAGACAGGAGCATTCTCAGAAACTTCTTTGTGCTGTATGTCCTCAATTCACAGAGCTGAACCTTTGTTTGGATACAGCATTTTGGAGACATTCCTTTAGTAGAATCTGCAAGTTGATATTTAGATAGCTTTGAAGATTTCGTTGGAAACGGGAATATCTTCATAGAAAATCTAGACGGAAGCATTCTCAGAAACTGCTTTGTGATGTTTGCATTCAAGTCACAGAGTTGAATATTCCCTTTTATAGAGTAGGTTTGAAACACTCTTTCGGCACTACCTGGAAGTGGATATTTCGAGCTCTTTGAGGCCTATGGTTAAAAGGAAATATCTTCCCATAAAAACTAGACAGAAGCCGTCTCAGAAACTTGTTTGTGATGTGTGTATTCAACTAACGGAGTTGAACATTTCTGTTACAGAGCAATTTTAAAACACTCTTTTTGTGGAATCTGAAAGTGGATAATTGGGTAGCTTTGTGGATTTCGTTGGAAACGGGATGACGTATAAAATCTAGAGAGAAGCATTCTCAGGAACTTCTTTCTGATGTTTGCATTCAAGTCACAGAATTGACATTCCTTTTCAGAGTGCAGGTTTGAAACACTCTTTCTGTAGTTTCTGGAAGTGGACATTTCAAGCGCTTTCAGGCCTATGGGGAGAAAGGAAATATCTTCAAATAAAAACTAGACAGAAGGATTCTCAGAAACTTATTTGTGATGTGTGTCCTAAGCGAACACAGTTGAACCTTTGTTTTGATACAGCATTTTGGAAACACTCCTTTTGTAGGATCTGCAGGTGGATATTTGGATAGATTTTAAGATTTCATTGGAAACGGGAATTTCTGCATAGAAACTCAAGACAGATGCATTCTCAGAAACTTCTCTGTGATGTTTGCATTCCACTCAAAGAGTTGAAAACTTCCTTTCATAGAGCAGGTTTGAAACACTCTTTTTGTAATATTTGGAAGTGGACCTTTGCAGCGCTTTGAGGCCTATGGTGAAAAAGGAAATATCTTCTCATAAAAACCAGAAACAAGCATTCTCAGAAACTTCTTTTTGATGTGTGTACTCAAATAACAGAGTTGAACCTTCCTTTTGACACAGCAGTTTTGAAACAATCTTTTTGTAGAATCTGCAAGTGGATATTTGGATAGCTTTGATGATTTCGTTGGAAACGGGATATCTTCATATAAAATCTAGACAGAAGCATTCTCAGAAACTTCTTTGTGCTGTATGTCCTCAATTAACAGAGTTGAACCATTGCTTGGATACAGCATTTTGGAAACATTCCTTGAGTAGAATCTGCAAGTTGATACTTAGATAGATTTGAAGATTTCGTTGGAAAAGGGAATATCTCCATATAAAATCTAGAGGGAAGCATTCTCAGAAACTGCTTTGTGATGTTTCCATTCAAGTCACAGAGTTGAATATTCCCTTTTATAGAGCACGTTTGAAACACTCTTTCTGCACTATCTGGAAGTGGACATTTCGAGCGCTTTGAGGCCTATGGTGAAAAAGGAAATATCTTCCCATAAAAACTAGACAGAAGCATTCTCAGAAACTTGTTTGTGATGTGTGTATTCAACTAACAGAGTTGAACTTTTGTTTTTACAGAGCCGTTTTAAAACACTCTTTTTGTGGAATCAGAAAGTGGATATTCGGATGGCTCTGAGGATTTCGTTGGAAGCGGGATTACATATAAAATCTAGAGAGAAGCATTCTCAGGAACTTCTTTGTGATGTTTGCATTGAAGTCACAGAATTGAACATTCACTTTGATAGAGCAGGTTTGAAACACTCATTCTGTAGGATCTGGAAGTGGACATTTCAAGCGCTTTCAGGCCTATGGTGAGAAAGGAAATATCTTCGAATAAAAACTAGACAGAAGCATCCTCAGAAACTTATTTGTGATGTGTGTCCTCAACTAACAGAGTTGAAACTTTGTTTTGATACAGCATTTTGGAAACACTCTTTTTGTAGAATCTGCAGGTGGATATTTTGATAGCTTAGAGGGATTCGTTGGAAAGGGGATATCTTCATATAAAATCTAGACAGAAGCATTCTCAGAAACTTATTTGTGATGTGTGTCCTCAACTAACAGAGTTGAACCTTGGTTTTGATACAGCATTTTGGAAACACTCCTTTTGTAGAATCTGCAGGTGGATATGTGGATAGCTCTGAAGATTTCGTTGGAAACGGGAATTTCTTCATATAAAATCAAACAGAAGCATTCTCAGAAACTTCTCAGTGATGTTTGCATTCAGTTCATGCAGTTGAACACTTCCCTTCATAGAGCCGGTTTGAAACACTCTTTCTGCACTACCTGGAAGAGGACATTTCGAGCGCTTTGAGTCCTATGGTGAAAAAGGAAATATCTTCTCATAGAAACCAGAAAGAAGCATTCTCAGAAACTTCTTTGTGTTGTGTGTACTCATGTAACAGTGTTGAACCATCCTTTTGACAGAGCAGTTTTGAAACACTCTTTTTGTAGAATCTGCAAGTGGATATTTGGATAGCTTTGAGGATTTCGTTGGAAACGGGATGACATATAATATCTAGAGAGAAGCATTCTCAGGAACTTCTTTGTGATGTTTGCATTCAAGTCACAGAATTGAACATTCCCTTTCATAGAGCAGGTTTGAAACACTCTTTCTCTAGTATCTGGAAGTGGGCATTTCAAGCGCTTTCAGGCCTATGGAGAGAAAGGAAATACCTTCAAATAAAAACTAGACAGAAGCATTCTCAGAAACTTATTTGTGATGTGTGTCCTCAACTAACAGAGTTGAACCTTTGTTTTGATACAGCATTTTGGAAACACTCCTTTTGTAGAATCTGCAGGTGGATATTTGGATAGCTTTGAAGATTTCGTTGGAAACCGGAATATCTTCATATAAAATCAAGACAGAAGCATTCTCGGAAACATCTCTGTGATGTTTGCATTCAACTCAGTAGAGTTGAACACTTCCTTTCATAGAGCAGGTTTGAAACACTCTTTCTGCACTACCTGGAAGCGGACATTTCGAGCGCTTTGAGGCCTATGGTGAAAAAGGAAATATCTTCTCATAAAAACCAGAAAGAAGCATTCTCAGAAACTTCTTTGTGTTGTGTGTACTCAAGTAACAGTGTTGAACCTTCCTTTTGACAGAGCAGTTTTGAAACACTCTTTTGGTAGAATCTGCAAGTGGATATTTGGATAGCTTTGAGGATTTCGTTGGAAACGGGTTATCTTCATATAAAATCCAGACAGGAAGCATTCTCAGAAAATTCTTTGTGCTGTATGTCCTCAATTAACAGAGTTGAACCATTGCTTGGATACAGCATTTTGGAAACATTCCTTTAGTAGAATCTGCAAGTTGATATTTAGATAGCTTTGAAGATTTCGTTGGAAACGGGAATATCTTCATAAAAAATCTAGACGGAAGCATTCTCAGAAACTGCTTTGTGATGTTTGCATTCAAGTCACAGAGTTGAATATTCCCTTTTATAGAGTAGGTTTGAAACACTCTTTCGGCACTACCTGGAAGTGGATATTTCGAGCTCTTTGAGGCCTATGGTTAAAAGGAAATATCTTCCCATAAAAACTAGACAGAAGCCGTCTCAGAAACTTGTTTGTGATGTGTGTATTCAACTAACAGAGTTGAACATTTCTGTTACAGAGCAATTTTAAAACACTCTTTGTGGAATCTGAAAGTGGATAATTGGATAGCTTTGTGGATTTCGTTGGAAACGGGATGACGTATAAAATCTAGAGAGAAGCATTCTCAGGAACTTCTTTCTGATGTTTGCATTCAAGTCACAGAATTGAACATTCCTTTTCAGAGTGCAGGTTTGAAACACTCTTTCTGTAGTATCTGGAAGTGGACATTTCAAGCGCTTTCAGGCCTACGGGGAGAAAGGAAATATCTTCAAATAAAAACTAGACAGAAGGATTCTCAGAAACTTATTTGTGATGTGTGTCCTAAACGAACACAGTTGAACCTTTGTTTTGATACAGCATTTTGGAAACACTCCTTTTGTAGGATCTGCAGGTGGATATTTGGATAGATTTTAAGATTTCGTTGGAAACGGGAATTTCTTCATAGAAGCTCAAGACAGATGCATTCTCAGAAACTTCTCTGTGATGTTTGCATTCCACTCATAGAGTTGAAAACTTCCTTTCATAGAGCAGGTTTGAAACACTCTTTTTGTAATATTTGGAAGTGGACATTTGCAGCGCTTTGAGGCCTATGGTGAAAAAGGAAATATCTTCTCATAAAAACCAGAAACAAGCATTCTCAGAAACTTCTTTTTGATGTGTGTACTCAAGTAACAGAGTTGAACCTTCCTCTTGACACAGCAGTTTTGAAACAATCTTTTTGTAGAATCTGCAAGTGGATATTTGGATAGCTTTGAGGATTTCGTTGGAAACGGGATATCTTCATATAAAATCTAGACAGAAGCATTCTCAGAAACTTCTTTGTGCTGTATGTCCTCAATTAACAGAGTTGAACCATTGCCTGGATACAGCATTTTGGAAACATTCCTTGAGTAGAATCTGCAAGTTGATATTTAGATAGATTTGAAGATTTCGTTGGAAAAGGGAATATCTCCATATAAAATCTAGAGGGAAGCATTCTCAGAAACTGCTTTGTGATGTTTCCATTCAAGTCACAGAGTTGAATATTCCCTTTTATAGAGCACGTTTGAAACACTCTTTCTGCACTATCTGGAAGCGGACATTTCGAGCGCTTTGAGGCCTATGGTGAAAAAGGAAATATCTTCCCATAAAAACTAGACAGAAGCATTCTCAGAAACTTGTTTGTGATGTGTGTATTCAACTAACAGAGTTGAACTTTTGTTTTTACAGAGCCGTTTTAAAACACTCTTTTTGTGGAATCAGAAAGTGGATATTCGGATGGCTCTGAGGATTTCGTTGGAAGCGGGATTACGTATAAAATCTAGAGAGAAGCATTCTCAGGAACTTCTTTGTGATGTTTGCATTGAAGTCACAGAATTGAACATTCACTTTGATAGAGCAGGTTTGAAACACTCATTCTGTAGTATCTGGAAGTGGACATTTCAAGCGCTTTCAGGCCTATGGTGAGAAAGGAAATATCCTTCGAATAAAAACTAGACAGAAGCATCCTCAAACTTATTTGTGATGTGTGTCCTCAACTAACAGAGTTGAAACTTTGTTTTGATACAGCATTTTGGAAACACTCTTTTTGTAGAATCTGCAGGTGGATATTTGGATAGCTTAGAGGGATTCGTTGGAAAGGGGATATCTTCATATAGAATCTAGACAGAAGCATTCTCAGAAACTTATTTGTGATGTGTGTCCTCAACTAACAGAGTTGAACTTTGGTTTTGATACAGCATTTTGGAAACACTCCTTTTGTAGAATCTGCAGGTGGATATGTGGATAGCTCTGAAGATTTCGTTGGAAACGGGAATTTCTTCATATAAAATCAAACAGAAGCATTCTCAGAAACTTCTCAGTGATGTTTGCATTCAGTTCATGGAGTTGAACACTTCCTTTCATAGAGCCGGTTTGAAACACTCTTTCTGCACTACCTGGAAGAGGACATTTCGAGCGCTTTGAGTCCTATGGTGAAAAAGGAAATATCTTCTCATAGAAACCAGAAAGAAGCATTCTCAGAAACTTCTTTGTGTTGTGTGTACTCATGTAACAGTGTTGAACCATCCTTTTGACAGAGCAGTTTTGAAACACTCTTTTTGTAGAATCTGCAAGTGGATATTTGGATAGCTTTGAGGATTTCGTTGGAAACGGGATGACATATAATATCTAGAGAGAAGCATTCTCAGGAACTTCTTTGTGATGTTTGCATTCAAGTCACAGAATTGAACATTCCCTTTCATAGAGCAGGTTTGAAACACTCTTTCTCTAGTATCTGGAAGTGGGCATTTCAAGCGCTTTCAGGCCTATGGAGAGAAAGGAAATACCTTCAAATAAAAACTAGACAGAAGCATTCTCAGAAACTTATTTGTGATGTGTGTCCTCAACTAACAGAGTTGAACCTTTGTTTTGATACAGCATTTTGGAAACACTCCTTTTGTAGAATCTGCAGGTGGATATGTGGATAGCTTTGAAGATTTCGTTGGAAACCGGAATATCTTCCTATAAAATCAAGACAGAAGCATTCTCGGAAACATCTCTGTGATGTTTGCATTCAACTCAGTAGAGTTGAACACTTCCTTTCATAGAGCAGGTTTGAAACACTCTTTCTGCCCTACCTGGAAGCGGACATTTCGAGCGCTTTGAGGCCTATGGTGAAAAAGGAAATATCTTCTCATAAAAACCAGAAAGAAGCATTCTCAGAAACTTCTTTGTGTTGTGTGTACTCAAGTAACAGTGTTGAACCTTCCTTTTGACAGAGCAGTTTTGAAACACTCTTTTGGTAGAATCTGCAAGTGGATATTTGGATAGCTTTGAGGATTTCGTTGGAAACGGGTTATCTTCCTATAAAATCCAGACAGGAGCATTCTCAGAAACTTCTTTGTGCTGTATGTCCTCAATTCACAGAGCTGAACCTTTGTTTGGATACAGCATTTTGGAGACATTCCTTTAGTAGAATCTGCAAGTTGATATTTAGATAGCTTTGAAGATTTCGTTGGAAACGGGAATATCTTCATAGAAAATCTAGACGGAAGCATTCTCAGAAACTGCTTTGTGATGTTTGCATTCAAGTCACAGAGTTGAATATTCCCTTTTATAGAGTAGGTTTGAAACACTCTTTCGGCACTACCTGGAAGTGGATATTTCGAGCTCTTTGAGGCCTATGGTTAAAAGGAAATATCTTCCCATAAAAACTAGACAGAAGCCGTCTCAGAAACTTGTTTGTGATGTGTGTATTCAACTAACAGAGTTGAACATTTCTGTTACAGAGCAATTTAAAACACTCTTTTTGTGGAATCTGAAAGTGGATAATTGGATAGCTTTGTGGATTTCGTTGGAAACGGGATGACGTATAAAATCTAGAGAGAAGCATTCTCAGGAACTTCTTTCTGATGTTTGCATTCAAGTCACAGAATTGAACATTCCTTTTCATAGTGCAGGTTTGAAACACTCTTTCTGTAGTATCTGGAAGTGGACATTTCAAGCGCTTTCAGGCCTGTGGGGAGAAAGGAAATATCTTCAAATAAAAACTAGACAGAAGGATTCTCAGAAACTTATTTGTGATGTGTGTCCTAAACGAACACAGTTGAACCTTTGTTTTGATACAGCATTTTGGAAACACTCCTTTTGTAGGATCTGCAGGTGGATATTTGGATAGATTTTAAGATTTCGTTGGAAACGGGAATTTCTTCATAGAAGCTCAAGACAGATGCATTCTCAGAAACTTCTCTGTGATGTTTGCATTCCACTCATAGAGTTGAAAACTTCCTTTCATAGAGCAGGTTTGAAACACTCTTTTTGTAATATTTGGAAGTGGACATTTGCAGCGCTTTGAGGCCTATGGTGAAAAAGGAAATATCTTCTCATAAAAACCAGAAACAAGCATTCTCAGAAACTTCTTTTTGATGTGTGTACTCAAGTAACAGAGTTGAACCTTCCTCTTGACACAGCAGTTTTGAAACAATCTTTTTGTAGAATCTGCAAGTGGATATTTGGATAGCTTTGAGGATTTCGTTGGAAACGGGATATCTTCATATAAAATCTAGACAGAAGCATTCTCAGAAACTTCTTTGTGCTGTATTTCCTCAATTAACAGAGTTGAACCATTGCCTGGATACAGCATTTTGGAAACATTCCTTGAGTAGAATCTGCAAGTTGATATTTAGATAGATTTGAAGATTTCGTTGGAAAAGGGAATATCTCCATATAAAATCTAGAGGGAAGCATTCTCAGAAACTGCTTTGTGATGTTTCCATTCAAGTCACAGAGTTGAATATTCCCTTTTATAGAGCACGTTTGAAACACTCTTTCTGCACTATCTGGAAGCGGACATTTCGAGCGCTTTGAGGCCTATGGTGAAAAAGGAAATATCTTCCCATAAAAACTAGACAGAAAGCATTCTCAGAAACTTGTTTGTGATGTGTGTATTCAACTAACAGAGTTGAACTTTTGTTTTTACAGAGCCGTTTTAAAACACTCTTTTTGTGGAATCAGAAAGTGGATATTCGGATGGCTCTGAGGATTTCGTTGGAAGCGGGATTACGTATAAAATCTAGAGAGAAGCATTCTCAGGAACTTCTTTGTGATGTTTGCATTGAAGTCACGGAATTGAACATTCACTTTGATAGAGCAGGTTTGAAACACTCATTCTGTAGTATCTGGAAGTGGACATTTCAAGCGCTTTCAGGCCTATGGTGAGAAAGGAAATATCTTCGAATAAAAACTAGACAGAAGCATCCTCAGAAACTTATTTGTGATGTGTGTCCTCAACTAACAGAGTTGAAACTTTGTTTTGATACAGCATTTTGGAAACACTCTTTTTGTAGAATCTGCAGGTGGATATTTGGATAGCTTAGAGGGATTCGTTGGAAAGGGGATATCTTCATATAAAATCTAGACAGAAGCATTCTCAGAAACTTATTTGTGATGTGTGTCCTCAACTAACAGAGTTGAACCTTGGTTTTGATACAGCATTTTGGAAACACTCCTTTTGTAGAATCTGCAGGTGGATATGTGGATAGCTCTGAAGATTTCGTTGGAAACGGGAATTTCTTCATATAAAATCAAACAGAAGCATTCTCACAAACTTCTCAGTGATGTTTGCATTCAGTTCATGGAGTTGAACACTTCCCTTCATAGAGCCGGTTTGAAACACTCTTTCTGCACTACCTGGAAGAGGACATTTCGAGCGCTTTGAGTCCTATGGTGAAAAAGGAAATATCTTCTCATAGAAACCAGAAAGAAGCATTCTCAGAAACTTCTTTGTGTTGTGTGTACTCATGTAACAGTGTTGAACCATCCTTTTGACAGAGCAGTTTTGAAACACTCTTTTTGTAGAATCTGCAAGTGGATATTTGGATAGCTTTGAGGATTTCGTTGGAAACGGGATGACATATAATATCTAGAGAGAAGCATCCTCAGGAACTTCTTTGTGATGTTTGCATTCAAGTCACAGAATTGAACATTCCCTTTCATAGAGCAGGTTTGAAACACTCTTTCTCTAGTATCTGGAAGTGGGCATTTCAAGCGCTTTCAGGCCTATGGAGAGAAAGGAAATACCTTCAAATAAAAACTAGACAGAAGCATTCTCAGAAACTTATTTGTGATGTGTGTCCTCAACTAACAGAGTTGAACCTTTGTTTTGATACAGCATTTTGGAAACACTCCTTTTGTAGAATCTGCAGGTGGATATTTGGATAGCTTTGAAGATTTCGTTGGAAACCGGAATATCTTCATATAAAATCAAGACAGAAGCATTCTCGGAAACATCTCTGTGATGTTTGCATTCAACTCAGTAGGGTTGAACACTTCCTTTCATAGAGCAGGTTTGAAACACTCTTTCTGCACTACCTGGAAGCGGACATTTCGAGCGCTTTGAGGCCTATGGTGAAAAAGGAAATATCTTCTCATAAAAACCAGAAAGAAGCATTCTCAGAAACTTCTTTGTGTTGTGTGTACTCAAGTAACAGTGTTGAACCTTCCTTTTGACAGAGTAGTTTTGAAACACTCTTTTGGTAGAATCTGCAAGTGGATATTTGGAGAGCTTTGAGGAATTCGTTGGAAACGGGTTATCTTCATATAAAATCCAGACAGGAGCATTCTCAGAAACTTCTTTGTGCTGTATGTCCTCAATTCACAGAGCTGCACCTTTGTTTGGATACAGCATTTTGGAGACATTCCTTTAGTAGAATCTGCAAGTTGATATTTAGATAGCTTTGAAGATTTCGTCGGAAACGGGAATATCTTCATAGAAAATCTAGACGGAAGCATTCTCAGAAACTGCTTTGTGATGTTTGCATTCAAGTCACAGAGTTGAATATTCCCTTTTATAGAGTAGGTTTGAAACACTCTTTCGGCACTACCTGGAAGTGGATATTTCGAGCTCTTTGAGGCCTATGGTTAAAAGGAAATATCTTCCCATAAAAACTAGACAGAAGCCGTCTCAGAAACTTGTTTGTGATGTGTGTATTCAACTAACAGAGTTGAACATTTCTGTTACAGAGCAATTTTAAAACACTCTTTTTGTGGAATCTGAAAGTGGATATTTGGGTAGCTTTGTGGATTTCGTTAGAAACGGGATGACGTATAAAATCTAGAGAGAAGCATTCTCAGGAACTTCTTTCTGATGTTTGCATTCAAGTCACAGAATTGAACATTCCTTTTCAGAGTGCAGGTTTGAAACACACTCTTTCTGTAGTATCTGGAAGTGGACATTTCAAGCGCTTTCAGGCCTACGGGGAGAAAGGAAATATCTTCAAATAAAAACTAGACAGAAGGATTCTCAGAAACTTATTTGTGATGTGTGTCCTAAACGAACACAGTTGAACCTTTGTTTTGATACAGCATTTTGGAAACACTCCTTTTGTAGAATCTGCAGGTGGATATTTGGATAGATTTTAAGATTTCATTGGAAACGGGAATTTCTTCATATAAACTCAAGACAGATGCATTCTCAGAAACTTCTCTGTGATGTTTGCATTCAACTCACAGAGTTGAAAACTTCCTTTCATAGAGCAGGTTTGAAACACTCTTTTTGTAATATTTGGAAGTGGACATTTGCAGCGCTTTGAGGCCTATGGTGAAAAAGGAAATATCTTCTCATAAAAAACAGAAACAAGCATTCTCAGAAACTGCTTTTTGATGTGTGTACTCAAGTAACAGAGTTGAACCTTCCTTTTGACACAGCAGTTTTGAAACAATCTTTTTGTAGAATCTGCAAGTGGATATTTGGATAGCTTTGAGGATTTCGTTGGAAACGGGATATCTTCATATAAAATCTAGACAGAAGCATTCTCAGAAACTTCTTTGTGCTGTATGTCCTCAATTAACAGAGTTGAACCATTGCTTGGATACAGCATTTTGGAAACATTCCTTTAGTAGAATCTGCAAGTTGATATTTAGATAGCTTTGAAGATTTCGTTGGAAACGGGAATATCTTCATATAAAATCTAGACGGAGGCATTCTCAGAAACTGCTTTGTGATGTTTCCATTCAAGTCACAGAGTTGAATATTCTCTTTTATAGAGCACGTTTGAAACACTCTTTCGGCACTATCTGGAAGTGGACATTTCGAGCGCTTTGAGGCCTATGGTGAAAAAGGAAATATCTTCCCATAAAAACTAGACAGAAGCATTCTCAGAAACTTGTTTGTGATGTGTGTATTCAACTAACAGACTTGAACTTTTGTTTTTACAGAGCAGTTTTAAAACAATCTTTTTGTGGAATCAGAAAGTGGATATTCGGATGGCTTTGAGGATTTCGTTGGAAGCGGGATTACATATAAAATCTAGAGAGAAGCATTCTCAGGAACTACTTTGTGATGTTTGCATTGAAGTCACAGAATTGAACATTCACTTTGATAGAGCAGGTTTGAAACACTCATTCTGTAGTATCTGGAAGTGGACATTTCAAGCGCTTTCAGGCCTATGGGGAGAAAGGAAATATCTTCAAATTAAAACTAGAGAGAAGCATCCTCAGAAACTTATTTGTGATGTGTGTCCTCAACTAACAGAGTTGAAACTTTGTTTTGATACAGCATTTTGGAAACACTCTTTTTGTAGAATCTGCAGGTGGATACTTGGATAGCTTAGAGGGATTCGTTGGAAAGGGGATAAATTCATATAAAATCTAGACAGAAGCATTCTCAGAAACTTATTTGTGATGTGTGTCCTCAACTAACAGAGTTGAACCTTGGTTTTGATACAGCATTTTGGAAACACTCCTTTTGAAGAATCTGCAGGTGGATATGTGGATAGCTTTGAAGATTTCGTTGGAAACGGGAATTTCTTCATATAAAATCAAACAGAAGCATTCTCAGGAACTTCTCTGTGATGTTTGCATTCAGCTCATGGAGTTGAACACTTCCTTTCATAGAGCAGGTTTGAAACACTCTTTCTGCACTACCTGGAAGTGGACATTTCGAGCGCTTTGAGGCCTATGGTGAAAAAGGAAATATCCTCTCATAAAAACCAGAAAGAAGCGTTCTCAGAAACTTCTTTGTGTTGTGTGTACTCATGTAACAGTGTTGAACCATCCTTTTGACAGAGCAGATTTGAAACACTCTTTTTGTAGAATCTGCAAGTGGATATTTGGATAGCTTTGAGGATTTCGTTGGAAACGGGTTATCTTCATATTAAATCTAGACAGAAGCATTCTCAGGAACTTCTTTGTGATGTTTGCATTCAAGTCACAGAATTGAACATTCCCTTTCATAGAGCAGGTTTGAAACACTCTTTCTCTAGTATCTGGAAGTGGGCATTTCAAGCGCTTTCAGGCCTATGGAGAGAAAGGAAATACCTTCAAATAAAAACTAGACAGAAGCATTCTCAGAAACTTATTTGTGATGTGTGTCCTCAACTAACAGAGTTGAACCTTTGTTTTGATACAGCATTTTGGAAACACTCCTTTTGTAGAATCTGCAGGTGGATATTTGGATAGCTTTGAAGATTTCGTTGGAAACCGGAATATCTTCATATAAAATCAAGACAGAAGCATTCTCGGAAACATCTCTGTGATGTTTGCATTCAACTCAGTAGAGTTGAACACTTCCTTTCATAGAGCAGGTTTGAAACACTCTTTCTGCACTACCTGGAAGTGGACATTTCGAGCGCTTTGAGGCCTATGGTGAAAAAGGAAATATCTTCTCATAAAAACCAGAAAGAAGCATTCTCAGAAACTTCTTTGTGTTGTGTGTACTCAAGTAACAGTGTTGAACCTTCCTTTTGACAGAGCAGTTTTGAAACACTCTTTTGGTAGAATCTGCAAGTGGATATTTGGATAGCTTTGAGGATTTCGTTGGAAACGGGTTATCTTCCTATAAAATCCAGACAGGAGCATTCTCAGAAACTTCTTTGTGCTGTATGTCCTCAATTCACAGAGCTGAACCTTTGTTTGGATACAGCATTTTGGAGACATTCCTTTAGTAGAATCTGCAAGTTGATATTTAGATAGCTTTGAAGATTTCGTTGGAAACGGGAATATCTTCATAGAAAATCTAGACGGAAGCATTCTCAGAAACTGCTTTGTGATGTTTGCATTCAAGTCACAGAGTTGAATATTCCCTTTTATAGAGTAGGTTTGAAACACTCTTTCGGCACTACCTGGAAGTGGATATTTCGAGCTCTTTGAGGCCTATGGTTAAAAGGAAATATCTTCCCATAAAAACTAGACAGAAGCCGTCTCAGAAACTTGTTTGTGATGTGTGTATTCAACTACCAGAGTTGAACATTTCTGTTACAGAGCAATTTTAAAACACTCTTTTTGTGGAATCTGAAAGTGGATAATTGGATAGCTTTGTGGATTTCGTTGGAAATGGGATGACGTATAAAATCTAGAGAGAAGCATTCTCAGGAACTTCTTTCTGATGTTTGCATTCAAGTCACAGAATTGAACATTCCTTTTCACAGTGCAGGTTTGAAACACTCTTTCTGTAGTATCTGGAAGTGGACATTTCAAGCGCTTTCAGGCCTATGGGGAGAAAGGAAATATCTTCAAATAAAAACTAGACAGAAGGATTCTCAGAAACTTATTGGTGATGTGTGTCCTAAACGAACACAGTTGAACCTTTGTTTTGATACAGCATTTTGGAAACACTCCCTTTGTAGAATCTGCAGGTGGATATTTGGATAGATTTTAAGATTTCGTTGGAAACGGGAATTTCTTCATATAAACTCAAGACAGATGCATTCTCCGAAACTTCTCTGTGCTGTTTGCATTCCACTCATAGAGTTGAAAACTTCCTTTCATAGAGCAGGTTTGAAACACTCTTTTTGTAATATTTGGAAGTGGACATTTGCAGCGCTTTGAGTCCTATGGTGAAAAAGGAAATATCTTCTGATAAAAACCAGAAACAAGCATTCTCAGAAACTTCTTTTTGATGTGTGTACTCAAGTAACAGAGTTGAACCTTCCTTTTGACACAGCAGTTTTGAAACAATCTTTTTGTAGAATCTGCAAGTGGATATTTGGATAGCTTTGAGGATTTCGTTGGAAACGGGATATCTTCATATAAAATCTAGACAGAAGCATTCTCAGAAACTTCTTTGTGCTGTATGTCCTCAATTAACAGAGTTGAACCATTGCCTGGATACAGCATTTTGGAAACATTCCTTGAGTAGAATCTGCAAGTTGATATTTAGATAGATTTGAAGATTTCGTTGGAAAAGGGAATATCTCCATATAAAATCTAGAGGGAAGCATTCTCAGAAACTGCTTTGTGATGTTTCCATTCAAGTCACAGAGTTGAATATTCCCTTTTATAGAGCACGTTTGAAACACTCTTTCTGCACTATCTGGAAGCGGACATTTCGAGCGCTTTGAGGCCTATGGTGAAAAAGGAAATATCTTCCCATAAAAACTAGACAGAAGCATTCTCAGAAACTTGTTTGTGATGTGTGTATTCAACTAACAGAGTTGAACTTTTGTTTTTACAGAGCCGTTTTAAAACACTCTTTTTGTGGAATCAGAAAGTGGATATTCGGATGGCTCTGAGGATTTCGTTGGAAGCGGGATTACGTATAAAATCTAGAGAGAAGCATTCTCAGGAACTTCTTTCTGATGTTTGCATTGAAGTCACAGAATTGAACATTCACTTTGATAGAGCAGGTTTGAAACACTCATTCTGTAGTATCTGGAAGTGGACATTTCAAGCGCTTTCAGGCCTATGGTGAGAAAGGAAATATCTTCGAATAAAAACTAGACAGAAGCATCCTCAGAAACTTATTTGTGATGTGTGTCCTCAACTAACAGAGTTGAAACTTTGTTTTGATACAGCATTTTGGAAACACTCTTTTTGTAGAATCTGCAGGTGGATATTTGGATAGCTTAGAGGGATTCGTTGGAAAGGGGATATCTTCATATAAAATGCTAGACAGAAGCATTCTCAGAAACTTATTTGTGATGTGTGTCCTCAACTAACAGAGTTGAACCTTGGTTTTGATACAGCATTTTGGAAACACTCCTTTTGTAGAATCTGCAGGTGGATATGTGGATAGGTTTGAAGATTTCGTTGGAAACGGGAATTTCTTCATATAAAATCAAAGAGAAGCATTCTCAGAAACTTCTCTGTGATGTTTGCATTGAGCTCATGGAGTTGAACACTTCCTTTCATAGAGCAGCTTTGAAACACTCTTTCTGCACTACCAGGAAGTGGACATTTCGAGCGCTTTGAGGCCTATGGTGAAAAAGGAAATGTCTTCTCATAAAAACCAGAAAGAAGCGTTCTCAGAAACTTCTTTGTGTTGTGTGTACTCATGTAACAGTGTTGAACCATCCTTTTGACAGAGCAGTTTTGAAACACTCTTTTTGTAGAATCTGCAAGTGGATATTTGGATAGCTTTGAGGATTTCGTTGGAAACGGGTTATCTTCATATTAAATACTAGACAGAAGCATTCTCAGAAACTTCTTTGTGCTGTATGTCCTCAATTCACAGAGTTGAACCTTTGTTTGGATACAGCATTTTGGAAACATTCCTTTAGTAGAATCTGCAAGTTGATATTTAGATAGCTTTGAAGATTTCGTTGGAAACGGGAATATCTTCATAAAAAATCTAGACGGAAGCATTGTCAGAAACTGCTTTGTGATGTTTGCATTCAAGTCACAGAGTTAAATATTCTTTTACAGAGCAGGTTTGAAACACTCTTTCTGCACTCCCTGGAAGTGGAGATTTCGAGCGCTTTGAGGCCTATGGTGAAAAAGGAAATATCTTCCCATAAAAACTAGACGGAAGCCTTCTCAGAAACTTGTTTGAGATGTGTGTATTCAAGTAAGAGCGTTGAACATTTCTTTTTACAGAGCAGTTTTAAAACACTCTTTTTGTGGAATCTGAAAGTGGATAATTGGATAGCTTTGTGGATTTCGTTGGAAACGGGATGACGTATAAAATCTAGAGAGAAGCATTCTCAGGAACTTCTTTCTGATGTTTGCATTCAAGTCACAGAATTGAACATTCCTTTTCATAGTGCAGGTTTGAAACACTCTTTCTGTAGTATCTGGAAGTGGACATTTCAAGCGCTTTCAGGCCTATGGGGAGAAAGGAAATATCTTCAAATAAAAACTAGACAGAAGGATTCTCAGAAACTTATTGGTGATGTGTGTCCTCAACGAACACAGTTGAACCTTTGTTTTGATACAGCATTTTGGAAACACTCCCTTTGTAGAATCTGCAGGTGGATATGTGGATAGATTTTAAGATTTCGTTGGAAACGGGAATTTCTTCATATAAACTCAAGACAGATGCATTCTCCGAAACTTCTCGGTGATGTTTTCATTCCACTCATAGAGTTGAAAACTTCCTTTCATAGAGCAGGTTTGAAACACTCTTTTTGTAATATTTGGAAGTGGACATTTGCAGCGCTTTGAGGCCTATGGTGAAAAAGGAAATATCTTCTCATAAAAACCAGAAACAAGCATTCTCAGAAACTTCTTTTTGATGTGTGTACTCAAGTAACAGAGTTGAACCTTCCTTTTGACACAGCTGTTTTGAAACAATCTTTTTGTAGAATCTGCAAGTGGATATTTGGATAGCTTTGAGGATTTCGTTGGAAACGGGATATCTTCATATAAAATCTAGACAGAAGCATTCTCAGAAACTTCTTTGTGCTGTATGTCCTCAATTAACAGAGTTGAACCATTGCTTGGATACAGCATTATGGAAACATTCCTTTAGTAGAATCTGCAAGTTGATATTTAGATAGATTTGAAGATTTCGTTGGAAACGGGAATATCTTCATATAAAATCTAGACGGAGGCATTCTCAGAAACTGCTTTGTGATGTTTCCATTCAAGTCACAGAGTTGAATATTCTCTTTTATAGAGCACGTTTGAAACACTCTTTCTGCACTATCTGGAAGTGGACATTTCGAGCGCTTTGAGGCCTATGGTGAAAAAGGAAATATCTTCCCATAAAAACTAGACAGAAGCATTCTCAGAAACTTGTTTGTGATGTGTGTATTCAACTAACAGACTTGAACTTTTGTTTTTACAGAGCAGTTTTAAAACAATCTTTTTGTGGAATCAGAAAGTGGATATTCGGATGGCTTTGAGGATTTCGTTGGAAGCGGGATTACATATAAAATCTAGAGAGAAGCATTCTCAGGAACTACTTTGTGATGTTTGCATTGAAGTCACAGAATTGAACATTCACTTTGATAGAGCAGGTTTGAAACACTCATTCTGTAGTATCTGGAAGTGGACATTTCAAGCGCTTTCAGGCCTATGGGGAGAAAGGAAATATCTTCAAATTAAAACTAGACAGAAGCATCCTCAGAAACTTATTTGTGATGTGTGTCCTCAACTAACAGAGTTGAAACTTTGTTTTGATACAGCATTTTGGAAACACTCTTTTTGTAGAATCTGCAGGTGGATACTTGGATAGCTTAGAGGGATTCGTTGGAAAGGGGATAAATTCATATAAAATCTAGACAGAAGCATTCTCAGAAACTTATTTGTGATGTGTGTCCTCAACTAACAGAGTTGAACCTTGGTTTTGATACAGCATTTTGGAAACACTCCTTTTGAAGAATCTGCAGGTGGATATGTGGATAGCTTTGAAGATTTCGTTGGAAACGGGAATTTCTTCATATAAAATCAAACAGAAGCATTCTCAGGAACTTCTCTGTGATGTTTGCATTCAGCTCATGGAGTTGAACACTTCCTTTCATAGAGCAGGTTTGAAACACTCTTTCTGCACTACCTGGAAGTGGACATTTCAAGCGCTTTGAGGCCTATGGTGAAAAAGGAAATATCCTCTCATAAAAACCAGAAAGAAGCGTTCTCAGAAACTTCTTTGTGTTGTGTGTACTCATGTAACAGTGTTGAACCATCCTTTTGACAGAGCAGTTTTGAAACACTCTTTTTGTAGAATCTGCCAGTGGATATTTGGATAGCTTTGAGGATTTCGTTGGAAACGGGTTATCTTCATATTAAATCTAGACAGAAGCATTCTCAGAAACTTCTTTGTGCTGTATGTCCTCAATTCACAGAGTTGAACCTTTGTTTGGATACAGCATTTTGGAAACATTCCTTTAGTAGAATCTGCAAGTTGATATTTACATAGCTTTGAAGATTTCGTTGGAAACGGGAATATCTTCATAAAAAATCTAGACGGAAGCATTGTCAGAAACTGCTCTGTGATGTTTGCATTCAAGTCACAGAGTTAAATATTCTTTTATAGAGCAGGTTTGAAACACTCTTTCTGCACTCCCTGGAAGTGGAGATTTCGAGCGCTTTGAGGCCTATGGTGAAAAAGGAAATATCTTCCCGTAAAAACTAGACGGAAGCCTTCTCAGAAACTTGAGATGTGTGTATTCAACTAAGAGCGTTGAACATTTCTTTTTACAGAGCAGTTTTAAAACAGTCTTTTGGTGCAATCTGAAAGTGGATAATTGGATAGCTTTGTGGATTTCGTTGGAAACGGGATTACGTTTAAAATCTAGAGAGAAGCATTCTCAGGAACTTCTTTCTGATGTTTGCATTCAAGTCACAGAATTGAACATTCGTTTTCATAGTGCAGGTTTGAAACACTCTGTAGTATCTGGAAGTCGACATTTCAAGCGCTTTCAGGCCTATGGGGAGAAAGGAAATATCTTGAAATAAAAACTAGACAGAAGGATTCTCAGAAACTTATTTGTGATGTGTGTTCTCAACGAACACAGTTGAACCTTTGTTTTGATATAGCATTTTGGAAGCACTCCTTTTGTAGAATCTGCAGGTGGATATTTGGATAGATTTTAAGATTTCATTGGAAACGGGAATTTCTTCATATAAACTCAAGACAGATGCATTCTCAGAAACTTCTCTGTGATGTTTGCATTCCACTCACAGAGTTGAAAACTTCCTTTCATAGAGCAGGTTTGAAACACTCTTTTTGTAATACTTGGAAGTGGACATTTGCAGCGCTTTGAGGCCTATGGTGAAAAAGGAAATATCTTCTCATAAAAACCAGAAACAAGCATTCTCAGAAACTGCTTTTTGATGTGTGTACTCAAGTAACAGAGTTGAACCTTCCTTTTGACACAGCAGTTTTGAAACAATCTTTTTGTAGAATCTGCAAGTGGATATTTGGATAGCTTTGAGGATTTCGTTGGAAACGGGATATCTTCATATAAAATCTAGACAGAAGCATTCTCAGAAACTTCTTTGTGCTGTATGTCCTCAATTAACAGAGTTGAACCATTGCTTGGATACAGCATTTTGGAAACATTCCTTTAGTAGAATCTGCAAGTTGATATTTAGATAGATTTGAAGATTTCGTTGGAAACGGGAATATCTTCATATAAAATCCTAGACGGAAGCATTCTCAGTAAACTGCTTTGTGATGTTTCCATTCAAGTCACAGAGTTGAATATTCCCTTTTATAGAGCACGTTTGAAACACTCTTTCTGCACTATCTGGAAGTGGACATTTCGAGCGCTGTGAGGCCTATGGTGAAAAAGGAAATATCTTCCCATAAAAACTAGACAGAAGCATTCTCAGAAACTTGTTTGTGATGTGTGTATTCAAGTAACAGACTTGAACTTTTGTTTTTACAGAGCAGTTTTAAGACAATCCATTTGTGGAATCAGAAAGTGGATATTCGGATGGCTTTGAGGATTTCGTTGGAAGCGGGATTACATATAAAATCTAGAGAGAAGCATTCTCAGGAACTACTTTGTGATGTTTGCATTGAAGTCACAGAATTGAACATTCACTTTGATAGAGCAGGTTTGAAACACTCATTCTGTAGTATCTGGAAGCGGACAATTCAAGCGCTTTCAGGCCTATGGGGAGAAAGGAAATATCTTCAAATAAAAACTAGACAGAAGCATCCTCAGAAACTTATTTGTGATGTGTGTCCTCAACTAACAGAGTTGAAACTTTGTTTTGATACAGCATTTTGGAAACACTCTTTTTGTAGAATCTGCAGGTGGATATTTGGATAGCTTAGAGGGATTCGTTGGAAAGGGGATATCTTCATATAAAATCTAGACAGAAGCATTCTCAGAATCTTATTTGTGATGTGTGTCCTCAACTAACAGAGTTGAACCTTGGTTTTGATACAGCATTTTGGAAACACTCCTTTTGTAGAATCTGCAGGTGGATATGTGGATAGCTTTGAAGATTTCGTTGGAAACGGGAATTTCTTCATATAAAATCAAAGAGAAGCATTCTCAGAAACTTCTCTGTGATGTTTGCATTCAGCTCATGGAGTTGAACACTTCCTTTCAGAGAGCAGCTTTGAAACACTCTTTCTGCACTACGAGGAAGTGGACATTTCAAGCGCTTTGAGGCCTATGGTGAAAAAGGAAATATCTTCTCATAAAAACCAGAAAGAAGCGTTCTCAGAAACTTCTTTGTGTTGTGTGTACTCATGTAACAGTGTTGAACCATCCTTTTGACAGAGCAGTTTTGAAACACTCTTTTTGTAGAATCTGCAAGTGGATATTTGGATAGCTTTGAGGATTTCGTTGGAAACGGGTTATCTTCATATTAAATCTAGACAGAAGCATTCTCAGAAACTTCTTTGTGCTGTATGTCCTCAATTCACAGAGTTGAACCTTTGTTTGGATACAGCATTTTGGAAACATTCCTTTAGTAGAATCTGCAAGTTGATATTTAGATAGCTTTGAAGATTTCGTTGGAAACGGGAATATCTTCATAAAAAATCTAGACGGAAGCATTGTCAGAAACTGCTTTGTGATGTTTGCATTCAAGTCACAGAGTTAAATATTCTTTTACAGAGCAGGTTTGAAACACTCTTTCTGCACTCCCTGGAAGTGGAGATTTCGAGCGCTTTGAGGCCTATGGTGAAAAAGGAAATATCTTCCCATAAAAACTAGACGGAAGCCTTCTCAGAAACTTGTTTGAGATGTGTGTATTCAACTAAGAGCGTTGAACATTTCTTTTTACAGAGCAGTTTTAAAACACTCCTTTTGTGGAATCTGAAAGTGGATAATTGGATAGCTTTGTGGATTTCGTTGGAAACGGGATTACGTATAAAATCTAGAGAGAAGCATTCTCAGGAACTTCTTTCTGATGTTTGCATTCAAGTCACAGAATTGAACATTCCTTTTCATAGTGCAGGTTTGAAACACTCTTTCTGTAGTATCTGGAAGTGGACATTTCAAGCGCTTTCAGGCCTATGGGAAGAAAGGAAATATCTTCAAATAAAAACTAGACAGAAGGATTCTCAGAAACTTATTGGTGATGTGTGTCCTAAACGAACACAGTTGAACCTTTGTTTTGATACAGCATTTTGGAAACACTCCCTTTGTAGAATCTGCAGGTGGATATTTGGATAGATTTTAAGATTTCGTTGGAAACGGGAATTTCTTCATATAAACTCAAGACAGATGCATTCTCCGAAACTTCTCTGTGCTGTTTGCATTCCACTCATAGAGTTGAAAACTTCCTTTCATAGAGCAGGTTTGAAACACTCTTTTTGTAATATTTGGAAGTGGACATTTGCAGCGCTTTGAGTCCTATGGTGAAAAAGGAAATATCTTCTGATAAAAACCAGAAACAAGCATTCTCAGAAACTTCTTTTTGATGTGTGTACTCAAGTAACAGAGTTGAACCTTCCTTTTGACACAGCAGTTTTGAAACAATCTTTTTGTAGAATCTGCAAGTGGATATTTGGATAGCTTTGAGGATTTCGTTGGAAACGGGATATCTTCATATAAAATCTAGACAGAAGCATTCTCAGAAACTTCTTTGTGCTGTATGACCTCAATTAACAGAGTTGAACCATTGCTTGCATACAGCATTTTGGAAACATTCCTTGAGTAGAATCTGCAAGTTGATATTTAGATAGATTTGAAGATTTCGTTCGAAAACGGAATATCTCCATATAAAATCTAGAGGGAAGCATTCTCAGAAACTGCTTTGTGATGTTTCCATTCAAGTCACAGAGTTGAATATTCCCTTTTATAGAGCACGTTTGAAACACTCTTTCTGCGCTATCTGGAAGTGGACATTTCGAGCGCTTTGAGGCCTATGGTGAAAAAGGAAATATCTTCCCATAAAAACTAGACAGAAGCATTCTCAGAAACTTGTTTGTGATGTGTGTATTCAACTAACAGAGTTGAACTTTTGTTTTTACAGAGCCGTTTTAAAACACTCTTTTTGTGGAATCAGAAAGTGGATATTCGGATGGCTCTGAGGATTTCGTTGGAAGCGGGATTACATATAAAATCTAGAGAGAAGCATTCTCAGGAACTTCTTTGTGATGTTTGCATTGAAGTCACAGAATTGAACATTCACTTTGATAGAGCAGGTTTGAAACACTCATTCTGTAGTATCTGGAAGTGGACATTTCAAGCGCTTTCAGGCCTATGGTGAGAAAGGAAATATCTTCGAATAAAAACTAGACAGAAGCATCCTCAAACTTATTTGTGATGTGTGTCCTCAACTAACAGAGTTGAAACTTTGTTTTGATACAGCATTTTGGAAACACTCTTTTTGTAGAATCTGCAGGTGGATATTTGGATAGCTTAGAGGGATTCGTTGGAAAGGGGATATCTTCATATAGAATCTAGACAGAAGCATTCTCAGAAACTTATTTGTGATGTGTGTCCTCAACTAACAGAGTTGAACTTTGGTTTTGATACAGCATTTTGGAAACACTCCTTTTGTAGAATCTGCAGGTGGATATGTGGATAGCTCTGAAGATTTCGTTGGAAACGGGAATTTCTTCATATAAAATCAAACAGAAGCATTCTCAGAAACTTCTCAGTGATGTTTGCATTCAGTTCATGGAGTTGAACACTTCCTTTCATAGAGCCGGTTTGAAACACTCTTTCTGCACTACCTGGAAGAGGACATTTCGAGCGCTTTGAGTCCTATGGTGAAAAAGGAAATATCTTCTCATAGAAACCAGAAAGAAGCATTCTCAGAAACTTCTTTGTGTTGTGTGTACTCATGTAACAGTGTTGAACCATCCTTTTGACAGAGCAGTTTTGAAACACTCTTTTTGTAGAATCTGCAAGTGGATATTTGGATAGCTTTGAGGATTTCGTTGGAAACGGGATGACATATAATATCTAGAGAGAAGCATTCTCAGGAACTTCTTTGTGATGTTTGCATTCAAGTCACAGAATTGAACATTCCCTTTCATAGAGCAGGTTTGAAACACTCTTTCTCTAGTATCTGGAAGTGGGCATTTCAAGCGCTTTCAGGCCTATGGAGAGAAAGGAAATACCTTCAAATAAAAACTAGACAGAAGCATTCTCAGAAACTTATTTGTGATGTGTGTCCTCAACTAACAGAGTTGAACCTTTGTTTTGATACAGCATTTTGGAAACACTCCTTTTGTAGAATCTGCAGGTGGATATTTGGATAGCTTTGAAGATTTCGTTGGAAACCGGAATATCTTCATATAAAATCAAGACAGAAGCATTCTCGGAAACATCTCTGTGATGTTTGCATTCAACTCAGTAGAGTTGAACACTTCCTTTCATAGAGCAGGTTTGAAACACTCTTTCTGCACTACCTGGAAGCGGACATTTCGAGCGCTTTGAGGCCTATGGTGAAAAAGGAAATATCTTCTCATAAAAACCAGAAAGAAGCATTCTCAGAAACTTCTTTGTGTTGTGTGTACTCAAGTAACAGTGTTGAACCTTCCTTTTGACAGAGCAGTTTTGAAACACTCTTTTGGTAGAATCTGCAAGTGGATATTTGGATAGCTTTGAGGATTTCGTTGGAAACGGGTTATCTTCCTATAAAATCCAGACAGGAGCATTCTCAGAAACTTCTTTGTGCTGTATGTCCTCAATTCACAGAGCTGAACCTTTGTTTGGATACAGCATTTTGGAGACATTCCTTTAGTAGAATCTGCAAGTTGATATTTAGATAGCTTTGAAGATTTCGTTGGAAACGGGAATATCTTCATAGAAAATCTAGACGGAAGCATTCTCAGAAACTGCTTTGTGATGTTTGCATTCAAGTCACAGAGTTGAATATTCCCTTTTATAGAGTAGGTTTGAAACACTCTTTCGGCACTACCTGGAAGTGGATATTTCGAGCTCTTTGAGGCCTATGGTTAAAAGGAAATATCTTCCCATAAAAACTAGACAGAAGCCGTCTCAGAAACTTGTTTGTGATGTGTGTATTCAACTAACAGAGTTGAACATTTCTGTTACAGAGCAATTTTAAAACACTCTTTTTGTGGAATCTGAAAGTGGATAATTGGATAGCTTTGTGGATTTCGTTGGAAACGGGATGACGTATAAAATCTAGAGAGAAGCATTCTCAGGAACTTCTTTCTGATGTTTGCATTCAAGTCACAGAATTGAACATTCCTTTTCAGAGTGCAGGTTTGAAACACTCTTTCTGTAGTATCTGGAAGTGGACATTTCAAGCGCTTTCAGGCCTACGGGGAGAAAGGAAATATCTTCAAATAAAAACTAGACAGAAGGATTCTCAGAAACTTATTTGTGATGTGTGTCCTAAACGAACACAGTTGAACCTTTGTTTTGATACAGCATTTTGGAAACACTCCTTTTGTAGGATCTGCAGGTGGATATTTGGATAGATTTTAAGATTTCGTTGGAAACGGGAATTTCTGCATATAAACTCAAGACAGATGCATTCTCAGAAACTTCTCTGTGATGTTTGCATTCCACTCATAGAGTTGAAAACTTCCTTTCATAGAGCAGGTTTGAAACACTCTTTTTGTAATATTTGGAAGTGGACATTTGCAGCGCTTTGAGGCCTATGGTGAAAAAGGAAATATCTTCTCATAAAAACCAGAAACAAGCATTCTCAGAAACTTCTTTTTGATGTGTGTACTCAAGTAACAGAGTTGAACCTTCCTCTTGACACAGCAGTTTTGAAACAATCTTTTTGTAGAATCTGCAAGTGGATATTTGGATAGCTTTGAGGATTTCGTTGGAAACGGGATATCTTCATATAAAATCTAGACAGAAGCATTCTCAGAAACTTCTTTGTGCTGTATGTCCTCAATTAACAGAGTTGAACCATTGCTTGGATACAGCATTTTGGAAACATTCCTTGAGTAGAATCTGCAAGTTGATATTTAGATAGATTTGAAGATTTCGGTTGGAAAAGGGAATATCTCCATATAAAATCTAGAGGGAAGCATTCTCAGAAACTGCTTTGTGATGTTTCCATTCAAGTCACAGAGTTGAATATTCCCTTTTATAGAGCACGTTTGAAACACTCTTTCTGCACTATCTGGAAGCGGACATTTCGAGCGCTTTGAGGCCTATGGTGAAAAAGGAAATATCTTCCCATAAAAACTAGACAGAAGCATTCTCAGAAACTTGTTTGTGATGTGTGTATTCAACTAACAGAGTTGAACTTTTGTTTTTACAGAGCCGTTTTAAAACACTCTTTTTGTGGAATCAGAAAGTGGATATTCGGATGGCTCTGAGGATTTCGTTGGAAGCGGGATTACGTATAAAATCTAGAGAGAAGCATTCTCAGGAACTTCTTTCTGATGTTTGCATTGAAGTCACGGAATTGAACATTCACTTTTATAGAGCAGGTTTGAAACACTCATTCTGTAGTATCTGGAAGTGGACATTTCAAGCGCTTTCAGGCCTATGGTGAGAAAGGAAATATCTTCGAATAAAAACTAGACAGAAGCATCCTCAGAAACTTATTTGTGATGTGTGTCCTCAACTAACAGAGTTGAAACTTTGTTTTGATACAGCATTTTGGAAACACTCTTTTTGTAGAATCTGCAGGTGGATATTTGGATAGCTTAGAGGGATTCGTTGGAAAGGGGATATCTTCATATAAAATCTAGACAGAAGCATTCTCAGAAACTTATTTGTGATGTGTGTCCTCAACTAACAGAGTTGAACCTTGGTTTTGATACAGCATTTTGGAAACACTCCTTTTGTAGAATCTGCAGGTGGATATGTGGATAGCTCTGAAGATTTCGTTGGAAACGGGAATTTCTTCATATAAAATCAAACAGAAGCATTCTCAGAAACTTCTCAGTGATGTTTGCATTCAGTTCATGGAGTTGAACACTTCCCTTCATAGAGCCGGTTTGAAACACTCTTTCTGCACTACCTGGAAGAGGACATTTCGAGCGCTTTGAGTCCTATGGTGAAAAAGGAAATATCTTCTCATAGAAACCAGAAAGAAGCATTCTCAGAAACTTCTTTGTGTTGTGTGTACTCATGTAACAGTGTTGAACCATCCTTTTGACAGAGCAGTTTTGAAACACTCTTTTTGAAGAATCTGCAAGTGGATATTTGGATAGCTTTGAGGATTTCGTTGGAAACGGGATGACATATAATATCTAGAGAGAAGCATTCTCAGGAACTTCTTTGTGATGTTTGCATTCAAGTCACAGAATTGAACATTCCCTTTCATAGAGCAGGTTTGAAACACTCTTTCTCTAGTATCTGGAAGTGGGCATTTCAAGCGCTTTCAGGCCTATGGAGAGAAAGGAAATACCTTCAAATAAAAACTAGACAGAAGCATTCTCAGAAACTTATTTGTGATGTGTGTCCTCAACTAACAGAGTTGAACCTTTGTTTTGATACAGCATTTTGGAAACACTCCTTTTGTAGAATCTGCAGGTGGATATTTGGATAGCTTTGAAGATTTCGTTGGAAACCGGAATATCTTCATATAAAATCAAGACAGAAGCATTCTCGGAAACATCTCTGTGATGTTTGCATTCAACTCAGTAGAGTTGAACACTTCCTTTCATAGAGCAGGTTTGAAACACTCTTTCTGCACTACCTGGAAGCGGACATTTCGAGCGCTTTGAGGCCTATGGTGAAAAAGGAAATATCTTCTCATAAAAACCAGAAAGAAGCATTCTCAGAAACTTCTTTGTGTTGTGTGTACTCAAGTAACAGTGTTGAACCTTCCTTTTGACAGAGCAGTTTTGAAACACTCTTTTGGTAGAATCTGCAAGTGGATATTTGGATAGCTTTGAGGATTTCATTGGAAACGGGTTATCTTCATATAAAATCCAGACAGGAGCATTCTCAGAAACTTCTTTGTGCTGTATGTCCTCAATTCACAGAGCTGAACCTTTGTTTGGATACAGCATTTTGGAGACATTCCTTTAGTAGAATCTGCAAGTTGATATTTAGATAGCTTTGAAGATTTCGTTGGAAACGGGAATATCTTCATAGAAAATCTAGACGGAAGCATTCTCAGAAACTGCTTTGTGATGTTTGCATTCAAGTCACAGAGTTGAATATTCCCTTTTATAGAGTAGGTTTGAAACACTCTTTCGGCACTACCTGGAAGTGGATATTTCGAGCTCTTTGAGGCCTATGGTTAAAAGGAAATATCTTCCCATAAAAACTAGACAGAAGCCGTCTCAGAAACTTGTTTGTGATGTGTGTATTCAACTAACAGAGTTGAACATTTCTGTTACACAGCAATTTAAAACACTCTTTTTGTGGAATCTGAAAGTGTATAATTGGATAGCTTTGTGGATTTCGTTGGAAACGGGATGACGTATAAAATCTAGAGAGAAGCATTCTCAGGAACTTCTTTCTGATGTTTGCATTCAAGTCACAGAATTGAACATTCCTTTTCATAGTGCAGGTTTGAAACGCTCTTTCTGTAGTATCTGGAAGTGGACATTTCAAGCGCTTTCAGGCCTATGGGGAGAAAGGAAATATCTTCAAATAAAAACTAGACAGAAGGATTCTCAGAAACTTATTGGTGATGTGTGTCCTAAACGAACACAGTTGAACCTTTGTTTTGATACAGCCTTTTGGAAACACTCCTTTTGTAGAATCTGCAGGTGGATATTTGGATAGATTTTAAGATTTCGTTGGAAACGGGAATGTCTTCATATAAACTCAAGACAGATGCATTCTCAGAAACTTCTCTGTGATGTTTGCATTCCACTCATAGAGTTGAAAACTTCCTTTCATAGAGCAGGTTTGAAACACTCTTTTTGTAATATTTGGAAGGGGACATTTGCAGAGCTTTGAGGCCTATGGTGAAAAAGGAAATATCTTCTCATAAAAACCAGAAACAAGCATTCTCAGAAACTTCTTTTTGATGTGTGTACTCAAGTAACAGAGTTGAACCTTCCTTTTGACACAGCAGTTTTGAAACAATCTTTTTGTAGAATCTGCAAGTGGATATTTGGATAGCTTTGAGGATTTCGTTGGAAACGGGATATCTTCATATAAAATCTAGACAGAAGCATTCTCAGAAACTTCTTTGTGCTGTATGACCTCAATTTACAGAGTTGAACCATTGCTTGCATACAGCATTTTGGAAACATTCCTTGAGTAGAATCTGCAAGTTGATATTTAGATAGATTTGAAGATTTCGTTCGAAAACGGAATATCTCCATATAAAATCTAGAGGGAAGCATTCTCAGAAACTGCTTTGTGATGTTTCCATTCAAGTCACAGAGTTGAATATTCCCTTTTATAGAGCACGTTTGAAACACTCTTTCTGCACTATCTGGAAGTGGACATTTCGAGCACTTTGAGGCCTATGGTGAAAAAGGAAATATCTTCCCATAAAAACTAGACAGAAGCATTCTCAGAAACTTGTTTGTGATGTGTGTATTCAACTAACAGAGTTGAACTTTTGTTTTTACAGAGCCGTTTTAAAACACTCTTTTTGTGGAATCAGAAAGTGGATATTCGGATGGCTCTGAGGATTTCGTTGGAAGCGGGATTACATATAAAATCTAGAGAGAAGCATTCTCAGGAACTTCTTTGTGATGTTTGCATTGAAGTCACAGAATTGAACATTCACTTTGATAGAGCAGGTTTGAAACACTCATTCTGTAGGATCTGGAAGTGGACATTTCAAGCGCTTTCAGGCCTATGGTGAGAAAGGAAATATCTTCGAATAAAAACTAGACAGAAGCATTCTCAGAAACTTATTTGTGATGTGTGTCCTCAACTAACAGAGTTGAAACTTTGTTTTGATACAGCATTTTGGAAACACTCTTTTTGTAGAATCTGCAGGTGGATATTTGGATAGCTTAGAGGGATTCGTTGGAAAGGGGATATCTTCATATAAAATCTAGACAGAAGCATTCTCAGAAACTTATTTGTGATGTGTGTCCTCAACTAACAGAGTTGAACCTTGGTTTTGATACAGCATTTTGGAAACACTCCTTTTGTAGAATCTGCATGTGGATATGTGGATAGCTCTGAAGATTTCGTTGGAAACGGGAATTTCTTCATATAAAATCAAACAGAAGCATTCTCAGAAACTTCTCAGTGATGTTTGCATTCAGCTCATGGAGTTGTACACTTCCTTTCATAGAGCAGGTTTGAAACACTCTTTCTGCACTACCTGGAAGAGGACATTTCGAGCGCTTTGAGTCCTATGGTGAAAAAGGAAATATCTTCTCATAGAAACCAGAAAGAAACATTCTCAGAAACTTCTTTGTGTTGTGTGTACTCATGTAACAGTGTTGAACCATCCTTTTGACAGAGCAGTTTTGAAACACTCTTTTTGTAGAATCTGCAAGTGGATATTTGGATAGCTTTGAGGATTTCGTTGGAAACGGGATGACATATAATATCTAGAGAGAAGCATTCTCAGGAACTTCTTTGTGATGTTTGCATTCAAGTCACAGAATTGAACATTCCCTTTCATAGAGCAGGTTTGAAACACTCTTTCTCTAGTATCTGGAAGTGGGCATTTCAAGCGCTTTCAGGCCTATGGAGAGAAAGGAAATACCTTCAAATAAAAACTAGACAGAAGCATTCTCAGAAACTTATTTGTGATGTGTGTCCTCAACTAACAGAGTTGAACCTTTGTTTTGATACAGCATTTTGGAAACACTCCTTTTGTAGAATCTGCAGGTGGATATTTGGATAGCTTTGAAGATTTCGTTGGAAACCGGAATATCTTCATATAAAATCAAGACAGAAGCATTCTCGGAAACATCTCTGTGATGTTTGCATTCAACTCAGTAGAGTTGAACACTTCCTTTCATAGAGCAGGTTTGAAACACTCTTTCTGCACTACCTGGAAGCGGACATTTCGAGCGCTTTGAGGCCTATGGTGAAAAAGGAAATATCTTCTCATAAAAACCAGAAAGAAGCATTCTCAGAAACTTCTTTGTGTTGTGTGTACTCAAGTAACAGTGTTGAACCTTCCTTTTGACAGAGTAGTTTTGAAACACTCTTTTGGTAGAATCTGCAAGTGGATATTTGGATAGCTTTGAGGATTTCGTTGGAAACGGGTTATCTTCATATACAATCCAGACAGGAGCATTCTCAGAAACTTCTTTGTGCTGTATGTCCTCAATTCACAGAGCTGAACCTTTGTTTGGATACAGCATTTTGGAGACATTCCTTTAGTAGAATCTGCAAGTTGATATTTAGATAGCTTTGAAGATTTCGTTGGAAACGGGAATATCTTCATAGAAAATCTAGACGGAAGCATTCTCAGAAACTGCTTTGTGATGTTTGCATTCAAGTCACAGAGTTGAATATTCCCTTTTATAGAGTAGGTTTGAAACACTCTTTCGGCACTACCTGGAAGTGGATATTTCGAGCTCTTTGAGGCCTATGGTTAAAAGGAAATATCTTCCCATAAAAACTAGACAGAAGCCGTCTCAGAAACTTGTTTGTGATGTGTGTATTCAACTACCAGAGTTGAACATTTCTGTTACAGAGCAATTTTAAAACACTCTTTCTGTGGAATCTGAAAGTGGATAATTGGATAGCTTTGTGGATTTCGTTGGAAACGGGATGACGTATAAAATCTAGAGAGAAGCATTCTCAGGAACTTCTTTCTGATGTTTGCATTCAAGTCACAGAATTGAACATTCCTTTTCATAGTGCAGGTTTGAAACACTCTTTCTGTAGTATCTGGAAGTGGACATTTCAAGCGCTTTCAGGCCTGTGGGGAGAAAGGAAATATCTTCAAATAAAAACTAGACAGAAGGGTTCTCAGAAACTTATTTGTGATGTGTGTCCTAAACGAACACAGTTGAACCTTTGTTTTGATACAGCATTTTGGAAACACTCCTTTTGTAGGATCTGCAGGTGGATATTTGGATAGATTTTAAGATTTCGTTGGAAACGGGAATTTCTGCATAGAAACTCAAGACAGATGCATTCTCAGAAACTTCTCTGTGATGTTTGCATTCCACTCATAGAGTTGAAAACTTCCTTTCATAGAGCAGGTTTGAAACACTCTTTTTGTAATATTTGGAAGTGGACATTTGCAGCGCTTTGAGGCCTATGGTGAAAAAGGAAATATCTTCTCATAAAAACCAGAAACAAGCATTCTCAGAAACTTCTTTTTGATGTGTGTACTCAAGTAACAGAGTTGAACCTTCCTTTTGACACAGCAGTTTTGAAACAATCTTTTTGTAGAATCTGCAAGTGGATATTTGGATAGCTTTGAGGATTTCGTTGGAAACGGGATATCTTCATATAAAATCTAGACAGAAGCATTCTCAGAAACTTCTTTGTGCTGTATGCCCTCAATTAACAGAGTTGAACCATTGCTTGGATACAGCATTTTGGAAACATTCCTTGAGTAGAATCTGCAAGTTGATATTTAGATAGATTTGAAGATTTCGTTGGAAAAGGGAATATCTCCATATAAAATCTAGAGGGAAGCATTCTCAGAAACTGCTTTGTGATGTTTCCATTCAAGTCACAGAGTTGAATATTCCCTTTTATAGAGCACGTTTGAAACACTCTTTCTGCACTATCTGGAAGCGGACATTTCGAGCGCTTTGAGGCCTATGGTGAAAAAGGAAATATCTTCCCATAAAAACTAGACAGAAGCATTCTCAGAAACTTGTTTGTGATGTGTGTATTCAACTAACAGAGTTGAACTTTTGTTTTTACAGAGCCGTTTTAAAACACTCTTTTTGTGGAATCAGAAAGTGGATATTCGGATGGCTCTGAGGATTTCGTTGGAAGCGGGATTACGTATAAAATCTAGAGAGAAGCATTCTCAGGAACTTCTTTCTGATGTTTGCATTGAAGTCACGGAATTGAACATTCACTTTTATAGAGCAGGTTTGAAACACTCATTCTGTAGTATCTGGAAGTGGACATTTCAAGCGCTTTCAGGCCTATGGTGAGAAAGGAAATATCTTCGAATAAAAACTAGACAGAAGCATCCTCAGAAACTTATTTGTGATGTGTGTCCTCAACTAACAGAGTTGAAACTTTGTTTTGATACAGCATTTTGGAAACACTCTTTGTAGAATCTGCAGGTGGATATTTGGATAGCTTAGAGGGATTCGTTGGAAAGGGGATATCTTCATATAAAATCTAGACAGAAGCATTCTCAGAAACTTATTTGTGATGTGTGTCCTCAACTAACAGAGTTGAACCTTGGTTTTGATACAGCATTTTGGAAACACTCCTTTTGTAGAATCTGCATGTGGATATGTGGATAGCTCTGAAGATTTCGTTGGAAACGGGAATTTCTTCATATAAAATCAAACAGAAGCATTCTCAGGAACTTCTCTGTGATGTTTGCATTCAGCTCATGGAGTTGAACACTTCCTTTCATAGAGCAGGTTTGAAACACTCTTTCTGCACTACCTGGAAGTGGACATTTCGAGCGCTTTGAGGCCTATGGTGAAAAAGGAAATATCCTCTCATAAAAACCAGAAAGAAGAGTTCTCAGAAACTTCTTTGTGTTGTGTGTACTCATGTAACAGTGTTGAACCATCCTTTTGACAGAGCAGTTTTGAAACACTTTTTTTGTAGAATCTGCAAGTGGATATTTGGATAGCTTTGAGGATTTCGTTGGAAACAGGTTATCTTCATATTAAATCTAGACAGAAGCATTCTCAGAAACTTCTTTGTGCTGTATGTCCTCAATTCACAGAGTTGAACCTTTGTTTGGATACAGCATTTTGGAAACATTCCTTTAGTAGAATCTGCAAGTTGATATGTAGATAGCTTTGAAGATTTCGTTGGAAACGGGAATATCTTCATAAAATATCTAGACGGAAGCATTGTCAGAAACTGCTCTGTGATGTTTGCATTCAAGTCACAGAGTTAAATATTCTTTTATAGAGCAGGTTTGAAACACTCTTTCTAAACTCCCTGGAAGTGGAGATTTCGAGCGCTTTGAGGCCTATGGTGAAAAAGGAAATATCTTCCCATAAAAACTAGACGGAAGCCTTCTCAGAAACTTGTTTGAGATGTGTGTATTCAACTAAGAGCGTTGAACATTTCTTTTTACAGAGCAGTTTTAAAACACTCTTTTGGTGGAATCTGAAAGTGGATAATTGGATAGCTTTGTGGATTTCGTTGGAAACGGGATTACGTTTAAAATCTAGAGAGAAGCATTCTCAGGAACTTCTCTCTGATGTTTGCATTCAAGTCACAGAATTGAACATTCCTTTTCATAGTGCAGGTTTGAAACACTCTGTAGTATCTGGAAGTGGACATTTCAAGCGCTTTCAAGCCTATGGGGAGAAAGGAAATATCTTGAAATAAAAACTAGACAGAAGGATTCTCAGAAACTTATTTGTGATGTGTGTCCTAAACGAACACAGTTGAACCTTTGTTTTGATACAGCATTTTGGAAACACTCCTTTTGTAGAATCTGCAGGTGGATATTTGGATAGATTTTAAGATTTCATTGGAAACGGGAATTTCTTCATATAAACTCAAGACAGATGCATTCTCAGAAACTTCTCTGTGATGTTTGCATTCCACTCACAGAGTTGAAAACTTCCTTTCATAGAGCAGGTTTGAAACACTCTTTTTGTAATATTTGGAAGTGGACATTTGCAGCGCTTTGAGGCCTATGGTGAAAAAGGAAATATCTTCTCATAAAAACCAGAAACAAGCATTCTCAGAAACTGCTTTTTGATGTGTGTACTCAAGTAACAGAGTTGAACCTTCCTTTTGACACAGCAGTTTTGAAACAATCTTTTTGTAGAATCTGCAAGTGGATATTTGGATAGCTTTGAGGATTTCGTTGGAAACGGGATATCTTCATATAAAATCTAGACAGAAGCATTCTCAGAAACTTCTTTGTGCTGTATGTCCTCAATTAACAGAGTTGAACCATTGCTTGGATACAGCATTTTGGAAACATTCCTTTAGTAGAATCTGCAAGTTGATATTTAGATAGCTTTGAAGATTTCGTTGGAAACGGGAATATCTTCATATAAAATCTAGACGGAGGCATTCTCAGAAACTGCTTTGTGATGTTTCCATTCAAGTCACAGAGTTGAATATTCTCTTTTATAGAGCACGTTTGAAACACTCTTTCTGCACTATCTGGAAGTGGACATTTCGAGCGCTTTGAGGCCTATGGTGAAAAAGGAAATATCTTCCCATAAAAACTAGACAGAAGCATTCTCAGAAACTTGTTTGTGATGTGTGTATTCAACTAACAGACTTGAACTTTTGTTTTTACAGAGCAGTTTTAAAACAATCTTTTTGTGGAATCAGAAAGTGGATATTCGGATGGCTTTGAGGATTTCGTTGGAAGCGGGATTACATATAAAATGTAGAGAGAAGCATTCTCAGGAACTACTTTGTGATGTTTGCATTGAAGTCACAGAATTGAACATTCACTTTGATAGAGCAGGTTTGAAACACTCATTCTGTAGTATCTGGAAGTGGACATTTCAAGCGCTTTCAGGCCTATGGGGAGAAAGGAAATATCTTCAAATTAAAACTAGACAGAAGCATCCTCAGAAACTTATTTGTGATGTGTGTCCTCAACTAACAGAGTTGAAACTTTGTTTTGATACAGCATTTTGGAAACACTCTTTTTGTAGAATCTGCAGGTGGATACTTGGATAGCTTAGAGGGATTCGTTGGAAAGGGGATAAATTCATATAAAATCTAGACAGAAGCATTCTCAGAAACTTACTTGTGATGTGTGTCCTCAACTAACAGAGTTGAACCTTGGTTTTGATACAGCATTTTGGAAACACTCCTTTTGAAGAATCTGCAGGTGGATATGTGGATAGCTTTGAAGATTTCGTTGGAAACGGGAATTTCTTCATATAAAATCAAACAGAAGCATTCTCAGGAACTTCTCTGTGATGTTTGCATTCAGCTCATGGAGTTGAACACTTCCTTTCATAGAGCAGGTTTGAAACACTCTTTCTGCACTACCTGGAAGTGGACATTTCGAGCGCTTTGAGGCCTATGGTGAAAAAGGAAATATCCTCTCATAAAAACCAGAAAGAAGCGTTCTCAGAAACTTCTTTGTGTTGTGTGTACTCATGTAACAGTGTTGAACCATCCTTTTGACAGAGCAGTTTTGAAACACTCTTTTTGTAGAATCTGCCAGTGGATATTTGGATAGCTTTGAGGATTTCGTTGGAAACGGGTTATCTTCATATTAAATCTAGACAGAAGCATTCTCAGAAACTTCTTTGTGCTGTATGTCCTCAATTCACAGAGTTGAACCTTTGTTTGGATACAGCATTTTGGAAACATTCCTTTAGTAGAATCTGCAAGTTGATATTTAGATAGCTTTGAAGATTTCGTTGGAAACGGGAATATCTTCATAAAAAATCTAGACGGAAGCATTGTCAGAAACTGCTCTGTGATGTTTGCATTCAAGTCACAGAGTTAAATATTCTTTTATAGAGCAGGTTTGAAACACTCTTTCTGCACTCCCTGGAAGTGGAGATTTCGAGCGCTTTGAGGCCTATGGTGAAAAAGGAAATATCTTCCTGTAAAAACTAGACGGAAGCCTTCTCAGAAACTTGTTTGAGATGTGTGTATTCAACTAAGAGCGTTGAACATTTCTTTTTACAGAGCAGTTTTAAAACACTCTTTTGGTGGAATCTGAAAGTGGATAATTGGATAGCTTTGTGGATTTCGTTGGAAACGGGATTACGTTTAAAATCTAGAGAGAAGCATTCTCAGGAACTTCTTTCTGATGTTTGCATTCAAGTCACAGAATTGAACATTCCTTTTCATAGTGCAGGTTTGAAACACTCTGTAGTATCTGGAAGTGGACATTTCAAGCGCTTTCAGGCCTATGGGGAGAAAGGAAATATCTTGAAATAAAAACTAGACAGGAGGATTCTCAGAAACTTATTTGTGATGTGTGTCCTAAACGAACACAGTTGAACCTTTGTTTTGATACAGCATTTTGGAAACACTCCTTTTGTAGAATCTGCAGGTGGATATTTGGATAGATTTTAAGATTTCATTGGAAACGGGAATTTCTTCATATAAACTCAAGACAGATGCATTCTCAGAAACTTCTCTGTGATGTTTGCATTCCACTCATAGAGTTGAAAACTTCCTTTCATAGAGCAGGTTTGAAACACTCTTTTTGTAATATTTGGAAGTGGACATTTGCAGCGCTTTGAGGCCTATGGTGAAAAAGGAAATATCTTCTCATAAAAACCAGAAACAAGCATTCTCAGAAACTGCTTTTTGATGTGTGTACTCAAGTAACAGAGTTGAACCTTCCTTTTGACACAGCAGTTTTGAAACAATCTTTTTGTAGAATCTGCAAGTGGATATTTGGATAGCTTTGAGGATTTCGTTGGAAACGGGATATGTTCATATAAAATCCAGACAGAAGCATTCTCAGAAACTTCTTTGTGCTGTATGTCCTCAATTAACAGAGTTGAACCATTGCTTGGATACAGCATTTTGGAAACATTCCTTTAGTAGAATCTGCAAGTTGATATTTAGATAGATTTGAAGAATTCGTTGGAAACGGGAATATCTTCATATAAAATCTAGACGGAGGCATTCTCAGAAACTGCTTTGTGATGTTTCCATTCAAGTCACAGAGTTGAATATTCTCTTTTATAGAGCACGTTTGAAACACTCTTTCTGCACTATCTGGAAGTGGACATTTCGAGCGCTTTGAGGCCTATGGTGAAAAAGGAAGTATCTTCCCATAAAAACTAGACAGAAGCATTCTCAGAAACTTGTTTGTGATGTGTGTATTCAACTAACAGACTTGAACTTTTGTTTTTACAGAGCAGTTTTAAAACAATCTTTTTGTGGAATCAGAAAGTGGATATTCGGATGGCTTTGAGGATTTCGTTGGAAGCGGGATTACATTTAAAATCTAGAGAGAAGCATTCTCAGGAACTACTTTGTGATGTTTGCATTGAAGTCACAGAATTGAACATTCACTTTGATAGAGCAGGTTTGAAACACTCATTCTGTAGTATCTGGAAGTGGACATTTCAAGCGCTTTCAGGCCTATGGTGAGAAAGGAAATATCTTCAAATTAAAACTAGACAGAAGCATCCTCAGAAACTTATTTGTGATGTGTGTCCTCAACTAACAGAGTGGAAACTTTGTTTTGATACAGCATTTTGGAAACACTCTTTTTGTAGGATCTGCAGGTGGATATTTGGATAGCTTAGAGGGATTCGTTGGAAAGGAGATATGTTCATATAAAATCTAGACAGAAGCATTCTCAGAAACTTATTTGTGATGTGTGTCCTCAACTAACAGAGTTGAACCTTGGTTTTGATACAGCATTTTGGAAACACTCCTTTTGAAGAATCTGCAGGTGGATATGTGGATAGCTTTGAAGATTTCGTTGGAAACGGGAATTTCTTCATATAAAATCAAACAGAAGCATTCTCAGGAACTTCTCTGTGATGTTTGCATTCAGCTCATGGAGTTGAACACTTCCTTTCATAGAGCAGGTTTGAAACACTCTTTCTGCACTACCTGGAAGTGGACATTTCGAGCGCTTTGAGGCCTATGGTGAAAAAGGAAATATCTTCTCATAAAAACCAGAAAGAAGAGTTCTCAGAAACTTCTTTGTGTTGTGTGTACTCATGTAACAGTGTTGAACCATCCTTTTGACAGAGCAGTTTTGAAACACTTTTTTTGTAGAATCTGCAAGTGGATATTTGGATAGCTTTGAGGATTTCGTTGGAAACAGGTTATCTTCATATTAAATCTAGACAGAAGCATTCTCAGAAACTTCTTTGTGCTGTATGTCCTCAATTCACAGAGTTGAACCTTTGTTTGGATACAGCATTTTGGAAACATTCCTTTAGTAGAATCTGCAAGTTGATATGTAGATAGCTTTGAAGATTTCGTTGGAAACGGGAATATCTTCATAAAATATCTAGACGGAAGCATTGTCAGAAACTGCTCTGTGATGTTTGCATTCAAGTCACAGAGTTAAATATTCTTTTATAGAGCAGGTTTGAAACACTCTTTCTGCACTCCCTGGAAGTGGAGATTTCGAGCGCTTTGAGGCCTATGGTGAAAAAGGAAATATCTTCCCATAAAAACTAGACGGAAGCCTTCTCAGAAACTTGTTTGAGATGTGTGTATTCAACTAAGAGCGTTGAACATTTCTTTTTACAGAGCAGTTTTAAAACACTCTTTTGGTGGAATCTGAAAGTGGATAATTGGATAGCTTTGTGGATTTCGTTGGAAACGGGATTACGTTTAAAATCTAGAGAGAAGCATTCTCAGGAACTTCTTTCTGATGTTTGCATTCAAGTCACAGAATTGAAC
This sequence comes from Homo sapiens, assembly GCF_000001405.40. Taxonomy (NCBI): domain Eukaryota; kingdom Metazoa; phylum Chordata; class Mammalia; order Primates; family Hominidae; genus Homo; species Homo sapiens. The sequence continues at coordinate 50,273,057 of NC_000004.12, forward strand.
ATTCCTTTTCATAGTGCAGGTTTGAAACACTCTGTAGTATCTGGAAGTGGACATTTCAAGCGCTTTCAAGCCTATGGGGAGAAAGGAAATATCTTGAAATAAAAACTAGACAGAAGGATTCTCAGAAACTTATTTGTGATGTGTGTCCTAAACGAACACAGTTGAACCTTTGTTTTGATACAGCATTTAGGAAACACTCCTTTTGTAGAATCTGCAGGTGGATATTTGGAAAGATTTTAAGATTTCATTGGAAACGGGAATTTCTTCATATAAACTCAAGACAGATGCATTCTCAGAAACTTCTCTGTGATGTTTGCATTCCACTCATAGGAGTTGAAAACTTCCTTTCATAGAGCAGGTTTGAAACACTCTTTTTGTAATATTTGGAAGTGGACATTTGCAGCGCTTTGAGGCCTATGGTGAAAAAAGGAAATATCTTCTCATAAAAACCAGAAACAAGCATTCTCAGAAACTTCTTTTTGATGTGTGTACTCAAGTAACAGAGTTGAACCTTCCTTTTGACACAGCAGTTTTGAAACAATCTTTTTGTAGAATCTGCAAGTGGATATTTGGATAGCTTTGAGGATTTCGTTGGAAACGGGATATCTTCATATAAAATCTAGACAGAAGCATTCTCAGAAACTTCTTTGTGCTGTATGTCCTCAATTAACAGAGTTGAACCATTGCTTGGATACAGCATTTTGGAAACATTCCTTTAGTAGAATCTGCAAGTTGATATTTAGATAGATTTGAAGATTTCGTTGGAAACGGGAATATCTTCATATAAAATCTAGACGGAAGCATTCTCAGAAACTGCTTTGTGATGTTTCCATTCAAGTCACAGAGTTGAATATTCTCTTTTCTAGAGCACGTTTGAAACACTCTTTCTGCACTATCTGGAAGTGGACATTTCGAGCGCTTTGAGGCCTATGGTGAAAAAGGAAATATCTTCCCATAAAAACTAGACAGAAGCATTCTCAGAAACTTGTTTGTGATGTGTGTATTCAACTGAGTTGAACTTTTGTTTCTACAGAGCAGTTTTAAAACACTCTTTTTGTGGAATCAGAAAGTGGATATTCGGATGGCTCTGAGGATTTCGTTGGAAGCGGGATTACATATAAAATCTAGAGAGAAGCATTCTCAGGAACTTCTTTGTGATGTTTGCATTGAAGTCACAGAATTGAACATTCACTTTGATAGAGCAGGTTTGAAACACTCATTCTGTAGTATCTGGAAGTGGACATTTCAAGCGCTTTCAGGCCTATGGTGAGAAAGGAAATATCTTCGAATAAAAACTAGACAGAAGCATCCTCAAACTTATTTGTGATGTGTGTCCTCAACTAACAGAGTTGAAACTTTGTTTTGATACAGCATTTTGGAAACACTCTTTTTGTAGAATCTGCAGGTGGATATTTGGATAGCTTAGAGGGATTCGTTGGAAAGGGGATATCTTCATATAGAATCTAGACAGAAGCATTCTCAGAAACTTATTTGTGATGTGTGTCCTCAACTAACAGAGTTGAACTTTGGTTTTGATACAGCATTTTGGAAACACTCCTTTTGTAGAATCTGCAGGTGGATATGTGGATAGCTCTGAAGATTTCGTTGGAAACGGGAATTTCTTCATATAAAATCAAACAGAAGCATTCTCAGAAACTTCTCAGTGATGTTTGCATTCAGTTCATGGAGTTGAACACTTCCTTTCATAGAGCCGGTTTGAAACACTCTTTCTGCACTACCTGGAAGAGGACATTTCGAGCGCTTTGAGTCCTATGGTGAAAAAGGAAATATCTTCTCATAGAAACCAGAAAGAAGCATTCTCAGAAACTTCTTTGTGTTGTGTGTACTCATGTAACAGTGTTGAACCATCCTTTTGACAGAGCAGTTTTGAAACACTCTTTTTGTAGAATCTGCAAGTGGATATTTGGATAGCTTTGAGGATTTCGTTGGAAACGGGATGACATATAATATCTAGAGAGAAGCATTCTCAGGAACTTCTTTGTGATGTTTGCATTCAAGTCACAGAATTGAACATTCCCTTTCATAGAGCAGGTTTGAAACACTCTTTCTCTAGTATCTGGAAGTGGGCATTTCAAGCGCTTTCAGGCCTATGGAGAGAAAGGAAATACCTTCAAATAAAAACTAGACAGAAGCATTCTCAGAAACTTATTTGTGATGTGTGTCCTCAACTAACAGAGTTGAACCTTTGTTTTGATACAGCATTTTGGAAACACTCCTTTTGTAGAATCTGCAGGTGGATATTTGGATAGCTTTGAAGATTTCGTTGGAAACCGGAATATCTTCATATAAAATCAAGACAGAAGCATTCTCGGAAACATCTCTGTGATGTTTGCATTCAACTCAGTAGAGTTGAACACTTCCTTTCATAGAGCAGGTTTGAAACACTCTTTCTGCACTACCTGGAAGCGGACATTTCGAGCGCTTTGAGGCCTATGGTGAAAAAGGAAATATCTTCTCATAAAAACCAGAAAGAAGCATTCTCAGAAACTTCTTTGTGTTGTGTGTACTCAAGTAACAGTGTTGAACCTTCCTTTTGACAGAGCAGTTTTGAAACACTCTTTTGGTAGAATCTGCAAGTGGATATTTGGATAGCTTTGAGGATTTCGTTGGAAACGGGTAATCTTCCTATAAAATCCAGACAGGAGCATTCTCAGAAACTTCTTTGTGCTGTATGTCCTCAATTCACAGAGCTGAACCTTTGTTTGGATACAGCATTTTGGAGACATTCCTTTAGTAGAATCTGCAAGTTGATATTTAGATAGCTTTGAAGATTTCGTTGGAAACGGGAATATCTTCATAGAAAATCTAGACGGAAGCATTCTCAGAAACTGCTTTGTGATGTTTGCATTCAAGTCACAGAGTTGAATATTCCCTTTTATAGAGTAGGTTTGAAACACTCTTTCGGCACTACCTGGAAGTGGATATTTCGAGCTCTTTGAGGCCTATGGTTAAAAGGAAATATCTTCCCATAAAAACTAGACAGAAGCCGTCTCAGAAACTTGTTTGTGATGTGTGTATTCAACTAACAGAGTTGAACATTTCTGTTACAGAGCAATTTTAAAACGCTCTTTGTGGAATCTGAAAGTGGATAATTGGATAGCTTTGTGGATTTCGTTGGAAACGGGATGACGTATAAAATCTAGAGAGAAGCATTCTCAGGAACTTCTTTCTGATGTTTGCATTCAAGTCACAGAATTGAACATTCCTTTTCAGAGTGCAGGTTTGAAACACTCTTTCTGTAGTATCTGGAAGTGGACATTTCAAGCGCTTTCAGGCCTACGGGGAGAAAGGAAATATCTTCAAATAAAAACTAGACAGAAGGATTCTCAGAAACTTATTTGTGATGTGTGTCCTAAACGAACACAGTTGAACCTTTGTTTTGATACAGCATTTTGGAAACACTCCTTTTGTAGGATCTGCAGGTGGATATTTGGAGAGATTTTAAGATTTCGTTGGAAACGGGAATTTCTTCATAGAAGCTCAAGACAGATGCATTCTCAGAAACTTCTCTGTGATGTTTGCATTCCACTCATAGAGTTGAAAACTTCCTTTCATAGAGCAGGTTTGAAACACTCTTTTTGTAATATGTGGAAGTGGACATTTGCAGCGCTTTGAGGCCTATGGTGAAAAAGGAAATATCTTCTCATAAAAACCAGAAACAAGCATTCTCAGAAACTGCTTTTTGATGTGTGTACTCAAGTAACAGAGTTGAACCTTCCTTTTGACACAGCAGTTTTGAAACAATCTTTTTGTAGAATCTGCAAGTGGATATTTGGATAGCTTTGAGGATTTCGTTGGAAACGGGATATCTTCATATAAAATCTAGACAGAAGCATTCTCAGAAACTTCTTTGTGCTGTATGTCCTCAATTAACAGAGTTGAACCATTGCTTGGATACAGCATTTTGGAAACATTCCTTTAGTAGAATCTGCAAGTTGATATTTAGATAGCTTTGAAGATTTCGTTGGAAACGGGAATATCTTCATATAAAATCTAGACGGAGGCATTCTCAGAAACTGCTTTGTGATGTTTCCATTCAAGTCACAGAGTTGAATATTCTCTTTTATAGAGCACGTTTGAAACACTCTTTCTGCACTATCTGGAAGTGGACATTTCGAGCGCTTTGAGGCCTATGGTGAAAAAGGAAGTATCTTCCCATAAAAACTAGACAGAAGTATTCTCAGAAACTTGTTTGTGATGTGTGTATTCAACTAACAGACTTGAACTTTTGTTTTTACAGAGCAGTTTTAAAACAATCTTTTTGTGGAATCAGAAAGTGGATATTCGGATGGCTTTGAGGATTTCGTTGGAAGCGGGATTACATATAAAATCTAGAGAGAAGCATTCTCAGGAACTACTTTGTGATGTTTGCATTGAAGTCACAGAATTGAACATTCACTTTGATAGAGCAGGTTTGAAACACTCATTCTGTAGTATCTGGAAGTGGACATTTCAAGCGCTTTCAGGCCTATGGGGAGAAAGGAAATATCTTCAAATTAAAACTAGACAGAAGCATCCTCAGAAACTTATTTGTGATGTGTGTCCTCAACTAACAGAGTTGAAACTTTGTTTTGATACAGCATTTTGGAAACACTCTTTTTGTAGAATCTGCAGGTGGATACTTGGATAGCTTAGAGGGATTCGTTGGAAAGGGGATATCTTCATATAAAATCTAGACAGAAGCATTCTCAGAAACTTATTTGTGATGTGTGTCCTCAACTAACAGAGTTGAACCTTGGTTTTGATACAGCATTTTGGAAACACTCCTTTTGAAGAATCTGCAGGTGGATATGTGGATAGCTTTGAAGATTTCGTTGGAAACGGGAATTTCTTCATATAAAATCAAACAGAAGCATTCTCAGGAACTTCTCTGTGATGTTTGCATTCAGCTCATGGAGTTGAACACTTCCTTTCATAGAGCAGGTTTGAAACACTCTTTCTGCACTACCTGGAAGTGGACCTTTCGAGCGCTTTGAGGCCTATGGTGAAAAAGGAAATATCTTCTCATAAAAACCAGAAAGAAGCGTTCTCAGAAACTTCTTTGTGTTGTGTGTACTCATGTAACAGTGTTGAACCATCCTTTTGACAGAGCAGTTTTGAAACACTCTTTTTGTAGAATCTGCCAGTGGATATTTGGATAGCTTTGAGGATGTCGTTGCAAACGGGTTATCTTCATATTAAATCTAGACAGAAGCATTCTCAGAAACTTCTTTGTGCTGTATGTCCTCAATTCACAGAGTTGAACCTTTGTTTGGATACAGAATTTTGGAAACATCCTTTAGTAGAATCTGCAAGTTGATATTTAGATAGCTTTGAAGATTTCATTGGAAACGGGAATATCTTCATAAAAAATCTAGACGGAAGCATTGTCAGAAACTGCTCTGTGATGTTTGCATTCAAGTCACAGGGTTAAATATTCTTTTATAGAGCAGGTTTGAAACACTCTTTCTGCACTCCCTGGAAGTGGAGATTTCGAGCGCTTTGAGGCCTATGGTGAAAAAGGAAATATCTTCCCATAAAAACCAGACGGAAGCATTCTCAGAAACTTGTTTGTGATGTGTGTATTCAACTAACAGAGTTGAACTTTTGTTTTTACAGAGCCGTTTTAAAACACTCTTTTTGTGGAATCAGAAAGTGGATATTCGGATGGCTCTGAGGATTTCGTTGGAAGCGGGATTACATATAAAATCTAGAGAGAAGCATTCTCAGGAACTTCTTTGTGATGTTTGCATTGAAGTCACAGAATTGAACATTCACTTTGATAGAGCAGGTTTGAAACACTCATTCTGTAGTATCTGGAAGTGGACATTTCAAGCGCTTTCAGGCCTATGGTGGGAAAGGAAATATCTTCGAATAAAAACTAGACAGAAGCATCCTCAGAAACCTATTTGTGATGTGTGTCCTCAACTAACAGAGTTAAAACTTTGTTTTGATACAGCATTTTGGAAACACTCTTTTTGTAGAATCTGCAGGTGGATATTTGGATAGCTTAGAGGGATTCGTTGGAAAGGGGATATCTTCATATAAAATCTAGACAGAAGCATTCTCAGAAACTTATTTGTGATGTGTGTCCTCAACTAACAGAGTTGAACCTTGGTTTTGATACAGCATTTTGGAAACACTTCTTTTGTAGAATCTGCAGGTGGATATGTGGATAGCTTTGAAGATTTCGTTGGAAACGGGAATTTCTTCATATAAAATCAAACAGAAGCATTCTTAGAAACTTCTCAGTGATGTTTGCATTCAGCTCATGGAGTTGAACACTTCTTTCATAGAGCAGGTTTGAAACACTCTTTCTGCACTACCTGGAAGAGGACATTTCGAGCGCTTTGAGTCCTATGGTGAAAAAGGAAATATCTTCTCATAGAAACCAGAAAGAAGCATTCTCAGAAACTTCTTTGTGTTGTGTGTACTCATGTAACAGTGTTGAACCATCCTTTTGACAGAGCAGTTTTGAAACACTCTTTTTGTAGAATCTGCAAGTGGATATTTGGATAGCTTTGAGGATTTCGTTGGAAACGGGATGACATATAATATCTAGAGAGAAGCATTCTCAGGAACTTCTTTGTGATGTTTGCATTCAAGTCACAGAATTGAACATTCCCTTTCATAGAGCAGGTTTGAAACACTCTTTCTCTAGTATCTGGAAGTGGGCATTTCAAGCGCTTTCAGGCCTATGGAGAGAAAGGAAATACCTTCAAATAAAAACTAGACAGAAGCATTCTCAGAAACTTATTTGTGATGTGTGTCCTCAACTAACAGAGTTGAACCTTTGTTTTGATACAGCATTTTGGAAACACTCCTTTTGTAGAATCTGCAGGTGGATATTTGGATAGCTTTGAAGATTTTGTTGGAAACCGGAATATCTTCCTATAAAATCAAGACAGAAGCATTCTCGGAAACATCTCTGTGATGTTTGCATTCAACTCAGTAGAGTTGAACACTTCCTTTCATAGAGCAGGTTTGAAACACTCTTTCTGCCCTACCTGGAAGCGGACATTTCGAGCTCTTTGAGGCCTATGGTGAAAAAGGAAATATCTTCTCATAAAAACCAGAAAGAAGCATTCTCAGAAACTTCTTTGTGTTGTGTGTACTCAAGTAACAGTGTTGAACCTTCCTTTTGACAGAGCAGTTTTGAAACACTCTTTTGGTAGAATCTGCAAGTGGATATTTGGATAGCTTTGAGGATTTCGTTGGAAACGGGTTATCTTCATATAAAATCCAGACAGGAGCATTCTCAGAAACTTCTTTGTGCTGTATGTCCTCAATTCACAGAGCTGAACCTTTGTTTGGATACAGCATTTTGGAGACATTCCTTTAGTAGAATCTGCAAGTTGATATTTAGATAGCTTTGAAGATTTCGTTGGAAACGGGAATATCTTCATAGAAAATGCTAGACGGAAGCATTCTCAGCAAACTGCTTTGTGATGTTTGCATTCAAGTCACAGAGTTGAATATTCCCTTTTATAGAGTAGGTTTGAAACACTCTTTCGGCACTACCTGGAAGTGGATATTTCGAGCTCTTTGAGGCCTATGGTTAAAAGGAAATATCTTCCCATAAAAACTAGACAGAAGCCTTCTCAGAAACTTGTTTGAGATGTGTGTATTCAACTAAGAGCGTTGAACATTTCTTTTTACAGAGCTGTTTTAAAACACTCTTTTGGTGGAATCTGAAAGTGGTTAACGGGATAGCTTTGTGGATTTCGTTGGAAACGGGATTACGTTTAAAATCTAGAGAGAAGCATTCTCAGGAACTTCTTTCTGATGTTTGCATTCAAGTCACAGAATTGAACATTCCTTTTCATAGTGCAGGTTTGAAACACTCTGTAGTATCTGGAAGTGGACATTTCAAGCGCTTTCAAGCCTATGGGGAGAAAGGAAATATCTTGAAATAAAAACTAGACAGAAGGATTCTCAGAAACTTATTTGTGATGTGTGTCCTAAACGAACACAGTTGAACCTTTGTTTTGATACAGCATTTTGGAAACACTCCTTTTGTAGAATCTGCAGGTGGATATTTGGATAGATTTTAAGATTTCATTGGAAACGGGAATTTCTTCATATAAACTCAAGACAGATGCATTCTCCGAAACTTCTCTGTGATGTTTGCATTCCACTCATAGAGTTGAAAACTTCCTTTCATAGAGAAGGTTTGAAACACTCTTTTTGTAATATTTGGAAGTGGACATTTGCAGCGCTTTGAGGCCTATGGTGAAAAAGGAAATATCTTCTCATAAAAACCAGAAACAAGCATTCTCAGAAACTGCTTTTTGATGTGTGTACTCAAGTAACAGAGTTGAACCTTCCTTTTGACACAGCAGTTTTGAAACAATCTTTTTGTAGAATCTGCAAGTGGATATTTGGATAGCTTTGAGGATTTCGTTGGAAACGGGATATCTTCATATAAAATCTAGACAGAAGCATTCTCAGAAACTTCTTTGTGCTGTATGACCTCAATTAACAGAGTTGAACCATTGCTTGCATACAGCATTTTGGAAACATTCCTTGAGTAGAATCTGCAAGTTGATATTTAGATAGATTTGAAGATTTCGTTCGAAAACGGAATATCTCCATATAAAATCTAGAGGGAAGCATTCTCAGAAACTGCTTTGTGATGTTTCCATTCAAGTCACAGAGTTGAATATTCCCTTTTATAGAGCACGTTTGAAACACTCTTTCTGCGCTATCTGGAAGTGGACATTTCGAGCGCTTTGAGGCCTATGGTGAAAAAGGAAATATCTTCCCATAAAAACTAGACAGAAGCATTCTCAGAAACTTGTTTGTGATGTGTGTATTCAACTAACAGAGTTGAACTTTTGTTTTTACAGAGCCGTTTTAAAACACTCTTTTTGTGGAATCAGAAAGTGGATATTCGGATGGCTCTGAGGATTTCGTTGGAAGCGGGATTACATATAAAATCTAGAGAGAAGCATTCTCAGGAACTTCTTTGTGATGTTTGCATTGAAGTCACAGAATTGAACATTCACTTTGATAGAGCAGGTTTGAAACACTCATTCTGTAGTATCTGGAAGTGGACATTTCAAGCGCTTTCAGGCCTATGGTGAGAAAGGAAATATCTTCGAATAAAAACTAGACAGAAGCATCCTCAAACTTATTTGTGATGTGTGTCCTCAACTAACAGAGTTGAAACTTTGTTTTGATACAGCATTTTGGAAACACTCTTTTTGTAGAATCTGCAGGTGGATATTTGGATAGCTTAGAGGGATTCGTTGGAAAGGGGATATCTTCATATAGAATCTAGACAGAAGCATTCTCAGAAACTTATTTGTGATGTGTGTCCTCAACTAACAGAGTTGAACTTTGGTTTTGATACAGCATTTTGGAAACACTCCTTTTGTAGAATCTGCAGGTGGATATGTGGATAGCTCTGAAGATTTCGTTGGAAACGGGAATTTCTTCATATAAAATCAAACAGAAGCATTCTCAGAAACTTCTCAGTGATGTTTGCATTCAGTTCATGGAGTTGAACACTTCCTTTCATAGAGCCGGTTTGAAACACTCTTTCTGCACTACCTGGAAGAGGACATTTCGAGCGCTTTGAGTCCTATGGTGAAAAAGGAAATATCTTCTCATAGAAACCAGAAAGAAGCATTCTCAGAAACTTCTTTGTGTTGTGTGTACTCATGTAACAGTGTTGAACCATCCTTTTGACAGAGCAGTTTTGAAACACTCTTTTTGTAGAATCTGCAAGTGGATATTTGGATAGCTTTGAGGATTTCGTTGGAAACGGGATGACATATAATATCTAGAGAGAAGCATTCTCAGGAACTTCTTTGTGATGTTTGCATTCAAGTCACAGAATTGAACATTCCCTTTCATAGAGCAGGTTTGAAACACTCTTTCTCTAGTATCTGGAAGTGGGCATTTCAAGCGCTTTCAGGCCTATGGAGAGAAAGGAAATACCTTCAAATAAAAACTAGACAGAAGCATTCTCAGAAACTTATTTGTGATGTGTGTCCTCAACTAACAGAGTTGAACCTTTGTTTTGATACAGCATTTTGGAAACACTCCTTTTGTAGAATCTGCAGGTGGATATTTGGATAGCTTTGAAGATTTCGTTGGAAACCGGAATATCTTCATATAAAATCAAGACAGAAGCATTCTCGGAAACATCTCTGTGATGTTTGCATTCAACTCAGTAGAGTTGAACACTTCCTTTCATAGAGCAGGTTTGAAACACTCTTTCTGCACTACCTGGAAGCGGACATTTCGAGCGCTTTGAGGCCTATGGTGAAAAAGGAAATATCTTCTCATAAAAACCAGAAAGAAGCATTCTCAGAAACTTCTTTGTGTTGTGTGTACTCAAGTAACAGTGTTGAACCTTCCTTTTGACAGAGCAGTTTTGAAACACTCTTTTGGTAGAATCTGCAAGTGGATATTTGGATAGCTTTGAGGATTTCGTTGGAAACGGGTTATCTTCATATAAAATCCAGACAGGAGCATTCTCAGAAACTTCTTTGTGCTGTATGTCCTCAATTCACAGAGCTGAACCTTTGTTTGGATACAGCATTTTGGAGACATTCCTTTAGTAGAATCTGCAAGTTGATATTTAGATAGCTTTGAAGATTTCGTTGGAAACGGGAATATCTTCATAGAAAATCTAGACGGAAGCATTCTCAGAAACTGCTTTGTGATGTTTGCATTCAAGTCACAGAGTTGAATATTCCCTTTTATAGAGTAGGTTTGAAACACTCTTTCGGCACTACCTGGAAGTGGATATTTCGAGCTCTTTGAGGCCTATGGTTAAAAGGAAATATCTTCCCATAAAAACTAGACAGAAGCCGTCTCAGAAACTTGTTTGTGATGTGTGTATTCAACTACCAGAGTTGAACATTTCTGTTACAGAGCAATTTTAAAACACTCTTTCTGTGGAATCTGAAAGTGGATAATTGGATAGCTTTGTGGATTTCGTTGGAAACGGGATGACGTATAAAATCTAGAGAGAAGCATCCTCAGGAACTTCTTTCTGATGTTTGCATTCAAGTCACAGAATTGAACATTCCTTTTCAGAGTGCAGGTTTGAAACACTCTTTCTGTAGTATCTGGAAGTGGACATTTCAAGCGCTTTCAGGCCTACGGGGAGAAAGGAAATATCTTCAAATAAAAACTAGACAGAAGGATTCTCAGAAACTTATTTGTGATGTGTGTCCTAAACGAACACAGTTGAGCCTTTGTTTTGATACAGCATTTTGGAAACACTCCTTTTGTAGGATCTGCAGGTGGATATTTGGATAGATTTTAAGATTTCGTTGGAAACGGGAATTTCTGCATATAAACTCAAGACAGATGCATTCTCAGAAACTTCTCTGTGATGTTTGCATTCCACTCATAGAGTTGAAAACTTCCTTTCATAGAGCAGGTTTGAAACACTCTTTTTGTAATATTTGGAAGTGGACATTTGCAGCGCTTTGAGGCCTATGGTGAAAAAGGAAATATCTTCTCATAAAAACCAGAAACAAGCATTCTCAGAAACTTCTTTTTGATGTGTGTACTCAAGTAACAGAGTTGAACCTTCCTTTTGACACAGCAGTTTTGAAACAATCTTTTTGTAGAATCTGCAAGTGGATATTTGGATAGCTTTGAGGATTTCGTTGGAAACGGGATATCTTCATATAAAATCTAGACAGAAGCATTCTCAGAAACTTCTTTGTGCTGTATGTCCTCAATTAACAGAGTTGAACCATTGCTTGGATACAGCATTTTGGAAACATTCCTTGAGTAGAATCTGCAAGTTGATATTTAGATAGATTTGAAGATTTCGTTGGAAAAGGGAATATCTCCATATAAAATCTAGAGGGAAGCATTCTCAGAAACTGCTTTGTGATGTTTCCATTCAAGTCACAGAGTTGAATATTCCCTTTTATAGAGCACGTTTGAAACACTCTTTCTGCACTATCTGGAAGTGGACATTTCGAGCGCTTTGAGGCCTATGGTGAAAAAGGAAATATCTTCCCATAAAAACTAGACAGAAGCAGTCTCAGAAACTTGTTTGTGATGTGTGTATTCAACTAACAGAGTTGAACTTTTGTTTTTACAGAGCCGTTTTAAAACACTCTTTTTGTGGAATCAGAAAGTGGATATTCGGATGGCTCTGAGGATTTCGTTGGAAGCGGGATTACATATAAAATCTAGAGAGAAGCATTCTCAAGAACTACTTTGTGATGTTTGCATTGAAGTCACAGAATTGAACATTCACGTCGATAGAGCAGGTTTGAAACACTCATTCTGTAGTATCTGGAAGTGGACATTTCAAGCGCTTTCAGGCCTATGGTGAGAAAGGAAATATCTTCAAATAAAAACTAGACAGAAGCATCCTCAGAAACTTATTTGTGATGTGTGTCCTCAACTAACAGAGTTGAAACTTTGTTTTGATACAGCATTTTGGAAACACTCTTTTTGTAGAATCTGCAGGTGGATATTTGGATAGCTTAGAGGGATTCGTTGGAAAGGGGATATCTTCATATAAAATCTAGACAGAAGCATTCTCAGAAACTTATTTGTGATGTGTGTCCTCAACTAACAGAGTTGAACCTTGGTTTTGATACAGCATTTTGGAAACACTCCTTTTGTAGAATCTGCAGGTGGATATGTGGATAGCTCTGAAGATTTCGTTGGAAACGGGAATTTCTTCATATAAAATCAAACAGAAGCATTCTCAGAAACTTCTCAGTGATGTTTGCATTCAGTTCATGGAGTTGAACACTTCCCTTCATAGAGCCGGTTTGAAACACTCTTTCTGCACTACCTGGAAGAGGACATTTCGAGCGCTTTGAGTCCTATGGTGAAAAAGGAAATATCTTCTCATAGAAACCAGAAAGAAGCATTCTCAGAAACTTCTTTGTGTTGTGTGTACTCATGTAACAGTGTTGAACCATCCTTTTGACAGAGCAGTTTTGAAACACTCTTTTTGTAGAATCTGCAAGTGGATATTTGGATAGCTTTGAGGATTTCGTTGGAAACGGGATGACATATAATATCTAGAGAGAAGCATTCTCAGGAACTTCTTTGTGATGTTTGCATTCAAGTCACAGAATTGAACATTCCCTTTCATAGAGCAGGTTTGAAACACTCTTTCTCTAGTATCTGGAAGTGGGCATTTCAAGCGCTTTCAGGCCAATGGAGAGAAAGGAAATACCTTCAAATAAAAACTAGACAGAAGCATTCTCAGAAACTTATTTGTGATGTGTGTCCTCAACTAACAGAGTTGAACCTTTGTTTTGATACAGCATTTTGGAAACACTCCTTTTGTAGAATCTGCAGGTGGATATTTGGATAGCTTTGAAGATTTCGTTGGAAACCGGAATATCTTCATATAAAATCAAGACAGAAGCATTCTCGGAAACATCTCTGTGATGTTTGCATTCAACTCAGTAGAGTTGAACACTTCCTTTCCTAGAGCAGGTTTGAAACACTCTTTCTGCCCTACCTGGAAGCGGACATTTCGAGCTCTTTGAGGCCTATGGTGAAAAAGGAAATATCTTCTCATAAAAACCAGAAAGAAGCATTCTCAGAAACTTCTTTGTGTTGTGTGTACTCAAGTAACAGTGTTGAACCTTCCTTTTGACAGAGCAGTTTTGAAACACTCTTTTGGTAGAATCTGCAAGTGGATATTTGGATAGCTTTGAGGATTTCGTTGGAAACGGGTTATCTTCATATAAAATCCAGACAGGAGCATTCTCAGAAACTTCTTTGTGCTGTATGTCCTCAATTCACAGAGCTGAACCTTTGTTTGGATACAGCATTTTGGAGACATTCCTTTAGTAGAATCTGCAAGTTGATATTTAGATAGCTTTGAAGATTTCGTTGGAAACGGGAATATCTTCATAGAAAATCTAGACAGAAGCATTCTCAGAAACTGCTTTGTGATGTTTGCATTCAAGTCACAGAGTTGAATATTCCCTTTTATAGAGTAGGTTTGAAACACTCTTTCGGCACTACCTGGAAGTGGATATTTCGAGCTCTTTGAGGCCTATGGTTAAAAGGAAATATCTTCCCATAAAAACTAGACAGAAGCCGTCTCAGAAACTTGTTTGTGATATGTGTATTCAACTAACAGAGTTGAACACTTCTGTTACAGAGCAATTTTAAAACACTCTTTTTGTGGAATCTGAAAGTGGATAATTGGGTAGCTTTGTGGATTTCGTTGGAAACGGGATGACGTATAAAATCTAGAGAGAAGCATTCTCAGGAACTTCTTTCTGATGTTTGCATTCAAGTCACAGAATTGAACATTCCTTTTCAGAGTGCAGGTTTGAAACACTCTTTCTGTAGTATCTGGAAGTGGACATTTCAAGCGCTTTCAGGCCTACGGGGAGAAAGGAAATATCTTCAAATAAAAACTAGACAGAAGGATTCTCAGAAACTTATTTGTGATGTGTGTCCTAAACGAACACAGTTGAACCTTTGTTTTGATACAGCATTTTGGAAACACTCCTTTTGTAGGATCTGCAGGTGGATATTTGGATAGATTTTAAGATTTCGTTGGAAACGGGAATTTCTTCATAGAAGCTCAAGACAGATGCATTCTCAGAAACTTCTCTGTGATGTTTGCATTCCACTCATAGAGTTGAAAACTTCCTTTCATAGAGCAGGTTTGAAACACTCTTTTTGTAATATTTGGAAGTGGACATTTGCAGCGCTTTGAGGCCTATGGTGAAAAAGGAAATATCTTCTCATAAAAACCAGAAACAAGCATTCTCAGAAACTTCTTTTTGATGTGTGTACTCAAGTAACAGAGTTGAACTTTCCTTTTGACACAGCAGTTTTGAAACAATCTTTTTGTAGAATCTGCAAGTGGATATTTGGATAGCTTTGAGGATTTCGTTGGAAACGGGATATCTTCATATAAAATCTAGACAGATAAGCATTCTCAGAAACTTCTTTGTGCTGTATGTCCTCAATTAACAGAGTTGAACCATTGCCTGGATACAGCATTTTGGAAACATTCCTTGAGTAGAATCTGCAAGTTGATATTTAGATAGATTTGAAGATTTCGTTGGAAAAGGGAATATCTCCATATAAAATCTAGAGGGAAGCATTCTCAGAAACTGCTTTGTGATGTTTCCATTCAAGTCACAGAGTTGAATATTCCCTTTTATAGAGCACGTTTGAAACACTCTTTCTGCACTATCTGGAAGCGGACATTTCGAGCGCTTTGAGGCCTATGGTGAAAAAGGAAATATCTTCCCATAAAAACTAGACAGAAGCATTCTCAGAAACTTGTTTGTGATGTGTGTATTCAACTAACAGAGTTGAACTTTTGTTTTTACAGAGCCGTTTTAAAACACTCTTTTTGTGGAATCAGAAAGTGGATATTCGGATGGCTCTGAGGATTTCGTTGGAAGCGGGATTACGTATAAAATCTAGAGAGAAGCATTCTCAGGAACTTCTTTGTGATGTTTGCATTGAAGTCACAGAATTGAACATTCACTTTGATAGAGCAGGTTTGAAACACTCATTCTGTAGTATCTGGAAGTGGACATTTCAAGCGCTTTCAGGCCTATGGTGAGAAAGGAAATATCTTCGAATAAAAACTAGACAGAAGCATCCTCAAACTAATTGGTGATGTGTGTCCTCAACTAACAGAGTTGAAACTTTGTTTTGATACAGCATTTTGGAAACACTCTTTTTGTAGAATCTGCAGGTGGATATTTGGATAGCTTAGAGGGATTCGTTGGAAAGGGGATATCTTCATATAAAATCTAGACAGAAGCATTCTCAGAAACTTATTTGTGATGTGTGTCTTAAACTAACAGAGTTGAACCTTGGTTTTGATACAGCATTTTGGAAACACTCCTTTTGTAGAATCTGCAGGTGGATATGTGGATAGCTCTGAAGATTTCGTTGGAAACGGGAATTTCTTCATATAAAATCAAACAGAAGCATTCTCAGAAACTACTCAGTGATGTTTGCATTCAGCTCATGGAGTTGAACACTTCCTTTCAGAGAGCAGCTTTGAAACACTCTTTCTGCACTACCAGGAAGTGGACATTTCGAGCGCTTTGAGGCCTATGGTGAAAAAGGAAATATCTTCTCATAAAAACCATAAAGAAGCATTCTCAGAAACTTCTTTGTGTTGTGTGTACTCATGTAACAGTGTTGAACCATCCTTTTGACAGAGGAGTTTTGAAACACTCTTTTTGTAGAATCTGCAAGTGGATATTTGGATAGCTTTGAGGATTTCGTTGGAAACGGGATGACATATAATATCTAGAGAGAAGCATTCTCAGGAACTTGCTTTGTGATGTTTGCATTCAAGTCACAGAATTGAACATTCCCTTTCATAGAGCAGGTTTGAAACACTCTTTCTCTAGTATCTGGAAGTGGGCATTTCAAGCGCTTTCAGGCCTATGGAGAGAAAGGAAATACCTTCAAATAAAAACTAGACAGAAGCATTCTCAGAAACTTATTTGTGATGTGTGTCCTCAACTAACAGAGTTGAACCTTTGTTTTGATACAGCATTTTGGAAACACTCCTTTTGTAGAATCTGCAGGTGGATATTTGGATAGCTTTGAAGATTTCGTTGGAAACCGGAATATCTTCATATAAAATCAAGACAGAAGCATTCTCGGAAACATCTCTGTGATGTTTGCATTCAACTCAGTAGAGTTGAACACTTCCTTTCATAGAGCAGGTTTGAAACACTCTTTCTGCACTACCTGGAAGCGGACATTTCGAGCGCTTTGAGGCCTATGGTGAAAAAGGAAATATCTTCTCATAAAAACCAGAAAGAAGCATTCTCAGAAACTTCTTTGTGTTGTGTGTACTCAAGTAACAGTGTTGAACCTTCCTTTTGACAGAGTAGTTTTGAAACACTCTTTTGGTAGAATCTGCAAGTGGATATTTGGATAGCTTTGAGGATTTCGTTGGAAACGGGTTATCTTCCTATAAAATCCAGACAGGAGCATTCTCAGAAACTTCTTTGTGCTGTATGTCCTCAATTCACAGAGCTGAACCTTTGTTTGGATACAGCATTTTGGAGACATTCCTTTAGTAGAATCTGCAAGTTGATATTTAGATAGCTTTGAAGATTTCGTTGGAAACGGGAATATCTTCATAGAAAATCTAGACGGAAGCATTCTCAGAAACTGCTTTGTGATGTTTGCATTCAAGTCACAGAGTTGAATATTCCCTTTTATAGAGTAGGTTTGAAACACTCTTTCGGCACTACCTGGAAGTGGATATTTCGAGCTCTTTGAGGCCTATGGTTAAAAGGAAATATCTTCCCATAAAAACTAGACAGAAGCCGTCTCAGAAACTTGTTTGTGATGTGTGTATTCAACTACCAGAGTTGAACATTTCTGTTACAGAGCAATTTTAAAACACTCTTTTTGTGGAATCTGAAAGTGGATAATTGGATAGCTTTGTGGATTTCGTTGGAAACGGGATGACGTATAAATACTAGAGAGAAAGCATTCTCAGGAACTTCTTTCTGATGTTTGCATTCAAGTCACAGAATTGAACATTCCTTTTCAGAGTGCAGGTTTGAAACACACTCTTTCTGTAGTATCTGGAAGTGGACATTTCAAGCGCTTTCAGGCCTACGGGGAGAAAGGAAATATCTTCAAATAAAAACTAGACAGAAGGATTCTCAGAAACTTATTTGTGATGTGTGTCCTAAACGAACACAGTTGAACCTTTGTTTTGATACAGCATTTTGGAAACACTCCTTTTGTAGGATCTGCAGGTGGATATTTGGATAGATTTTAAGATTTCGTTGGAAACGGGAATTTCTGCATATAAACTCAAGACAGATGCATTCTCAGAAACTTCTCTGTGATGTTTGCATTCCACTCATAGAGTTGAAAACTTCCTTTCATAGAGCAGGTTTGAAACACTCTTTTTGTAATATTTGGAAGTGGACATTTGCAGCGCTTTGAGGCCTATGGTGAAAAAGGAAATATCTTCTCATAAAAACCAGAAACAAGCATTCTCAGAAACTTCTTTTTGATGTGTGTACTCAAGTAACAGAGTTGAACCTTCCTTTTGACACAGCAGTTTTGAAACAATCTTTTTGTAGAATCTGCAAGTGGATATTTGGATAGCTTTGAGGATTTCGTTGGAAACGGGATATCTTCATATAAAATCTAGACAGAAGCATTCTCAGAAACTTCTTTGTGGTGTATGTCCTCAATTAACCGAGTTGAACCATTGCCTGGATACAGCATTTTGGAAACATTCCTTGAGTAGAATCTGCAAGTTGATATTTAGATAGATTTGAAGATTTCGTTGGAAAAGGGAATATCTCCATATAAAATCTAGAGGGAAGCATTCTCAGAAACTGCTTTGTGATGTTTCCATTCAAGTCACAGAGTTGAATATTCCCTTTTATAGAGCACGTTTGAAACACTCTTTCTGCACTATCTGGAAGCGGACATTTCGAGCGCTTTGAGGCCTATGGTGAAAAAGGAAATATCTTCCCATAAAAACTAGACAGAAGCATTCTCAGAAACTTGTTTGTGATGTGTGTATTCAACTAACAGAGTTGAACTTTTGTTTTTACAGAGCCGTTTTAAAACACTCTTTTTGTGGAATCAGAAAGTGGATATTCGGATGGCTCTGAGGATTTCGTTGGAAGCGGGATTACGTATAAAATCTAGAGAGAAGCATTCTCAGGAACTTCTTTCTGATGTTTGCATTGAAGTCACGGAATTGAACATTCACTTTTATAGAGCAGGTTTGAAACACTCATTCTGTAGTATCTGGAAGTGGACATTTCAAGCGCTTTCAGGCCTATGGTGAGAAAGGAAATATCTTCGAATAAAAACTAGACAGAAGCATTCTCAGAAACTTATTTGTGATGTGTGTCCTCAACTAACAGAGTTGAAACTTTGTTTTGATACAGCATTTTGGAAACACTCTTTTTGTAGAATCTGCAGGTGGATATTTGGATAGCTTAGAGGGATTCGTTGGAAAGGGGATATCTTCATATAAAATCTAGACAGAAGCATTCTCAGAAACTTATTTGTGATGTGTGTCCTCAACTAACAGAGTTGAACCTTGGTTTTGATACAGCATTTTGGAAACACTCCTTTTGTAGAATCTGCAGGTGGATATGTGGATAGCTCTGAAGATTTCGTTGGAAACGGGAATTTCTTCATATAAAATCAAACAGAAGCATTCTCAGAAACTTCTCAGTGATGTTTGCATTCAGCTCATGGAGTTGTACACTTCCTTTCATAGAGCAGGTTTGAAACACTCTTTCTGCACTACCTGGAAGAGGACATTTCGAGCGCTTTGAGTCCTATGGTGAAAAAGGAAATATCTTCTCATAGAAACCAGAAAGAAGCATTCTCAGAAACTTCTTTGTGTTGTGTGTACTCATGTAACAGTGTTGAACCATCCTTTTGACAGAGGAGTTTTGAAACACTCTTTTTGTAGAATCTGCAAGTGGATATTTGGATAGCTTTGAGGATTTCGTTGGAAACGGGATGACATATAATATCTAGAGAGGAAGCATTCTCAGGAACTTCTTTGTGATGTTTGCATTCAAGTCACAGAATTGAACATTCCCTTTCATAGAGCAGGTTTGAAACACTCTTTCTCTAGTATCTGGAAGTGGGCATTTCAAGCGCTTTCAGGCCTATGGAGAGAAAGGAAATACCTTCAAATAAAAACTAGACAGAAGCATTCTCAGAAACTTATTTGTGATGTGTGTCCTCAACTAACAGAGTTGAACCTTTGTTTTGATACAGCATTTTGGAAACACTCCTTTTGTAGAATCTGCAGGTGGATATTTGGATAGCTTTGAAGATTTCGTTGGAAACCGGAATATCTTCATATAAAATCAAGACAGAAGCATTCTCGGAAACATCTCTGTGATGTTTGCATTCAACTCAGTAGAGTTGAACACTTCCTTTCATAGAGCAGGTTTGAAACACTCTTTCTGCACTACCTGGAAGCGGACATTTCGAGCGCTTTGAGGCCTATGGTGAAAAAGGAAATATCTTCTCATAAAAACCAGAAAGAAGCATTCTCAGAAACTTCTTTGTGTTGTGTGTACTCAAGTAACAGTGTTGAACCTTCCTTTTGACAGAGCAGTTTTGAAACACTCTTTTGGTAGAATCTGCAAGTGGATATTTGGATAGCTTTGAGGATTTCGTTGGAAACGGGTTATCTTCCTATAAAATCCAGACAGGAGCATTCTCAGAAACTTCTTTGTGCTGTATGTCCTCAATTCACAGAGCTGAACCTTTGTTTGGATACAGCATTTTGGAGACATTCCTTTAGTAGAATCTGCAAGTTGATATTTAGATAGCTTTGAAGATTTCGTTGGAAACGGGAATATCTTCATAGAAAATCTAGACGGAAGCATTCTCAGAAACTGCTTTGTGATGTTTGCATTCAAGTCACAGAGTTGAATATTCCCTTTTATAGAGTAGGTTTGAAACACTCTTTCGGCACTACCTGGAAGTGGATATTTCGAGCTCTTTGAGGCCTATGGTTAAAAGGAAATATCTTCCCATAAAAACTAGACAGAAGCCGTCTCAGAAACTTGTTTGTGATGTGTGTATTCAACTAACAGAGTTGAACACTTCTGTTACAGAGCAATTTTAAAACACTCTTTTTGTGGAATCTGAAAGTGGATAATTGGGTAGCTTTGTGGATTTCGTTGGAAACGGGATGACGTATAAAATCTAGAGAGAAGCATTCTCAGGAACTTCTTTCTGATGTTTGCATTCAAGTCACAGAATTGACATTCCTTTTCAGAGTGCAGGTTTGAAACACTCTTTCTGTAGTATCTGGAAGTGGACATTTCAAGCGCTTTCAGGCCTATGGGGAGAAAGGAAATATCTTCAAATAAAAACTAGACAGAAGGATTCTCAGAAACTTATTTGTGATGTGTGTCCTAAACGAACACAGTTGAACCTTTGTTTTGATACAGCATTTTGGAAACACTCCTTTTGTAGAATCTGCAGGTGGATATTTGGATAGATTTTAAGATTTCGTTGGAAACGGGAATTTCTGCATATAAACTCAAGACAGATGCATTCTCAGAAACTTCTCTGTGATGTTTGCATTCCACTCATAGAGTTGAAAACTTCCTTTCATAGAGCAGGTTTGAAACACTCTTTTTGTAATATTTGGAAGTGGACCTTTGCAGCGCTTTGAGGCCTATGGTGAAAAAGGAAATATCTTCTCATAAAAACCAGAAACAAGCATTCTCAGAAACTTCTTTTTGATGTGTGTACTCAAGTAACAGAGTTGAACCTTCCTTTTGACACAGCAGTTTTGAAACAATCTTTTTGTAGAATCTGCAAGTGGATATTTGGATAGCTTTGAGGATTTCGTTGGAAACGGGATATCTTCATATAAAATCTAGACAGAAGCATTCACAGAAACTTCTTTGTGCTGTATGACCTCAATTAACAGAGTTGAACCATTGCTTGCATACAGCATTTTGGAAACATTCCTTGAGTAGAATCTGCAAGTTGATATTTAGATAGATTTGAAGATTTCGTTGGAAAAGGGAATATCTCCATATAAAATCTAGAGGGAAGCATTCTCAGAAACTGCTTTGTGATGTTTCCATTCAAGTCACAGAGTTGAATATTCCCTTTTATAGAGCACGTTTGAAACACTCTTTCTGCGCTATCTGGAAGTGGACATTTCGAGCGCTTTGAGGCCTATGGTGAAAAAGGAAATATCTTCCCATAAAAACTAGACAGAAGCATTCTCAGAAACTTGTTTGTGATGTGTGTATTCAACTAACAGAGTTGAACTTTTGTTTTTACAGAGCCGTTTTAAAACACTCTTTTTGTGGAATCAGAAAGTGGATATTCGGATGGCTCTGAGGATTTCGTTGGAAGCGGGATTACATATAAAATCTAGAGAGAAGCATTCTCAGGAACTTCTTTGTGATGTTTGCATTGAAGTCACAGAATTGAACATTCACTTTGATAGAGCAGGTTTGAAACACTCATTCTGTAGTATCTGGAAGTGGACATTTCAAGCGCTTTCAGGCCTATGGTGAGAAAGGAAATATCTTCGAATAAAAACTAGACAGAAGCATCCTCAAACTTATTTGTGATGTGTGTCCTCAACTAACAGAGTTGAAACTTTGTTTTGATACAGCATTTTGGAAACACTCTTTTTGTAGAATCTGCAGGTGGATATTTGGATAGCTTAGAGGGATTCGTTGGAAAGGGGATATCTTCATATAGAATCTAGACAGAAGCATTCTCAGAAACTTATTTGTGATGTGTGTCCTCAACTAACAGAGTTGAACCTTGGTTTTGATACAGCATTTTGGAAACACTCCTTTTGTAGAATCTGCAGGTGGATATGTGGATAGCTCTGAAGATTTCGTTGGAAACGGGAATTTCTTCATAGAAAATCAAACAGAAGCATTCTCAGAAACTTCTCTGTGATGTTTGCATTCAGCTCATGGAGTTGAACACATCCTTTCAGAGAGCACCTTTGAAACACTCTTTCTGCACTACCAGGAAGTAGACATTTCAAGCGCTTTGAGGCCTATGGTGAAAAAGGAAATATCTTCTCATAAAAACCAGAAAGAAGCATTCTCAGAAACTTCTTTGTGTTGTGTGTACTCATGTAACAGTGTTGAACCATCCTTTTGACAGAGGAGTTTTGAAACACTCTTTTTGTAGAATCTGCAAGTGGATATTTGGATAGCTTTGAGGATTTCGTTGGAAACGGGATGACATATAATATCTAGAGAGAAGCATTCTCAGGAACTTCTTTGTGATGTTTGCATTCAAGTCACAGAATTGAACATTCCCTTTCATAGAGCAGGTTTGAAACACTCTTTCTCTAGTATCTGGAAGTGGGCATTTCAAGCGCTTTCAGGCCTATGGAGAGAAAGGAAATACCTTCAAATAAAAACTAGACAGAAGCATTCTCAGAAACTTATTTGTGATGTGTGTCCTCAACTAACAGAGTTGAACCTTTGTTTTGATACAGCATTTTGGAAACACTCCTTTTGTAGAATCTGCAGGTGGATATTTGGATAGCTTTGAAGATTTCGTTGGAAACCGGAATATCTTCATATAAAATCAAGACAGAAGCATTCTCGGAAACATCTCTGTGATGTTTGCATTCAACTCAGTAGAGTTGAACACTTCCTTTCATAGAGCAGGTTTGAAACACTCTTTCTGCACTACCTGGAAGCGGACATTTCGAGCGCTTTGAGGCCTATGGTGAAAAAGGAAATATCTTCTCATAAAAACCAGAAAGAAGCATTCTCAGAAACTTCTTTGTGTTGTGTGTACTCAAGTAACAGTGTTGAACCTTACTTTTGACAGAGTAGTTTTGAAACACTCTTTTGGTAGAATCTGCAAGTGGATATTTGGATAGCTTTGAGGATTTCGTTGGAAACGGGTTATCTTCATATAAAATCCAGACAGGAGCATTCTCAGAAACTTCTTTGTGCTGTATGTCCTCAATTCACAGAGTTGAACCTTTGTTTGGATACAGCATTTTGGAAACATTCCTTTAGTAGAATCTGCAAGTTGATATTTAGATAGCTTTGAAGATTTCGTTGGAAACGGGAATATCTTCATAAAAAATCTAGACGGAAGCATTGTCAGAAACTGCTCTGTGATGTTTGCATTCAAGTCACAGAGTTAAATATTCTTTTATAGAGCAGGTTTGAAACACTCTTTCTGCACTCCCTGGAAGTGGAGATTTCGAGCGCTTTGAGGCCTATGGTGAAAAAGGAAATATCTTCCCGTAAAAACTAGACGGAAGCCTTCTCAGAAACTTGTTTGAGATGTGTGTATTCAACTAAGAGCGTTGAACATTTCTTTTTACAGAGCAGTTTTAAAACAGTCTTTTGGTGGAATCTGAAAGTGGATAATTGGATAGCTTTGTGGATTTCGTTGCAAACGGGATTACGTTTAAAATCTAGAGAGAAGCATTCTCAGGAACTTCTTTCTGATGTTTGCATTCAAGTCACAGAATTGAACATTCCTTTTCAGAGTGCAGGTTTGAAACACTCTTTCTGTAGTATCTGGAAGTGGACATTTCAAGCGCTTTCAGGCCTACAGGGAGAAAGGAAATATCTTCAAATAAAAACTAGAGAGAAGGATTCTCAGAAACTTATTTGTGATGTGTGTCCTAAACGAACACAGTTGAACCTTTGTTTTGATACAGCATTTTGGAAACACTCCTTTTGTAGGATCTGCAGGTGGATATTTGGATAGATTTTAAGATTTCGTTGGAAACGGGAATTTCTTCATAGAAGCTCAAGACAGATGCATTCTCAGAAACTTCTCTGTGATGTTTGCATTCCACTCATAGAGTTGAAAACTTCCTTTCATAGAGCAGGTTTGAAACACTCTTTTTGTAATATTTGGAAGTGGACATTTGCAGCGCTTTGAGGCCTATGGTGAAAAAGGAAATATCTTCTCATAAAAACCAGAAACAAGCATTCTCAGAAACTTCTTTTTGATGTGTGTACTCAAGTAACAGAGTTGAACCTTCCTCTTGACACAGCAGTTTTGAAACAATCTTTTTGTAGAATCTGCAAGTGGATATTTGGATAGCTTTGAGGATTTCGTTGGAAACGGGATATCTTCATATAAAATCTAGACAGAAGCATTCTCAGAAACTTCTTTGTGCTGTATGTCCTCAATTAACAGAGTTGAACCATTGCCTGGATACAGCATTTTGGAAACATTCCTTGAGTAGAATCTGCAAGTTGATATTTAGATAGATTTGAAGATTTCGTTGGAAAAGGGAATATCTCCATATAAAATCTAGAGGGAAGCATTCTCAGAAACTGCTTTGTGATGTTTCCATTCAAGTCACAGAGTTGAATATTCCCTTTTATAGAGCACGTTTGAAACACTCTTTCTGCACTATCTGGAAGCGGACATTTCGAGCGCTTTGAGGCCTATGGTGAAAAAGGAAATATCTTCCCATAAAAACTAGACAGAAGCATTCTCAGAAACTTGTTTGTGATGTGTGTATTCAACTAACAGAGTTGAACTTTTGTTTTTACAGAGCCGTTTTAAAACACTCTTTTTGTGGAATCAGAAAGTGGATATTCGGATGGCTCTGAGGATTTCGTTGGAAGCGGGATTACGTATAAAATCTAGAGAGAAGCATTCTCAGGAACTTCTTTGTGATGTTTGCATTCAAGTCACAGAATTGAACATTCCCTTTCATAGAGCAGGTTTGAAACACTCTTTCTCTAGTATCTGGAAGTGGGCATTTCAAGCGCTTTCAGGCCTATGGAGAGAAAGGAAATACCTTCAAATAAAAAACTAGACAGAAGCATTCTCAGAAACTTATTTGTGATGTGTGTCCTCAACTAACAGAGTTGAACCTTTGTTTTGATACAGCATTTTGGAAACACTCCTTTTGTAGAATCTGCAGGTGGATATTTGGATAGCTTTGAAGATTTCGTTGGAAACCGGAATATCTTCATATAAAATCAAGACAGAAGCATTCTCGGAAACATCTCTGTGATGTTTGCATTCAACTCAGTAGAGTTGAACACTTCCTTTCATAGAGCAGGTTTGAAACACTCTTTCTGCACTACCTGGAAGCGGACATTTCGAGCGCTTTGAGGCCTATGGTGAAAAAGGAAATATCTTCTCATAAAAACCAGAAAGAAGCATTCTCAGAAACTTCTTTGTGTTGTGTGTACTCAAGTAACAGTGTTGAACCTTCCTTTTGACAGAGTAGTTTTGAAACACTCTTTTGGTAGAATCTGCAAGTGGATATTTGGATAGCTTTGAGGATTTCGTTGGAAACGGGTTATCTTCCTATAAAATCCAGACAGGAGCATTCTCAGAAACTTCTTTGTGCTGTATGTCCTCAATTCACAGAGCTGAACCTTTGTTTGGATACAGCATTTTGGAGACATTCCTTTAGTAGAATCTGCAAGTTGATATTTAGATAGCTTTGAAGATTTCGTTGGAAACGGGAATATCTTCATAGAAAATCTAGACGGAAGCATTCTCAGAAACTGCTTTGTGATGTTTGCATTCAAGTCACAGAGTTGAATATTCCCTTTTATAGAGTAGGTTTGAAACACTCTTTCGGCACTACCTGGAAGTGGATATTTCGAGCTCTTTGAGGCCTATGGTTAAAAGGAAATATCTTCCCATAAAAACTAGACAGAAGCCGTCTCAGAAACTTGTTTGTGATGTGTGTATTCAACTACCAGAGTTGAACATTTCTGTTACAGAGCAATTTTAAAACACTCTTTCTGTGGAATCTGAAAGTGGATAATTGGATAGCTTTGTGGATTTCGTTGGAAACGGGATGACGTATAAAATCTAGAGAGAAGCATTCTCAGGAACTTCTTTCTGATGTTTGCATTCAAGTCACAGAATTGAACATTCCTTTTCAGAGTGCAGGTTTGAAACACTCTTTCTGTAGTATCTGGAAGTGGACATTTCAAGCGCTTTCAGGCCTACGGGGAGAAAGGAAATATCTTCAAATAAAAACTAGACAGAAGGATTCTCAGAAACTTATTTGTGATGTGTGTCCTAAACGAACACAGTTGAACCTTTGTTTTGATACAGCATTTTGGAAACACTCCTTTTGTAGGATCTGCAGGTGGATATTTGGATAGATTTTAAGATTTCGTTGGAAACGGGAATTTCTGCATAGAAACTCAAGACAGATGCATTCTCAGAAACTTCTCTGTGATGTTTGCATTCCACTCATAGAGTTGAAAACTTCCTTTCATAGAGCAGGTTTGAAACACTCTTTTTGTAATATTTGGAAGTGGACATTTGCAGCGCTTTGAGGCCTATGGTGAAAAAGGAAATATCTTCTCATAAAAACCAGAAACAAGCATTCTCAGAAACTTCTTTTTGATGTGTGTACTCAAGTAACAGAGTTGAACCTTCCTTTTGACACAGCAGTTTTGAAACAATCTTTTTGTAGAATCTGCAAGTGGATATTTGGATAGCTTTGAGGATTTCGTTGGAAACGGGATATCTTCATATAAAATCTAGACAGAAGCATTCTCAGAAACTTCTTTGTGCTGTATGACCTCAATTAACAGAGTTGAACCATTGCTTGCATACAGCATTTTGGAAACATTCCTTGAGTAGAATCTGCAAGTTGATATTTAGATAGATTTGAAGATTTCGTTCGAAAACGGAATATCTCCATATAAAATCTAGAGGGAAGCATTCTCAGAAACTGCTTTGTGATGTTTCCATTCAAGTCACAGAGTTGAATATTCCCTTTTATAGAGCACGTTTGAAACACTCTTTCTGCACTATCTGGAAGTGGACATTTCGAGCGCTGTGAGGCCTATGGTGAAAAAGGAAATATCTTCCCATAAAAACTAGACAGAAGCATTCTCAGAAACTTGTTTTTGATGTGTGTATTCAACTAACAGAGTTGAACTTTTGTTTTTACAGAGCCGTTTTAAAACACTCTTTTTGTGGAATCAGAAAGTGGATATTCGGATGGCTCTGAGGATTTCGTTGGAAGCGGGATTACATATAAAATCTAGAGAGAAGCATTCTCAGGAACTTCTTTGTGATGTTTGCATTGAAGTCACAGAATTGAACATTCACTTTGATAGAGCAGGTTTGAAACACTCATTCTGTAGTATCTGGAAGTGGACATTTCAAGCGCTTTCAGGCCTATGGTGAGAAAGGAAATATCTTCGAATAAAAACTAGACAGAAGCATCCTCAAACTTATTTGTGATGTGTGTCCTCAACTAACAGAGTTGAAACTTTGTTTTGATACAGCATTTTGGAAACACTCTTTTTGTAGAATCTGCAGGTGGATATTTGGATAGCTTAGAGGGATTCGTTGGAAAGGGGATATCTTCATATAGAATCTAGACAGAAGCATTCTCAGAAACTTATTTGTGATGTGTGTCCTCAACTAACAGAGTTGAACTTTGGTTTTGATACAGCATTTTGGAAACACTCCTTTTGTAGAATCTGCAGGTGGATATGTGGATAGCTCTGAAGATTTCGTTGGAAACGGGAATTTCTTCATATAAAATCAAACAGAAGCATTCTCAGAAACTTCTCAGTGATGTTTGCATTCAGTTCATGGAGTTGAACACTTCCTTTCATAGAGCCGGTTTGAAACACTCTTTCTGCACTACCTGGAAGAGGACATTTCGAGCGCTTTGAGTCCTATGGTGAAAAAGGAAATATCTTCTCATAGAAACCAGAAAGAAGCATTCTCAGAAACTTCTTTGTGTTGTGTGTACTCATGTAACAGTGTTGAACCATCCTTTTGACAGAGCAGTTTTGAAACACTCTTTTTGTAGAATCTGCAAGTGGATATTTGGATAGCTTTGAGGATTTCGTTGGAAACGGGATGACATATAATATCTAGAGAGAAGCATTCTCAGGAACTTCTTTGTGATGTTTGCATTCAAGTCACAGAATTGAACATTCCCTTTCATAGAGCAGGTTTGAAACACTCTTTCTCTAGTATCTGGAAGTGGGCATTTCAAGCGCTTTCAGGCCTATGGAGAGAAAGGAAATACCTTCAAATAAAAACTAGACAGAAGCATTCTCAGAAACTTATTTGTGATGTGTGTCCTCAACTAACAGAGTTGAACCTTTGTTTTGATACAGCATTTTGGAAACACTCCTTTTGTAGAATCTGCAGGTGGATATTTGGATAGCTTTGAAGATTTCGTTGGAAACCGGAATATCTTCATGTAAAATCAAGACAGAAGCATTCTCGGAAACATCTCTGTGATGTTTGCATTCAACTCAGTAGAGTTGAACACTTCCTTTCATAGAGCAGGTTTGAAACACTCTTTCTGCACTACCTGGAAGCGGACATTTCGAGCGCTTTGAGGCCTATGGTGAAAAAGGAAATATCTTCTCATAAAAACCAGAAAGAAGCATTCTCAGAAACTTCTTTGTGTTGTGTGTACTCAAGTAACAGTGTTGAACCTTCCTTTTGACAGAGCAGTTTTGAAACACTCTTTTGGTAGAATCTGCAAGTGGATATTTGGATAGCTTTGAGGATTTCGTTGGAAACGGGTTATCTTCATATAAAATCCAGACAGGAGCATTCTCAGAAACTTCTTTGTGCTGTATGTCCTCAATTCACAGAGCTGAACCTTTGTTTGGATACAGCATTTTGGAGACATTCCTTTAGTAGAATCTGCAAGTTGATATTTAGATAGCTTTGAAGATTTCGTTGGAAACGGGAATATCTTCATAGAAAATCTAGACGGAAGCATTCTCAGAAACTGCTTTGTGATGTTTGCATTCAAGTCACAGAGTTGAATATTCCCTTTTATAGAGTAGGTTTGAAACACTCTTTCGGCACTACCTGGAAGTGGATATTTCGAGCTCTTTGAGGCCTATGGTTAAAAGGAAATATCTTCCCATAAAAACTAGACAGAAGCCGTCTCAGAAACTTGTTTGTGATGTGTGTATTCAACTAACAGAGTTGAACATTTCTGTTACAGAGCAATTTTAAAACACTCTTTGTGGAATCTGAAAGTGGATAATTGGATAGCTTTGTGGATTTCGTTGGAAACGGGATGACGTATAAAATCTAGAGAGAAGCATTCTCAGGAACTTCTTTCTGATGTTTGCATTCAAGTCACAGAATTGAACATTCCTTTTCAGAGTGCAGGTTTGAAACACTCTTTCTGTAGTATCTGGAAGTGGACATTTCAAGCGCTTTCAGGCCTACGGGGAGAAAGGAAATATCTTCAAATAAAAACTAGACAGAAGGATTCTCAGAAACTTATTTGTGATGTGTGTCCTAAACGAACACAGTTGAACCTTTGTTTTGATACAGCATTTTGGAAACACTCCTTTTGTAGGATCTGCAGGTGGATATTTGGATAGATTTTAAGATTTCGTTGGAAACGGGAATTTCTTCATAGAAGCTCAAGACAGATGCATTCTCAGAAACTTCTCTGTGATGTTTGCATTCCACTCATAGAGTTGAAAACTTCCTTTCATAGAGCAGGTTTGAAACACTCTTTTTGTAATATTTGGAAGTGGACATTTGCAGCGCTTTGAGGCCTATGGTGAAAAAGGAAATATCTTCTCATAAAAACCAGAAACAAGCATTCTCAGAAACTTCTTTTTGATGTGTGTACTCAAGTAACAGAGTTGAACCTTCCTCTTGACACAGCAGTTTTGAAACAATCTTTTTGTAGAATCTGCAAGTGGATATTTGGATAGCTTTGAGGATTTCGTTGGAAACGGGATATCTTCATATAAAATCTAGACAGAAGCATTCTCAGAAACTTCTTTGTGCTGTATGTCCTCAATTAACAGAGTTGAACCATTGCCTGGATACAGCATTTTGGAAACATTCCTTGAGTAGAATCTGCAAGTTGATATTTAGATAGATTTGAAGATTTCGTTGGAAAAGGGAATATCTCCATATAAAATCTAGAGGGAGGCATTCTCAGAAACTGCTTTGTGATGTTTCCATTCAAGTCACAGGAGTTGAATATTCCCTTTTATAGAGCACGTTTGAAACACTCTTTCGGCACTATCTGGAAGTGGACATTTCGAGCGCTTTGAGGCCTATGGTGAAAAAGGAAATATCTTCCCATAAAAACTAGACAGAAGCATTCTCAGAAACTTGTTTGTGATGTGTGTATTCAACTAACAGAGTTGAACTTTTGTTTTTACAGAGCCGTTTTAAAACACTCTTTTTGTGGAATCAGAAAGTGGATATTCGGATGGCTCTGAGGATTTCGTTGGAAGCGGGATTACGTATAAAATCTAGAGAGAAGCATTCTCAGGAACTTCTTTCTGATGTTTGCATTGAAGTCACGGAATTGAACATTCACTTTTATAGAGCAGGTTTGAAACACTCATTCTGTAGTATCTGGAAGTGGACATTTCAAGCGCTTTCAGGCCTATGGTGAGAAAGGAAATATCTTCGAATAAAAACTAGACAGAAGCATTCTCAGAAACTTATTTGTGATGTGTGTCCTCAACTAACAGAGTTGAAACTTTGTTTTGATACAGCATTTTGGAAACACTCTTTTTGTAGAATCTGCAGGTGGATATTTGGATAGCTTAGAGGGATTCGTTGGAAAGGGGATATCTTCATATAAAATCTAGACAGAAGCATTCTCAGAAACTTATTTGTGATGTGTGTCCTCAACTAACAGAGTTGAACCTTGGTTTTGATACAGCATTTTGGAAACACTCCTTTTGTAGAATCTGCAGGTGGATATGTGGATAGCTCTGAAGATTTCGTTGGAAACGGGAATTTCTTCATATAAAATCAAACAGAAGCATTCTCAGAAACTTCTCAGTGATGTTTGCATTCAGCTCATGGAGTTGTACACTTCCTTTCATAGAGCAGGTTTGAAACACTCTTTCTGCACTACCTGGAAGAGGACATTTCGAGCGCTTTGAGTCCTATGGTGAAAAAGGAAATATCTTCTCATAGAAACCAGAAAGAAGCATTCTCAGAAACTTCTTTGTGTTGTGTGTACTCATGTAACAGTGTTGAACCATCCTTTTGACAGAGGAGTTTTGAAACACTCTTTTTGTAGAATCTGCAAGTGGATATTTGGATAGCTTTGAGGATTTCGTTGGAAACGGGATGACATATAATATCTAGAGAGAAGCATTCTCAGGAACTTCTTTGTGATGTTTGCATTCAAGTCACAGAATTGAACATTCCCTTTCATAGAGCAGGTTTGAAACACTCTTTCTCTAGTATCTGGAAGTGGGCATTTCATGCGCTTTCAGGCCTATGGAGAGAAAGGAAATACCTTCAAATAAAAACTAGACAGAAGCATTCTCAGAAACTTATTTGTGATGTGTGTCCTCAACTAACAGAGTTGAACCTTTGTTTTGATACAGCATTTTGGAAACACTCCTTTTGTAGAATCTGCAGGTGGATATTTGGATAGCTTTGAAGATTTCGTTGGAAACCGGAATATCTTCATATAAAATCAAGACAGAAGCATTCTTGGAAACATCTCTGTGATGTTTGCATTCAACTCAGTAGAGTTGAACACTTCCTTTCATAGAGCAGGTTTGAAACACTCTTTCTGCACTACCTGGAAGCGGACATTTCGAGCGCTTTGAGGCCTATGGTGAAAAAGGAAATATCTTCTCATAAAAACCAGAAAGAAGCATTCTCAGAAACTTCTTTGTGTTGTGTGTACTCAAGTAACAGTGTTGAACCTTCCTTTTGACAGAGCAGTTTTGAAACACTCTTTTGGTAGAATCTGCAAGTGGATATTTGGATAGCTTTGAGGATTTCGTTGGAAACGGGTTATCTTCATATAAAATCCAGACAGGAGCATTCTCAGAAACTTCTTTGTGCTGTATGTCCTCAATTCACAGAGCTGAACCTTTGTTTGGATACAGCATTTTGGAGACATTCCTTTAGTAGAATCTGCAAGTTGATATTTAGATAGCTTTGAAGATTTCGTTGGAAACGGGAATATCTTCATAGAAAATCTAGACGGAAGCATTCTCAGAAACTGCTTTGTGATGTTTGCATTCAAGTCACAGAGTTGAATATTCCCTTTTATAGAGTAGGTTTGAAACACTCTTTCGGCACTACCTGGAAGTGGATATTTCGAGCTCTTTGAGGCCTATGGTTAAAAGGAAATATCTTCCCATAAAAACTAGACAGAAGCCGTCTCAGAAACTTGTTTGTGATGTGTGTATTCAACTACCAGAGTTGAACATTTCTGTTACAGAGCAATTTTAAAACACTCTTTCTGTGGAATCTGAAAGTGGATAATTGGATAGCTTTGTGGATTTCGTTGGAAACGGGATGACGTATAAAATCTAGAGAGAAGCATTCTCAGGAACTTCTTTCTGATGTTTGCATTCAAGTCACAGAATTGAACATTCCTTTTCAGAGTGCAGGTTTGAAACACTCTTTCTGTAGTATCTGGAAGTGGACATTTCAAGCGCTTTCAGGCCTACGGGGAGAAAGGAAATATCTTCAAATAAAAACTAGACAGAAGGATTCTCAGAAACTTATTTGTGATGTGTGTCCTAAACGAACACAGTTGAACCTTTGTTTTGATACAGCATTTTGGAAACACTCCTTTTGTAGGATCTGCAGGTGGATATTTGGATAGATTTTAAGATTTCGTTGGAAACGGGAATTTCTGCATAGAAACTCAAGACAGATGCATTCTCAGAAACTTCTCTGTGATGTTTGCATTCCACTCATAGAGTTGAAAACTTCCTTTCATAGAGCAGGTTTGAAACACTCTTTTTGTAATATTTGGAAGTGGACATTTGCAGCGCTTTGAGGCCTATGGTGAAAAAGGAAATATCTTCTCATAAAAACCAGAAACAAGCATTCTCAGAAACTTCTTTTTGATGTGTGTACTCAAGTAACAGAGTTGAACCTTCCTTTTGACACAGCAGTTTTGAAACAATCTTTTTGTAGAATCTGCAAGTGGATATTTGGATAGCTTTGAGGATTTCGTTGGAAACGGGATATCTTCATATAAAATCTAGACAGAAGCATTCTCAGAAACTTCTTTGTGCTGTATGTCCTCAATTAACAGAGTTGAACCATTGCTTGGATACAGCATTGTGGAAACATTCCTTTAGTAGGATCTGCAAGTTGATATTTAGATAGATTTGAAGATTTCGTTGGAAACGGGAATATCTTCATATAAAATCTAGACGGAGGCATTCTCAGAAACTGCTTTGTGATGTTTCCATTCAAGTCACAGAGTTGAATATTCTCTTTTATAGAGCACGTTTGAAACACTCTTTCTGCACTATCTGGAAGTGGACATTTCGAGCGCTTTGAGGCCTATGGTGAAAAAGGAAATATCTTCCCATAAAAACTAGACAGAAACATTCTCAGAAACTTGTTTGTGATGTGTGTATTCAACTAACAGACTTGAACTTTTGTTTTTACAGAGCAGTTTTAAAACAATCTTTTTGTGGAATCAGAAAGTGGATATTCGGATGGCTTTGAGGATTTCGTTGGAAGCGGGATTACATATAAAATCTAGAGAGAAGCATTCTCAGGAACTACTTTGTGATGTTTGCATTGAAGTCACAGAATTGAACATTTACTATGATAGAGCAGGTTTGAAACACTCATGCTGTAGTATCTGGAAGTGGACATTTCAAGCGCTTTCAGGCCTATGGGGAGAAAGGAAATATCTTCAAATTAAAACTAGACAGAAGCATCCTCAGAAACTTATTTGTGATGTGTGTCCTCAACTAACAGAGTTGAAACTTTGTTTTGATACAGCATTTTGGAAACACTCTTTTTGTAGAATCTGCAGGTGGATATTTGGATAGCTTAGTGGGATTCGTTGGAAAGGGGATATCTTCATATAAAATCTAGACAGAAGCATTCTCAGAAACTTATTTGTGATGTGTGTCCTCAACTAACAGAGTGGAACCTTGGTTTTGATACAGCATTTTGGAAACACTCCTTTTGTAGAATCTGCAGGTGGATATGTGGATAGCTTTGAAGATTTCGTTGGAAACGGGAATTTCTTCATATAAAATCAAACAGAAGCATTCTCAGAAACTTCTCTGTGATGTTTGCATTCAGCTCATGGAGTTGAACACTTCCTTTCATAGAGCAGGTTTGATAAACTCTTTCTGCACTACCAGGAAGTGGACATTTCGAGCGCTTTGAGGCTTATGGTGAAAAAGGAAATATCTTCTCATAAAAACCAGAAAGAAGCGTTCTCAGAAACTTCTTTGTGTTGTGTGTACTCATGTAACAGTGTTGAACCATCCTTTTGACAGAGCAGTTTTGAAACAATCTTTTTGTAGAATCTGCAAGTGGATATTTGGATAGCTTTGAGGATTTCGTTGGAAATGGGATATCTTCATATAAAATCTAGACAGAAGCATTCTCAGAAACTTCTTTGTGCTGTATGTCCTCAATTAACAGAGTTGAACCATTGCTTGGATACAGCATTTTGGAAACATTCCTTGAGTAGAATCTGCAAGTTGATATTTAGATAGCTTTGAAGATTTCGTTGGAAACGGGAATATCTTCATAGAAAATCTAGACGGAAGCATTCTCAGAAACTGCTTTGTGATGTTTCCATTCAAGTCACAGAGTTGAATATTCTCTTTTATAGAGCACGTTTGAAACACTCTTTCTGCACTATCTGGAAGTGGACATTTCGAGCGCTTTGAGGCCTATGGTGAAAAAGGAAATATCTTCCCATAAAAACTAGACAGAAGCATTCTCAGAAACTTGTTTGTGATGTGTGTATTCAACTAACAGAGTTGAACTTTTGTTTTTACAGAGCCGTTTTAAAACACTCTTTTTGTGGAATCAGAAAGTGGATATTCGGATGGCTCTGAGGATTTCGTTGGAAGCGGGATTACGTATAAAATCTAGAGAGAAGCATTCTCAGGAACTTCTTTGTGATGTTTGCATTGAAGTCACAGAATTGAACATTCACTTTGATAGAGCAGGTTTGAAACACTCATTCTGTAGGATCTGGAAGTGGACATTTCAAGCGCTTTCAGGCCTATGGTGAGAAAGGAAATATCTTTGAATAAAAACTAGACAGAAGCATCCTCAGAAACTTATTTGTGATGTGTGTCCTCAACTAACAGAGTTGAAACTTTGTTTTGATACAGCATTTTGGAAACACTCTTTTTGTAGAATCTGCAGGTGGATATTTGGATAGCTTAGAGGGATTCGTTGGAAAGGGGATATCTTCATATAAAATCTAGACAGAAGCATTCTCAGAAACTTATTTGTGATGTGTGTCCTCAACTAACAGAGTTGAACCTTGGTTTTGATACAGCATTTTGGAAACACTCCTTTTGTAGAATCTGCATGTGGATATGTGGATAGCTCTGAAGATTTCGTTGGAAACGGGAATTTCTTCATATAAAATCAAACAGAAGCATTCTCAGAAACTTCTCAGTGATGTTTGCATTCAGCTCATGGAGTTGTACACTTCCTTTCATAGAGCAGGTTTGAAACACTCTTTCTGCACTACTTGGAAGAGGACATTTCGAGCGCTTTGAGTCCTATGGTGAAAAAGGAAATATCTTCTCATAGAAACCAGAAAGAAGCATTCTCAGAAACTTCTTTGTGTTGTGTGTACTCATGTAACAGTGTTGAACCATCCTTTTGACAGAGGAGTTTTGAAACACTCTTTTTGTAGAATCTGCAAGTGGATATTTGGATAGCTTTGAGGATTTCGTTGGAAACGGGATGACATATAATATCTAGAGAGAAGCATTCTCAGGAACTTCTTTGTGATGTTTGCATTCAAGTCACAGAATTGAACATTCCCTTTCATAGAGCAGGTTTGAAACACTCTTTCTCTAGTATCTGGAAGTGGGCATTTCAAGCGCTTTCAGGCCTATGGAGAGAAAGGAAATACCTTCAAATAAAAACTAGACAGAAGCATTCTCAGAAACTTATTTGTGATGTGTGTCCTCAACTAACAGAGTTGAACCTTTGTTTTGATACAGCATTTTGGAAACACTCCTTTTGTAGAATCTGCAGGTGGATATTTGGATAGCTTTGAAGATTTCGTTGGAAACCGGAATATCTTCATATAAAATCAAGACAGAAGCATTCTCGGAAACATCTCTGTGATGTTTGCATTCAACTCAGTAGAGTTGAACACTTCCTTTCATAGAGCAGGTTTGAAACACTCTTTCTGCACTACCTGGAAGCGGACATTTCGAGCGCTTTGAGGCCTATGGTGAAAAAGGAAATATCTTCTCATAAAAACCAGAAAGAAGCATTCTCAGAAACTTCTTTGTGTTGTGTGTACTCAAGTAACAGTGTTGAACCTTCCTTTTGACAGAGCAGTTTTGAAACACTCTTTTGGTAGAATCTGCAAGTGGATATTTGGATAGCTTTGAGGATTTCGTTGGAAACGGGTTATCTTCCTATAAAATCCAGACAGGAGCATTCTCAGAAACTTCTTTGTGCTGTATGTCCTCAATTCACAGAGCTGAACCTTTGTTTGGATACAGCATTTTGGAGACATTCCTTTAGTAGAATCTGCAAGTTGATATTTAGATAGCTTTGAAGATTTCGTTGGAAACGGGAATATCTTCATAGAAAATCTAGACGGAAGCATTCTCAGAAACTGCTTTGTGATGTTTGCATTCAAGTCACAGAGTTGAATATTCCCTTTTATAGAGTAGGTTTGAAACACTCTTTCGGCACTACCTGGAAGTGGATATTTCGAGCTCTTTGAGGCCTATGGTTAAAAGGAAATATCTTCCCATAAAAACTAGACAGAAGCCGTCTCAGAAACTTGTTTGTGATGTGTGTATTCAACTAACAGAGTTGAACATTTCTGTTACAGAGCAATTTTAAAACACTCTTTTTGTGGAATCTGAAAGTGGATAATTGGGTAGCTTTGTGGATTTCGTTGGAAACGGGATGACGTATAAAATCTAGAGAGAAGCATTCTCAGGAACTTCTTTCTGATGTTTGCATTCAAGTCACAGAATTGACATTCCTTTTCAGAGTGCAGGTTTGAAACACTCTTTCTGTAGTATCTGGAAGTGGACATTTCAAGCGCTTTCAGGCCTACGGGGAGAAAGGAAATATCTTCAAATAAAAAGTAGACAGAAGGATTCTCAGAAACTTATTTGTGATGTGTGTCCTAAACGAACACAGTTGAACCTTTGTTTTGATACAGCATTTTGGAAACACTCCTTTTGTAGGATCTGCAGGTGGATATTTGGATAGATTTTAAGATTTCATTGGAAACGGGAATATCTTCATATAAACTCAAGACAGATGCATTCTCAGAAACTTCTCTGTGATGTTTGCATTCCACTCACAGAGTTGAAAACTTCCTTTCATAGAGCAGGTTTGAAACACTCTTTTTGTAATATTTGGAAGTGGACATTTGCAGCGCTTTGAGGCCTATGGTGAAAAAGGAAATATCTTCTCATAAAAACCAGAAACAAGCATTCTCAGAAACTGCTTTTTGATGTGTGTACTCAAGTAACAGAGTTGAACCTTCCTTTTGACACAGCAGTTTTGAAACAATCTTTTTGTAGAATCTGCAAGTGGATATTTGGATAGCTTTGAGGATTTCGTTGGAAACGGGATATCTTCATATAAAATCTAGACAGAAGCATTCTCAGAAACTTCTTTGTGCTGTATGTCCTCAATTAACAGAGTTGAACCATTGCTTGGATACAGCATTTTGGAAACATTCCTTTAGTAGAATCTGCAAGTTGATATTTAGATAGATTTGAAGATTTCGTTGGAAACGGGAATATCTTCATATAAAATCTAGACGGAGGCATTCTCAGAAACTGCTCTGTGATGTTTCCATTCAAGTCACAGAGTTGAATATTCTCTTTTATAGAGCACGTTTGAAACACTCTTTCGGCACTATCTGGAAGTGGACATTTCGAGCGCTTTGAGGCCTATGGTGAAAAAGGAAATATCTTCCCATAAAAACTAGACAGAAGCATTCTCAGAAACTTGTTTGTGATGTGTGTATTCAACTAACAGACTTGAACTTTTGTTTTTACAGAGCAGTTTTAAAACAATCTTTTTGTGGAATCAGAAAGTGGATATTCGGATGGCTTTGAGGATTTCGTTGGAAGCGGGATTACATATAAAATGTAGAGAGAAGCATTCTCAGGAACTACTTTGTGATGTTTGCATTGAAGTCACAGAATTGAACATTCACTTTGATAGAGCAGGTTTGAAACACTCATTCTGTAGTATCTGGAAGTGGACATTTCAAGCGCTTTCAGGCCTATGGGGAGAAAGGAAATATCTTCAAATTAAAACTAGACAGAAGCATCCTCAGAAACTTATTTGTGATGTGTGTCCTCAACTAACAGAGTTGAAACTTTGTTTTGATACAGCATTTTGGAAACACTCTTTTTGTAGAATCTGCAGGTGGATACTTGGATAGCTTAGAGGGATTCGTTGGAAATGGGATAAATTCATATAAAATCTAGACAGAAGCATTCTCAGAAACTTATTTGTGATGTGTGTCCTCAACTAACAGAGTTGAACCTTGGTTTTGATACAGCATTTTGGAAACACTCCTTTTGAAGAATCTGCAGGTGGATATGTGGATA